>NC_000015.10:35095055-35398086 GCF_000001405.40 Homo sapiens
TAAGGTGATTGGCTCAGGTGGCTTTATGGCGACCCAGCCACGTGTATGGTAAGGAGTCACTAGAAGCCATCATCAAAGTTAGCAAATCTATTTCTGCTCTCTGCAAGCTTTACTCACTTAGATTGATCTGCCCATCTCTCTTACTGCCCAACAATTAGGGAAAGAGCAGGAAGCGCTCTTAGGAGAGGGAGGAGAAAGAATACGAGGGCTACTAGGCAGATATGCACAAACACAACACAGATCCAGAAAAAAGATGCTAATTGGTATTTTTACATTGGTATGCAAGAGGGAAATCAAGGCTCATTTAAGAAAATGCTCACTTTCTGGGCTGGGCACGGTGGCTCATGCCTGTAATCCCAGCACTTTGGGAGGCTGAGGTGGGTGGATCATGAGGTCAGGAATTCAAGACCAGCCTAGCCAAGATGGTGAAACCCTGTCTCTACTAAAAAGACAAAAATTAGCCAGGCATGGTGGTGGGTGCCTGCAATCCCAGCTACTCGGGAGGCTGAGGCAGAGAATTGCTTGAACCCGGGAGATGGAGGTTGCAGTGAGTGGAGATCATACCACTACACTCCAGCCTGGGCGACAGAGTGAGACTCCATCTCAAAAAAAAAAAAAAAAAATGCTCACTTTCCCATAGCTGCCTACAACTTTGTGCACTGATAGGGTCTTACATATTTTTGTGTTTTGGATGCTGGGATAGTCATCAACATACACTAATTTTGATGCTGATGATCTCTAAACTCTTCTGGCAAGAGGGCATGGTTAATAAAAGTTAAAAAAAAACAGAATAAAATGGATTCATATATATATGTGTGTGTGTATACATACATAAATATATATACACACACATATATATATATATAATGTTTAGAACCGAAATCAAATATATATTTGTGTACGCTAAGAGAAAACCTTGTTAGTTAAATATTGATGTGAGGGTCTGTCACTTAGTGGCAAAAATTCTTCAAATTTCAAATCTTAAAGATCTCTTCCTCAGTTGTGGGTTTCTCGCAATCATGTGCTGGATGCATACACTACTACAAAGATCTCTGGGAAATGCTCTTTGGCAGCAGGACTTGGAAATTATGACGAAAAAACACTCACTAGCACAAGTTGTGTAAAAAGATGTTGATGCTACTTTCTGAACATTTAATAGCTGTTTGCATTTATTTATACACATAAGTGGCATCACCATATTAATATAAACTGTTTCTATCAAAAGTCGAAGGAAGTGAAAAGGAGAAGAGGGAGATTCCTAGAGAAAAAAGGGAAGCACAGAATCAGCAGCCTCTACCTTCCAAAAACATTTCAAAAATCACTCTACCCATCAGGAGGATTTTACATTTTCCCACTTTATAAAAGGAAGGGAAATAATTCTCGATTGGAGAGAAAGTGACCTTATGATCAAGCCATTGCATTGTTTCCCCACTTTTCAACTTGTAAAGAGGGCAAGACATAGCTACCCACCTTCTGAAGCAAGGCAGGCCTGAGGTTGCACTTGCTTCATGTGCAGTTCACAGTCAATGTCACATCTACTGTGTCTTCCGCTTGCAGCTCAGATGCAGTCCTGAAATGCATTAGATGGCATGTGATGGCTTTTTCTGGGTATAGTATCAGAGTGATTCATGAGAAAGGGATCAGAAATGGGTTGAGTCTTGCAGTGCACAGTGTCTTCATACCCCTGACTAAAATGCTAACAAGGGAACTTTGCAGGGCTCTAAAACAACTCTCAGTCATACTGTAGTATATACAGTGCTCCCCACATTGGCCTGGGATTAAGATCCTTTTGAAAGGCCAGGCGCGGTTGCTCATGCCTGTAATCCTAGCACTTTGGGAGGCCAAGGCAGGCAGTTCATCTGAGGTTGGGAGTTCGAGACCAGCCTCACTGTTTTTTTCATATGAAAGGAGCCATTCACATCAATGGGTGCTTTGCGGGCCCTGGGGTCAGAAAATAGGCAGACGTACAAGGCAGTAGGTACCCGTTTCCATTCTTAACTAGGCTAGCATTTTTCCAGTTGAAATGCCCAACATATGCACCTTTAAATGCCTTACTTAGGCTTTGAATGACTGCAAAAAACAAGTTTTGCTTACGAATTTAGTTTTCCTGTTTTCTCAGTGCTAGGGAAGGAGCACTTTCTTCTTCTTCTTCTACTGACAATGAGGCTCAGCTCTTGACAATTTAAACTCTGTAAGAAACTCTAGAATTTTGATGCACTGTTGTATTCACTCATTAAGGAACAAAGCCCCTTTCCAAAATAAATAGACTTGAGGTCTAGATCATGAAGGCCTGAAGAAGTAAAGTTAGGTGCAGAAGAGCCGTCTTTTGAAGAAGTTCACCATGAAAATAGTGCACGGGCACAGAGTGGCTGCAGTTATTGCTTATGAGGATAAATGAGATAATGGATACTCACGGGCTGAATTGTGTCTTTTCCCCACAACCCCTGTCCCAAATGCACATGCTGAAGTCCTGACTCTCAGTACCTCAGAATGTGACTGTACTTGGAGATAGCACCTTTAAAGAGGTAACTAAGATAAAATAAGGTCATATGAGTAGACCTTAATACAATATGATTGATATCCTTATAAGAAGAGGAGATCAGGACACAGTCCACACACTGAGGAGTGACCATGTGAGGACACAATGAGAGGAAACCATCTACAAGCCAAGGAGAGAGGCCTCAGAAGAAACCAAACCTGCCAGCACCTTGATCTTGGACGTCCACCCTCCAGAACTGTGGGAAAATAAATTTCTATTGTTTAAGGCACCCCATTTGTGGTATTTTGTCGTGGCAGCCCTAGAAAACTAATACAGATTTGAAAATATTGGTAATTTATAAAGTATTATTATACAAATGTTAGTTATCTTTATTATTATGTGATTGTGTTGCACTGGAATAATGTTATTATTCTAAAAATAAGAGTGAGGGAGGAAGACATATCATGAAGGAGCTAGGGAGTGGAAAGTGACCTGGATGTTAAAAAGGAACGTAGTTGAGTAAAAACAGATTGAATGCTAGGTGCTTGGTAGTACCAAGAAGAGTAAAGTATGCATTTTGACCCCTAGCAAATGTCAACATGATAAGGAAGATGCTGAAAGAAGCTTGGGGAGTGGGGGAAAGGCAATTACTTCTTGTTGGGTGTGATGAGTGGAGGTGGGGAAGAAGGAGTTTGCAAAGTTTTCATAAAAAGAAAGTAACATTTAAGGTTCAGAAATGAAGACTTTTCTAAGTCAATCAAGTGAAGGCAGAGGAGAAAGCAAGTTCAGCGGCACTATTACATGAGTGTGCCGTGTTCCTGGGAAGAGCACACACTGTGCCAGCAGGACATGAAACAGAGGGGACAGTGCTAGGGGATAAGGTTGAGAAATGGTCGGCATCAATTTGTGAAGGGCCTCGAATGCTGTGTGAAGGGACCTGGACTTTACCTTATAGACAATGAAGAAGAAAAGTATATATATGTTTTATTCTCTCAATAGTTCTTTACTTTCTGATTTTATCTGTTTTTCTCACTTTCATCTTCATACCTTTACCCAGACTTCAAGTGCTGTCTCTCCCAGCCTACTGGGTTCCATCAGCCAAATGCTCCTTTAAGTCCATCTTTTCTGAAGATTTAACTGATTTTCCATTGAGTCCATTCTTGAAAGCTAATCAGTAACCTGGATGTCCTACCCTGTGCAAGGTTTGTCACCAATATGATGGATCTTTTAGGAAAAGTCATTTTAGCAATTTGTTAAGAACTGACAATAATGGTCATTTACAGAGGTCTTGTGAGCCAAAGTGTGATGGGCCCAAAACATAGATTAATTGGGAGAGTAAAATGTGTCTAAAAGTTGACATATACCCTGTTGTCTAGTCTGGGCATTCTCTCCCTCTCTGTATCTGAATTAAAATAACATCCATCAATTATGGAGCACAGCCAAACAGTTAAATATAAGTTATGAGATTAATTGGAAATGCATGCCAATTCTTGAACAAGTTTCAAGAGAAACCTTTATTAATTCATGTTTATATATCACAGAGAATAATGAAAGTCACATTCACCCTTTACTTAAAACAAACCCTCATCACATCTACTTAAATAGCTCTACAGAACATTTTGACTATGGTGGGTAAGCTGTAACACTACAGAACATGCATCTCACCAATAATCTGGTGAAAAAATGGGCTGAATGTCTAAAAAGGCAGAAAAACTCTTATTACCACATTTTCTGCTCCCATGTACCAACTCGTAAATTAGAAGTAAATGTACCCCGCCTCTGATCTCAAATTCTATCTTCAGTACACTAATAAAATGCTTCCATATTGGCCAAGAGTTAGTTTTTATATTTTTAGAATTTATTCTTCTAATAAATGTAAAAAATTTAATACATAATTTTAGTTATAGAAAGGAAATTCTTAGAGTATCAGTATAAATGAAGTGGTTAGGAATAAGAACTTTGGTGTCAGATTACCGAGGTTCAAGTCCTGGCTCTCCAGTTTGTAATGTCCTTGCCCAAGTCAGTTTTAATCTCCTTGTACCTTAGAGAATTACCAAGAAGATTAAGTAAGGTAATGCGCTACAATGCATGCATAGCACAATAGTGGGTAAAAACAACAAAGTGCTGTATAGAAAAAAATTATTTTCTGCTAGATGCTGGGTCTCTAAATAGATTTTGAAAGCTCTAGTGTACACCTGTCTCTTTCCACATGGAATGAAGTGAGTTGACAAGGAAGTCATACCGAATGCCCGATAAGACTCCCATCTACAACTATAACTCCTCTGCCAGTGGGCAAGAAATGATAATGCTGATGTAATTGATAAGTCACAACTGCAGAAAAGTCAGTTCATTTACAAGTTTCAACAAGTGGCTCAGAAGAAGTTAACTTTTACGCAGCTCTAAGCATGGAGGTCAGGGAGTTTGTGTTGACAGAGAATACTTTCGAACCTTTGAAGCAAAAGAGATGTTCATACCTAGGCAGAAAGGTTTATTTTGGGTCTTACCATTGAATAAAAGAGGTGCAAAGTGTAATGTTAAAATTCTTAGTCCAGCTTTGCACCAGGAGACTGTGCTGAGAACAGTTAGAGTGAAGATCTCACTCCTCAAGCTGGGTGGTGGAGTTGTTGTTTGTTGATCGAAATGTTAAACCAGCATGCTGCATGGATAATTTCTCCTCTGGGTAAATGGGTCACAGATACCAGAAGCAGCGCAGATGCCATCTTGTCCATCTGTGCTTCCAGCAGTGTCTGCAACTCTTAAGATTCCAAAATCGAAAAACAATAAGTTTTCACTGTTGATCTTGAACAGAGCAGGTACACAATCAACAGCTGTTCCACAAACTCATCTACCACTGCAAAGTTGATTTCTTTGGGGGTGAGATGTGGATAAAGATTCTCCTATCTTTCTGACACTCAGCACCCATTTTGTCTGGTCCTGTGGTATGTTTTGCTTGAGGAATTTTCCATTATCACATCAAATAAAACTAATGTTAAAATATTTGCCATGTCCTCAATTTTTCTGGTTTTTCATTTTAGCAGAAATTCTACTTATAATATGATTGAAATGAAAATGCCTTTCTCTAGTTCTGAAAATGATATTCAGGTTATGGTTATTAAAAATAAAACAAAGAAATGGAACTCTAAATAAACATTTAAGACAAAATCTAATGATGACAAAAATCAGCAATATCAGAGGGCACTTGCTGTTAATTTGATGATGTCAATCAGAGAGGTGAGGCATATGATATGGCACCTTATAAACATGGGGCAGGGGAAAAAGTATATATTTTTTATTAATAAATAATAAAACCACAAGAAGAAAACAAAATTCTTTCCACAATACTGTTCAACTTACAAGTTCAATAAAAATTTCTCATATGGCAGTTTCCTCTCTAAACTGAGAACTTCTCTTGTAACTAAAACTGTCATGAAGTTGCCACATTAGACTAATGATCTTTAGTTATAATTGGATAATCAAATTTTAAATTGTCAAGAAATGGAACTGAAATTCATGGAATTTGCCAAGAGAATAACTCTTTGATACACATTTGACAATCTGAAAAATACCACAAGCTTCTATTGCATTATCCAAGGGCAAAGCAAGCACTTGAATATTCTTTTTAAAAGCATTTCCCTCCATGATCTCAGGATTAAAAAATATCTCAGCCACGTTTGATGAATTTGTAATACATTTGCTTCAAGTTTCCTTTGGAGTAATTTTATCAGAGATGACTTTTCATGAATCCGGTCCTTGGTATAGGTTAACTTACAGCTAACCTCTTATTGTAATGACATTTAACCACATACTCACAATGTTGCCCAGTCTCCAATTATTAACTAAGAATATGGAAGAAACAATTCTTGAACTGGGTGAAATTTGTAATGAATAGGAATTAAACATTTTTAATGTGTGTGGATTAAGAAGACTATCCTTTACTGAATTTATTTCACATTGAACTGTTGACATTAGAGGTGATATTGACAAAAGTGGGGCTAATCAATATTGAACTCTAAGGGTCAAAGGACTTCATGTTTGGTGTAATAAGCAACTTAGTTTAGGTATTACAGTGTTTCAGCAAAGTAACAATTATTAAGGGTCAGGGGAGCTTTCCATTATAAACTGTAATTTGGGGAGGCTTGCATATTTCCAGTCTCCAAAGGAAAGTGATTGTGTGATCAAGCAAGATGGTGGCTTGGAAATAAAGAGAAAGCGAGTCATTAAATTTGAATTTGAGGAATTAAATTATTTCCATTTTTTAGATTCAAAACCTTTCTTTTCTTACCATCTCCGTAGATCTTTAATGAAATCACCAAACCCAGGAAATTTTGGATGAAAGGTAAATCTCATTTAAAATTTTAAATGGTTGGAAATCTTTTCTTGTGAAAATTATCTAGCACATACAAGAAGTCTATAGGCCAGGCATGGTGGCTCACGCCTGTAATCCCAGCACTCTGGGAGGCCGAGGTGGGTGGATCACCTGAGGTCAGGAGTTCGAGACCAGCCTGGCCAACATGGTGAAACCCTGTCTCTACTAAAAATACAAAAAATAGCCAGGCATTGTGGTGGATGCCTGTAATTCCAGCTACTCAGGAAGCTGAGGCAGGAGAATGTCTTGAACCCAGGAGGTAAAGGTTGCAGTGAGCTGAGATCGCGCCATTGCACTCCAGCCTGGGCAACAAGAGTGAAACTCTGTCTCAAAAAAAATAAAAAAAAGAAGTCTATAAATTATAAATACTACCGAAAGGAGCTCTGTATCAATTCAGCTAGATATGGTTCAATGAAACATCTTCTACACTTTCCACTTAGTCCCTGTGTAGAATGTTAGCACCATATGGAGATCGTTACTCTTCACTCAAACATACTTGATCATGCTTGCCTACTCAGTTGCTTAAGATTTCATTTTTCTGCAAATACTACTGTTTATTTAACTAAGAAATAATGCTTTAATTATTTACTGAAAATTTTATGTTGGACACATTGTGATTTGAACTTCAGAAAAAGCAAACAATAAGGTAAATATAATATATACCAAATATTTTATAAAAAATAATGATGAAATAAAAATGGGTAACTTCTTAGAAGTAGATACTGCCTGGCTTAGAATTCAACAACATAATTCATTCCCTTATTATTTTGTTAAATTAACATGAAAAAGTTTAAGATTATGGACTTTGGGTTTAATAAAAATTGCATATCTGAGCACAGAGGAGGAGGCCCTAGAGTACTAACTCCAGTACTGTCTGTCTATACCGGGCCCAAATAAACAAAACTTCTGAATCTTCAAGTCCTTCCTTGGGCAGACACTAAGTGCTCTGCCCTCTTGTGACACTTCTTTTTTGAATTTAGAATGTATAGATACATTCAAACAACAGAAGTGGGCATTGATCAGTCAGGGAAGAAGCCATGTACTTTCAGTTTCCATTACATTAAACAAAATACTCATTAGTGCTTGGCATTTTCCCAAACAAACACAATCAAGGTGTCCACTGAGGGCTCATTGTGCAGTTAAGAAGTTTAAAAAGACCTTCTAGACATCAGCTAGGGACAATTAAGAGATGGGTTAAACTACTCCGGGGTAAGAAGGCGGGAATTACTGGAAACAAACACATGTAGAAAATCAACTGCAAATAGACAAGCCACTTTATTTTTAAGATCAGTTAGATATTCAAAGAGAGAAAGACTAAAGATTCCTCTGCTTAATAATTATTGCCCTCCTTGATGAAATCACAATACACTTTACTATGGGAGTATTCAGGTACATTAAAACTAAGTCACGTCTAGATATGTGGCAGAAAAAAAAAAACCTAATGGAAATCTGTCATCACAACATAATTGTTCCCATCCTTTACTCAACAAGTGAACTAAGTGCTACTACTACTAACAGGTCATAATAATGTAAGTTGTCTCAGAAATCTATATCCATTAAAACTGTTGAAACATGTTTTATGCTAAACATCCACCCCCAGATCCTCTTAGAACAGCTTCTAGAAAATATTACTGAGAGCAAATACTTGCATGCAGATCAGATCAACTAAACTGTTTTTTCCAAGTGTTTTCTTCTTTCTTTCCTTCATTCTTTCTCTTTTTCCCTTTGTCTCTTTCTGCCATCCACCCATCCATCCAACATTCATTAAGTACTATCTGCCAGGCACTGTGACAAGTGCAAAGCCTCTAAGAGTGAACAAGACAGACAAGGGTTATGCGTACATGAAGTAACAGGCTAGCACATGCTGTAAAAGCTTTTATATGACCTTTGTTGCTGTTGGTATTAAAACAACTACATTTGAGAAATCTTAATTCAAGACTAGTATCATAAGTTAAACTTCAAAAATCATTCATGTTACCTGTTCTTCACTCTCTGGGTAGGGGAATGAGAAGCAATGCTTTTCATATCAAAACTTCTCTTATTATTTTTCATTTTTATTTTTTGAGATGGAGCCTTGCTCTGTCACCCAGGCTGGAGTGCAATGGCACGATCTCGGCTCACTGCAACCTCTGCCTCCCAAGGTCAAGCGGTTCTCCTGCCTCAGCCTCCCAAGTAGCTGGGATTACAGATGTCCGCCACCAGGCCTGGCTAATTTTTTTGTATTTTTAGTAGAGATGGGGTTTCACCATGTTGGCCAGGCTGGTCTCAAACCACTGACCTCAAGTCATCTGCCTGCCCTGGCCTCCCAAAGTACTAGGATTACAGGCGTGAGCCACTGCACCCGGCACCTTCTCTTATTTTAAGGTGACGTTTATGTTTGAACTTTGGCTGATGCAATCTAATTTACTAGGAAGTTCTAGGAAGAAATGTTAAATATAAACTGTTTCTCAAAAGGATGCTGTGGAATCTTTTCACAAGGAGTGTATGAAAGAATAGGCAAAAGGAAAGGACGCATACTTAACATGGAACATGAAAACCTCCTTGAGTTTGCCACAGTATACTCTCCCTGCTTTTTAAGTCAAAGACACCATTCTATCAGTACTTAACACGGATCTTTAAATCCCAGACCTAATAATGCTTCCCAGCTACAGCTGGATGCATCTGACAAGCAGCATGTAGTAGGAAACCTCACAGGGGATAAGGTTCCTAACAGTCAACTAAGGGTTCAAATCCCAAAAGAGATGCCCCTGGAGTGCAGAGCACTTAACCCTTCGACCAGTACCAACATGACTATTCACAAATTATTGATGCTGCTAAATCCCTGGCAGATTGCAGACAGTTCTTGTATCCATTGAAGCTGAAGCATATGGCCACTAATGAGATAGATTTTTAAAAAATACATATACACATTCAGTCTTTGCTACATGAATGTAAATCCACTGAAATGCTAGAAGGTGATTGAACTGGATGGAACACTGTTAAATACATGTTACGGATCATTTCCATTGACATCTATCTGCATCCTCAGTACAGTTTAATTAAAGCTGTCTGGAACACGTCTGCCCTCTAAATGATCAGCAGTGCAATGAAAAGGTGACATCTGAGGAGGCTTGAGGCCTTTTCTGTAAAGCATTCAAATGACTGTCTCTGTGGTTGAGAAGAGCAGCAGAGAAGAAATTCATTTTCAAAATTAGCCAGCCATTTTACATTTTTTTTTTTTTTTGCAAAAAAAGGCAGAGCTTCTTCTGATGTCATCTTGAAATACTAGAAGCTGAGTTAGTTAGTTATAGCAGATCTTAAGAACTCAAACTGGACCATGTTCTGGTCCCAAATAAACATGTTTTTTTGGCTTGAAAACAGTAAATACTGTAGCAAACTTTCTTATTAGTATTTTATTTTGCAAAACAAAACCCCCAAATTGAACAATTTTGCATAAAATAATCCCTTAAGACAATTTTGCGACTAGATGGCAGGAACATCATCTGTTAGATATTTTCAAACAATTAAAATGTTTATTGAATCTCTGATGTTTCCAGCACTTGTTATCAGGGGAAAAAGAATAAAATATGGATCTAGGGCATAAGAAATGTGAGACATGAAAGACTGGATTTTAGATTTATTAATTTATATTTATTTTCTGTGGCATTTTCCTTTATTATGATCTTATTTAAATATATGTAGATCATATTTGTTCTTTAATTCCAGAATTAATGGTACTTTATAAAAGTATCAAAAAGACTGTCATATTTAAATATTTTTTTCATTGGCTTTTCCACACAAATCCATCAGTTATGGTGTAGGCTTTTTCTTTTCATTTCATATTTGATATCTACTTCATATAGGACATTGAATTATACTGTGTGCCTAACAGCCACTACCTGCCACCGCAAAACAAAAATAGTCTCTCCCTGTCTATTATAACATGTTCATCCAGGATGGGAAAAACTTAAGAGTATCACTAACCCAAAAAAGCATCCCTAAATTCACTCCATTCAGGAGTACAGATGATTTTAGCCCTGATGTCTCATAGAAATTAGTCAGACCTAAAAGATATTATATTGAAGCAAATAAGCAATATTTATTGAGTGCTTTGTGTGCATTGGCACTGTGGTGGGAACTGTGGGGAATAGGATTCAAGTACAAGCTTCCTCAATGAACTTACAAACTGGGAAAACAGACACATTGAAAGTCACCAAGGAATGATAGGGTCAGGTGAGTAAAAACTGGAGTGATGCTGAAAGGCATTTTGAGGAAGATGAAGCTTGAGCTGGGCTTTGAAGAATGAGGCCAGAGGTCCAGGCCAGAAATACCATAACAGGCACATAGGGGCTGAAGGGCCAGGTACAAAATTGCCCAGCCTGGAGTGGATACTTTGTGTTGAGAACAGCTGGGATCTAATCAGAACAGAAACTACTTGAGTTTAGTTTAAATAGAAGGAATTTAATACAGGGAATTTACTTTAAAGGTGATCAAAGCCTGGGATGATGAACAGGAGACAGTATAGCAATTTAGAGATGAGCAACTTCAGGAAGCTGTCAGCAATGCTTTGGTTGGAATGACAAGGGAGAATACAGAGTTTCTGGAGCTCAGAAACCAGGGTCACTCAGAGGATGATGGAACTAGAGAAGGCTTAACCAGTTGGATCTGGAGCACAGGAGGTATAAAAATGCAATCATTTCCAGAGATCTGCATGAAGCAGAGAGAAGGAGAAATAACTTGACTTCTGCCACCCCCTAATCTCCCACCAATGTCTCCTATTTGCCAGGCCCAGTCTGAAGTTGACAAGGAGCCTAGGAAAAACATCCTGCAGGGGTCAGCTTCCCTGTGATACAGAACAGAGTAGGGGAAGGCGAGGACTATGTAAGACAAACAGACTAATGATTAACAAACAGAGACTAATGCAAAATTAGGTAAGATTATTATAGTAGGACCCTTTTATATAATGAGTTATGAATGTCAGGGAGAGGAATTTAAACCAAATAGGCTAGAGGAAGCCATCTTAGGTTTTTGAGAAGGGGGAAGATAGAATGAAATTGAGATTTTGGGAATATATGGCCAGAGTATGAAAAAAGATTTGAGGCAGGGTGACCAGTTAGGAGGTAGTAACAGATTAAAGATGGCCACAAGCTCCTTGAAATTCCTCCCCTTGAAAGGTGGGGTGTATTTCCTTTCCCCATGAATCTCAGATGGTCCATGGAAGAAGTGACACTGTGCCAGCAGGCTTTAAGAGGACTGGGAGATTCCATTTTGGTATCTTGGAGTCCTGAATTGCCATATGAGAAGTCTAACCATCCTGCAGAAAAAGATCATCTGGAGAAGCCCAGAGAATATGGGGCAGGCAAAAGGGCTCAGGTGAATCCAGTTGTCCAGCTGTTGCTCACCAAGGCACCAGACATGTGAGTAAAGCTGCCTTAAACCCTCAAGACAGGCCCAGCTACCAGATGAATTCCAATGACTGACTGTTGTTAATGAATCATTCAGCTGAGCCTTGCCCAAATTTCTCATCCAAAAAATGATGAGTTATAATACAACGGTTGTTGTTTAAATTCACTAAGTTTTGGGGTATTCTATTATGCGGCAGCATATAACTAGAGTGGAGGCCACGCAGTAATATGAACATATCATGATAAATCCCCCAAATTAAAGTTGTAGTAGGAATGGAGAAGAGGCACATTTTTTGGAAGAGATCCTGAGTTTTTTTGTTTATAATGGGTCGACAATTTTTTTTTTCTGAAGATGGTCACGTAGCAAATATTTTTGACTTTGTGAGCCAACATATCTTTGTTGCTACTACTCGACTCTGTCGTAAGGCAAAAGAAGCCACAGACAATATGTAAATGAATATGTGTAGCTGAGTTTCAGTAAAACCTTATTTACAAAAACAGGTGGCTGACTAGCATTGGCTGTGGGACATACATTGCTGACCTCTGGTTTATAAGGTTTGAAGTAGGGAGGAAAATTCAACTGGAGATATGTTACATCTAGATAACACACAGGAATGGAGCTTTGTGACGTGTCAGGGCTGTAGTATAGATTGAAGAATAGCTAAATATTCTGGAAGAGGGACTACAACATTGGTGTTATATCTTTTTAAGGTTGCTTCTGCTTTGTTGTTTCTTTTAAGTGACATTAGGATAGTTAGTAAACACACTAGCGGGCTCAGGAATTACTTTAATCTATAAGATGGTTCCACTGAGCCAGGGAACTTATAACATGGAGACAATCAGAGAACAACATTAAACAGACTTTCAGTTACATCTAGGTCTGCTCTCAATGGTTTTCAGATTTGTACAATTTCAACCCAATATATTTTATGAGTAAAGTGCACTGTTCTAGAACTATTTTTTTCCCTGTGTGTGGCTAATACCATTCTAATTTTTAATTTATATCACATTCATGATTTATTTGAACAATTATGAGTTTGGCAATATTTCTTGCTCATACTTGAAGAGCATCTACAATATCAATCCCAAAGTATTTATATCCTAAACTATCCTGAGAAGTCAATGGTTATTTTCCATAAATTTATGATATATTGAAGGCATTTTGTCATGCTATTTACTGTTATGTCATGGGAAAAAAGCATGACCTTTGAAGAAATAAAACAAGCAGTTTTTTAGTTCTCCTGCATATCTGTTAAGCTTATGGATATTTAGGCTTTATAAAACTTCTATCAGGCAGCTAAACAATTTAGACTCACACAGCATGTAAATTCTATCAAACAAGGGCTCTTTACCCTTTCACCTATTGCCCTACATGTGCTTGGCACAGTGGTACAACTATTCAGAACAAACACTAATAGTCTGCTTAAAATCTTAAATACAAGTAATGCAGGCATGCTAGAGGATTCTAGTGAATATTGAAAGGGGTTTTTACCCATTTAAGGCAGAGAATGGCTTGAACAGTTCTGTTTGGAGCCAGAAAAAGAGCAACCTGGTTCAGAGGTGAAGGCTTCTTATAGTTCCTGTATTTGATAAAATACAGGCGTTGTAGCATTCCCTCATAGACCTGTGACCTCAAGCCCTGGCCTTTAGACTTTTTCCCTCCTTGAGAGTGAAATGATTAGTGAGGTCCTTCTATTAGATATGTTAGCAGTTTCTGCAAAAAAGAGGATTTTAATAATACTAAATTGCAAAGAATTATGAGGCAGGGCTTACTCCTGGATACTAAGACAAACCCAGTTGAAGCTGACTACATAAGCTCCTATGCAGGGCCATCTGTTTAGTTCTAATAGTATTTTCTTTCTTTTTCTTTTTTTTTAAAAAAAATCTTTGTAGCTTGGTTTCAAACCCTGTCTGGGACACCTGCTCAATGTGAAATGAGATTGGTGAGTCTCAGTCCATTTGTGGCTGGCTGAAATTTTCCATCTTCCATTCCAGAAAAATGGTCCATAAGGAAATTAAGTGAAAAGAGTTAGACGTCGTCACACATGGATTCACATGTAGGTGTACTGAAGGCCTAGAGAATCTTCCTGTGTGAAAAGTACAATATAAATTCAACACTGGTTCATTGGTTCATCCACTTCTCCTCTCAGCAGCTCTCTAACACCTGAGGTCTCTGATACCCTGAAGAGGATGCAACTTTAGGGACATCTTTTTACTATTCTAAGCCACTGCATAATTTGAACTGAGATTGTAACATGGTTTGAAATTGGCTGTATTTGCTGCTTCATTTAAACAGGAATGGCGTATGAAAATAGTATAAGAGGTACATGTTCTGTGCTTTTCTATATTATGTAAATAGAGATTTAAAGTCTCTCTAAATAATAATTAAAGAATATTCATAGTTTAAGAGGAAACAGATTAGATGCCTTCAGACCATATATTACCCAAGAGAGAAGGTGGACGACCATAATTTATTATAACCCAAGGCAATATTACCCTAAAGTGGTATGAATTTTGATTTCAAAAGTCAATAGGGTCTTTTCCGTATAAATTTAAAGTCACCAAAAATTTCCATGAATTTACTAAATACACAATTAGTTTCTTGTTACAGATAATTTCTATTGATCCAAATCTGGTTTGTCAGCATGGATTAATCACAATCGTCCGGGATTGAGATCTCTATGGCTCAAGGGATCAGTTTCTGGGCTAGGAGCCTCTCACCCCCAGGTCACTGTTTCCAATGCATAAAGGAGTTTTGAAAGGCCTATTTGACAGCTGGTGTGAAACCAACCAGCACTTTCAACTAAGTCTCCTGCATAGATTCATTGTCCCTTATATTAAAAGACATTAGCACCTACTGTCTGAGGGTATATGTAAGGTGAAAAATTATTGCATTGTCACCAATCTTATTATTCATAGCTATGCCCATATTTATAATCTCCTATGGTAAGCAATAGCAGTTGCTATCTTCAAGGCCTGCCGTATCTAGTTATAAAATATTTATCTCTGCATGACATTTTCCTGCAGTTGAAACCAGCTGATCTCTGATAGACCAAGCTATTGTATATTCTTTCTTTTCTAGAATAAACTGTAGAAATATTTATTTTCTAGACAATATATGTGTGTGCAACTCCTTTCTTTGTTTGCCTTTCAGGTCTTCCCTAAAGTGTAGGTTATAAGGTTCTAATCTTTTATCACTACATAAAAACTTCAGGCCCAGGTCTTTGCCAGGCTTCCCTAAAGAAAATACTGTCCCTGGCAGTTCCTGGGTTAGATGATTGTCCTTCACTTGCTCAGTCTTTAGGAGGCTTTTAACCCCACCTGGGCATCCATAATGATCTATTGGGTAGATCTATGGGGCAGATCAGGGTAGTACATATGCCCTGCTCTGTGGCCACATATTTCATCACTCTAGGTCAAAGAAACCCTCTGAAGATTCTCTTCCCTTCAGCCTTCAACCTGTAAAAGCCCTTAGTAGCCTTGTTTATTCAAGGTGAGTCAGGCAACCTGGTTTTCAAGAGTTTTCTAGTTCCAGCCCCATAGATTTTTGTTGTCAAGGACCAAACAACCTGTTCTTTTCCTGTCTTTGTAGAATAATGAATAGGCTTTTACTATAATGATATTAGCCATTCTCCTAGTTAGGAAAGAAAAAAAACCCGGTTACCCTGAATTAAAGAAAGGAGGTTCTAGCCATGTTGGATCATGTATTAAGTTTTGCTACCTTGGCTGGGTGCGGTGGCTCACGCCTGTAATCCCAGCACTTTGGGAGGCCGAGGTGGGCGGATCACCTGAGGTTGGGAGTTCATGACCAGCCTGACCAACATGGAGAAACCCCGTCTCTACTAAAAATACAAAATTAGCCGGGCATGGTGGCACATGCCTGTAATCCCAGCTACTCAGGAGGCTGACGCAGGAGAATCACTTGAACCCAGGAGGCGGAGGTTGTGGTGTGCCGAGATCACGCCATTGCACTCCAGCCTGGGCAACAAGAGCAAAACTCCGACTCAAAAAAAAAAAGTTTTGCTACGTTTTCTTTACTAAGGTATTTTAAACATATGGTTCTTCTATGAAACTGTACATCTAGGAAGCTCAACTTAGTGACTTGTGCCTATAGTGACTGTTGTACTGTGAATGCAAGTTCATGATTCTTATTCATACAAAGCATGAAAGGCCGAGGCGGGCAGATCATGAGGTCAAGAGATTGAGACCATCCTGGCCAACATGGTGAAATGCCATCTCTACTAAAAATTCAAAAATTAGCTGGGCGTGGTGGCGGGTGCCTGTAGTCCCAGCTACTTGGGAGGCTGAGGCAGCAGAATCGCTTGAACCCGGGAGGTGGAGGTTGCAGTGAGCCGAGATCGTGCCATTACACTCCAGCCTGGGTGACAGAGAGACTCCGTCTCAAAAAAAAAAAAGAGAGAATGGGGGCCGGGCACAGTGGCTTATGCCTGTAATCCCAGAACTTTGGGAGGCCAAGGTGGGCAGATCAGTTGAGGTCAGGAGTTCAAGATCAGCCTGGCCAACATGGAGAAACCCTGACTCTACTAAAAATCTACAAAAATTAGCCAGGCATTCTGGGGGGCACCTGCAATCCCAGCTACCCTGGAGGCTGAGGCAGGATAATCACTTGAACCCAGGATGCAGAGGCTGCAGTGAGTTGAGATCACACCACTACAATCCAGCCTGGGTGACAGAGTGAGGCTCTATCTCAAGAAAAAGAATGAAAAGCATGTAGTGTTTTCTGATCTATTCTCAGTGGGGGGTCATGGTGATCTTTGGATGTTGTGTAGAAGACAGTATAGTTCTTGACTACTGGGCCATGTCCATACAATGAAGCCAGCTTGGCAGAATGTCTCAGTGATAGAGGTCATGCCCACAGGAATTGGTGGCTTTGGTACTAGTTATCCATACATCTGTGGCTACTTAATTTCAAGTATCTTTGCTGTGGGATCAGAAAGGAAGGTGTGGGGGATCTAATTAAACCAAGAAATTTGCCTTCCTGGATTCCAGATGTCAGGGAAGTAGCCCAAGATAATTATCTTCCAATTCCAAATTGTTGACCCAAATTGCTCCAAACTGACTTGAGTGCTCCTGGCCATAAAGCTAGAGGTGTGGGAAGAAGGAGGAAGCTCCTTTGGTTTCAGGTAAATGAGTGGAGTTGACCTAGCTAAGTGGCTTCCTTCTCAGTCCAGGGAGCGGGAGGCAGACAGTTACATTCATAGAATGTCTTAGCTGAGGACAAAGAGCTGCTGGATTCACCCTTAGGGGATTTACTGTTGTCCTAGAGAAGGCCATCACTAAGTAAAAACACTGAATTCTTTGGAATTTAAATTTTTCCAGTGTCCTCATAGCACCTTGTATACATTTCAATTACATCATCATAGTGAACTTCAATCATTCACCGGTTTTCCTTCCCAATGAATAATAAAGGCAGTGACTATAAATTATTTATCTTTACAGAACAAGGATAGAATCTGATATATTACCTGCACTCAAGAAATGTGTGACAAATGAATGCATGGGAGAATCCAGAGAGGAACATGACATGTTCCATACTTCTTTCTTATCCTATTCTTTCCTTTTGGTGATGGTGACTTAGAGATGGAATCATTACATTATCAGTGTAGTAGAGTTGGTAAGCCCTCAAGTGCCCTGTGCTTAATTTGAATTCTGATTTTTAATACTTTTTAGTTATGTGATTTTGAACAAGAATTAAATCTCTTCATCTGTAAAATCAGAATAATGCTTATTTTATTTGGATGTTGCGAGGATTAAATAACATACAGTTCTTGACACCTATAAGTTACATTATTAGTAATATCACTGCCATCAAAGTGAGAATATGTCCAGCTTGCTGCTGTTGAGCCTCGGTGAGAGGGAGAAATCATTTACAGCATCAAGTAAGAGTGCCTGATTTATTGTCTTGGATCATGCTAAAGAATGGACTAACCCCCAGTTATTGTGCATCCCCTGGGTGATTCGATTTACCACGTAGAAATACGTGTCTTCCCTATTCTAATTTCCTTTAGAGAAATAAAATCTGATTATTTAGTCAAGGAAATTCCTTCTTTCTTCTGGGTGGCCAAGGTGTGTGTGTGTAGGAGGGAGGTGGGTAGAGCCTGATATGAACCATGTTTCAGTGTCCAGCAATCCTGGGGGCACTGAGGAAGAGTGTGAGTGCATAAATATGGGATGCTGACATTCTGAGCAAGCCAGAGAATGCACCTAGATTCCCAGTGTGGGCTAGAAACACAAGGGAAAGGAGGCACTGATTAACAGAAAGTTCTTGAAGAAGTCTGACATTGGAAGGGTAGACTTTCCAATGGAGTGAATATGGAGGACGCCTGGAGAGGAGAAAACATCTTAGCCTAGAATCTTTGCACACAGTAGCAGAATGGTAGTCTGCTAAATAGTAGAGGTAATAAGTGCCCATAAAACCAATATAAGGTAAGAAAAAAATATTTCTAGAAACATTAGACGATCTCTAGAGTCTAAATTTCCCTGGGTAAATGTAGTTATTTCATATTTACTAGGTTTCTTTTCATCAAAAAGAAACATTTACTTGAGTCTATATTACCTCTTTTTTACTTAGTTTATTTGCATTTATAACTCTTCTAAAATAAATTGGTAACCTGGAAACACACAGGTACCATTTTTTTTCTTGCCACCGGCCAGTTCTAAATTATCAATAAATAAAAGAACTTCTCATACCCAGACCTTGATTTGAAAGATACCCTGAAGATTTACAATATGCTAAACCAGGGAAAAACTTGGGAGTAATCAGTACAATACATTTTGCTCTCCATCATAATCAGTTTTTCAGCCTCCATGTCGATAAAACTTTTTCTCCTTTTTCACAATGGTTTACAACTTAAATAATTTAATACAACAGTTGTTATATTTTTATTGCAAGCTTATAAAACCGGTACTATAAGTCTTTTCTATGCAATATATTACCAAAAAGTGACAGTGGAGAAGGGGAACTGATGATTACTAAAACTGTAATTCAATCTTCAAGTTCTGAAGATGTCATAAAAACGTCTTCTGCTTTACTTGCATATGGCAGATACTATCAGGATGCCTCAAATGAACTCTCTCTGGATATTCAATCTCTCCTTAGGCATTATTTCCTATACAATAAAAAAGGGATTTCACAATGCAAATGCAACTGTGATTCAAGCCCAATAGTTCTTTTTGTCAAATAGGATTTTCTTTTATGAAGTTTCATCTTAGAATTAATTTTGATATCAATGCCTGTCAAGCTGTGGAAATTGAGCTGAACCAAGTGAGCCTATTCCTCTTTGCGCTGACTTGTAGGAAGTGGTAATTAGAAAAAATGCAGAGATTTTGTACTGTGCTAAAGAAAATTTAACTCATCATGCTACATACTGTCAATCTTGTCGAAAGTATAGAAGTGGTACATAGCAATATTCTATAAATGCCTATTTTATCATATATTTTTTAAATCCCCTCTTTACTACTTTTCATCTTACATTAGTTGCATGAAAATTATTTTCTAATTCTGACCAATTGCTGCTATGATCTGAAAGGTCTGTGAAATTAAATAACAGATTCCGATAGTGTTTATGATTAACAATGTTCCACAAAGCTTAGGACACTAGCATGGAAGAAAACGTATTTCATTAGATAAAGAGGATGGCTAGTTATTTGTACATTCTTGCCAACTGTTCTCACTCAGTGGTCTCATCACATGTGTACTGACTTCAGTCTAAAACAAAGAGGCATCAAATTCCCCAAATCTCTTCTTTGAATGTCCAACATACAATTAATCTAATGATGTTGCAAATAAAATTAAAGAACTCTTATCTTTGTATTAACAGAGTCACTTTGCCTTCTGTATCAATGCTGTAAAGCAATACTTTACAAAATCCTTTAAAAATCTTCCTAGGATGAGAATAAATTAGTTTTTATAGGGAGGTGGAGGAATCGAACTTTCATAATATGGCTGCCTGGAGAGCAACACATACAGTTGGAAGGTAAAATTTTCCATTTATCCCCCAGCCTGAGAGAGTGCAGGTGGTGCTCTGTGGGTTTCTGCACTTTGTCTCCCAGCCAATGCAGCCCTGGCCGACTCCACAAGGGGTGAAAGGTCACAGACGCTATGTGAGTGGTGTGTAATTCTCACCACAACAGAGGCTGCTAATCACATAACATTAGGGTGAATTATGATAATTATAAAAAGCTGAACAGAGAGATTCAACAATAACAACAGCACGACCACAGCTGTGATGGTAGTGATGAAAAGGTGGTGCTTTCACGGCCCATGGTAATGGGTTTGATTGAGATTCTGGCAACCTTTGGTGAAAGACACTTTGCCCCTTGCAGGTTAGCTTTTTCTAAACCACCTCTATAATAAGTAGAGTAAAAATAACCCATTCAAACAGTTTCTAGTGTTGGAAGGAGCTCAAAACATTATCCTGTAGCATGCTGAAGTCCTATTCGTCTACAGAGTAAGAATTTATTTCAGAGTCACTGCTTTCCAGCAGGTCTCAACTTGTACAGCTGTTGGCTTCTGAGCCTTACATGAAATTTTAATTTTTCTGATCCCATTTTACTCTTCTACATATGTAACCCCCTGTAATGGATTTTATTTGCCCTAGGAAAATTTGGAGAACAATAAAGAAGAGCCTATTCTTAGGAGTTTTCAAATTCAGGAAAAACTGATGGCAAATTTTGAAATAGGAAAAAGTCAGGCAATGGGTATGAAGTGCAATAAAGAAACTAACTGATAGAGTTAGTCCCTACTGATTAGATAGTTTGCTTTTCACATTTTGGGGGCAAAGAAAACATCATAGCCTTTTGTTGCTCACCAAGTTGAAATGCCTTGCAACATTAGTTGTTTTACTGAATCAAGAGAGGCAGAGATATTTAGAAGCCACGAATTGCAAGGGGAAGTTGGGCCACCATTACCCCCAAAGTTTAGCGCTAGGGCTGGCTTCTAAGTAGCACTTACTAACCGCACTCCTTGAATATACAGAAGATGCAGTATGTTTAAAATAAAAACACAGGGCTTCAGCCGTATTTATGTATTTATTTATTTGAGACACAGTCTCGCTCTGCCGCCCAGGTGTCACGATCTCGGCTCACTGCAACCTGTGCCTCCTGCGTTCAAGCGAGCACCTCCAGATAATTTTTGTATTTTTAGTAGAGATGGGGTTACACCATTTTGGCCAGGCTGGTCTCGAACTCCTGACTTCAAATGATCCACCCACCTCAGCCTCCCAAAGTGCTGGGATTACAGGCGTGAGCCACCACACCCGGCCATATTTATAAGCTAATGGTAGCACACCAAATCTTACTAGGAAGTGAAAAAGTAGTCCTGGTTGACAGATAAATGAAATGATACATATACTCTATGCAAATAATGCCATAAAGCAAATAGTCTCATATGTTCTAGGTAAGGCATCTGGGTAGTTTTTAAAGACTTTTTTTCTTCTTAAAATATGATGATCCAATGTAGTGCTAATGAAGGTGGTAAAATCCACTACAAAATCTGAGTCATGAAGAAAAAGTTCAAAACTCTTTGACACAGTTCAGTAGAAGAGGCACCAAGTGCCTTTAAAATATCATGTTATCAAGCCCAGCTGCTATGAGGTTGGATAATTCCAAACCAGGGTCTAGGCAATTTATCCCAGTTGCATACTAGTAGCCCACCTATTCTGGCTGATTTGATATTAGCTTGGAAAGGCAGTTTTGGGCTAAATAGTGCTGGGGCTTACAGTAAGTTCATTTTAAACTTTCAGCTGACATGAAAACATTTATACTGAGAAGTTACATAACTACATAGGCAAATGGCTACTTAAATGCATGCATCTTTATTTGATTCCTGAACCACAAGAGGTAATGATGATGATAACCATAATAATGACAAAAACTAACAGTATTTAATATCTACAGGCGTTGTATTAGGTGTATTGACTGCATTATCTCATTCTCACAACATCCAGAGGCCGCCTTTTGTTTTATTACGCCTATTTTACATATGAATAAATTGAGGCTGAGAGAAGTGAAAAAACTGGGCTTTCTGAATTGGGTGAAAATTTGGGCTCTACTGAGTATCAGAAACATTCTGGGATAACAAATGGAATCATCCTGCTCTGCTGTGATTATTGGCTCTTAGCAGCAGTGCAGCTTTAGGAATCAATACAGTGCACGAGTTCTATAAATGTGCCTCTTAATAAGTTAATAAAACAGAGATATTCTCATTGCCTCTCCATCAAAGTTTCAGGGGAAAAATGAGAATATTAAATGCAGTAGGATAGGGAAGATCTGCTCCATTTGCTCTGCAATGATAATCTTTTACAAAAGAGGATTTTTATTATTAATTCTTTGCCTTCTGGGGATATTATAATTTTCTAGAATGTAGAACTGCCTTAAGCACAGTAATTTGCTGAGCTAGACTGAATCTCAAAATGTTTCAAATGAGCTGATAAACAATTGCATAATTAGCCATTAGTAGATCAAGTCTGTATGTTACTGATAGCCAGATAAACAAACCAATGGGTAGGCAAATTGTAGATATAGTTTTAAAAACTAAGAGCCTGTGTTTTATTTTTACACGCTTTGTAACTTGTTCTTTAAAGAATTAAAAACCACATTTCATTTGCCCTTTAAAAAAAGAAATTTAGGAGATTATTCTATCAAATAAATCCTTAGAGACTTAATCATTAAATACATACTGCCATGTATGAATAATGAAGGATTTGTGTGGTGAATGCAACTCATGCTCTAAAAATGACTAGATGGTGGGATTTTTCTTTTCAATTAAAACTGGCCTCAAATCTATTGCTTGCATGGGTAATGCTCTTTCATCCTCCTTTTGAGTTTTGGTTTAAGTCCAAAGTATGAAATACATTTGGCCTTGATTATGAAAATAAAAGGTTTTGCATGTTCAAATAAGAAAAGGAAAATACAGTCAGTTTTTAGGCTTAAACGCTCATACCTTATTCAAGTGGCTGGCATCCAGTCCAAAATGTATCCATGTTACAATTCAACCTCTCTTTCTTCTCATTTTTCAAGAACTTCTCACTGGATCATAAAACACCTGGGCTGGAATTTGTCATGCAGAGTTACAAGCTAGGTGTAGGATTTTTGTTTATTTGTTTTAATATTAAAATCAACTCAGCAGTTTTGAGGACCCAATAAAGAAAAGAGGAAGATTTAATTTAAACAAGGTTATACTTTATGTTCTGAACTCAGAGGTCACAAAGCCAGACAGATAAATGTACCAGCAGAAAGAAAAGCAGCAGCAATTTTCCTGAAGATTTACAAATTAGAGAATTCATATTTTATCTTAAATGGCTTAGGTGTCCTCCTGTTTGGGGGGCAGACCAGGTATAATTTCTTGAGATTCTTTGCAGATCAATTATTCTAATTTTTGTCTATTAGTATTTCAGATGTCAGAGCATAGTAAAATGCTAATTTGAAACTGTGCAATGGGCACAAGA
This sequence comes from Homo sapiens, assembly GCF_000001405.40. Taxonomy (NCBI): domain Eukaryota; kingdom Metazoa; phylum Chordata; class Mammalia; order Primates; family Hominidae; genus Homo; species Homo sapiens. The sequence goes on from NC_000015.10 coordinate 35,118,753, forward strand.
CGATGTGTGAGCCTAGCTAGGGAATGGATTTGTCACTACATTTAAAAAACTATTTTGACCTTTGACAATTTTAACAGCCTCTAAAATTTGTATACCCTTCTTATGCTTCCCATTATCACTGATCCTCCATTTGATGCCAACTAATAGCCTTATGTAAAATTTTACTGTTGTTGGGCTCAAGTTCTGCTATTATTACAATGATTATTTATCCACAATCTGATTTCTATTTTAGTCTCAGCCTTAATTTATTACAGACCTTGAGTCCCTGTTACTGTTTTTATATTTACATTTATTCAACTAGCCCTTTCATTTTATAAATTGGCATTCATTGTATTTGCATATTTGCATAGTTGCACAAATAGACCATTTATATCCTCTACGTTAGAGGCATAAGGTCATCTAGGTTCTCAATCCAACAAGGAGTGCCAATTTCTTTGTCCAAAAGTGTGCCGGCTGAATTCAGTTCATGATGAAAAAACAAGACCTTTGATTCATAAGGTATCAGCAATAATTGCTTTGGTGTTTTTTGAAGGCACTGGAAACATTTTCAACTATTTTATAATGTTCTGACTTTGTCAGGAACATTTTGCCTTCATGTATTTGATAGGTAATCTTATCTGTATATTTTGTATCCTTTTGTTCTAAACTCATAAAAATGACACCAGTATTCTACAACATCCAAGATACCTCATTAGGATTTTATTAATGAACCTTTTAAAGGCAATCCCTCCCTAAAAGGGAAATTACATTTGGTTCAGAATAAATGAACTCACACAATTAAAGATCTGAGTTGATTTAAGGCTACGCAGCTGAGAAACTTAAGCAGATTTCAAATTTGGAGGAATATACCGTCATGGCCCCAGATAAGAATATTATTCCTAATTTGATTATACTTTCACAACATGCAATGCTATATTTTCAGAATTAGGTAAATACAGAAATATGGGTCATTACTGGGTTTCAGTTTTATGCATAAATAAAATGTTAGGGAAAAAGTTTCACTGAATTTTATTTTAATCCTTTGTCACCTCATCTCTCTGACATTATAAATCCCACTGACATTATAAAGCAAACCACAGTTTTGCTATTAATGAGACATACAAAACAGCTTGTCTGGCATTTGATTCCTATAAAAACTTTGAGGTCAAAAGTTATTTCTCACTAATGCATAACTGTAATGGACATTGAATACTTGGGCTAGGCTTTTGATCTGGAAGGATTTTGAAAAATCTTTTTTATAATGGACAATGTTTGTATTTTTATATTAAAAGACTCATAAAACCAAATGAAAACACAATTGACAGTACTATAATCAAAGGAGGAAAAAAGACCTCCAACCATTTAAGTAAGTTGTTTCCTTACAAATGTAGATGGAAAAATACTGCAAAATAAACTACCAAAATCAAAAGTTAACAGACCATGATCATAACTGTCATTTATTTCTGACTTGTATGAGGAAATAAGTAAAAAGTACAGGCAAAGGAAAATGCGAACCCAAATTTTGATGAACAAATTTCACAGTAGATAATTCTTCTGCTTTTGGATTTTTGCCATCAAAATATAGTTAATAATTAAGAATCAGAGGGCATAAATCACCAAGAAAAATCAATGGACAGCTTCCAGAGAGAAAGAGAAGAGCACATATGGCTACAGATATCCAGGACTGGAAACAACGGAACTTTTGCAAGATATTTACTCCACCAAATAAGTTATTTTTTAAATTTATTATTTATTTATTTAGTTTTTGAGACGGAGTCTCTTGCTCTGTCACCTAGGCTGGAGTGCAATGGCGCGATCTCGGCTCATTGCAACCTCTGCCTCCTGGGTTCAAGTGATTCTCCTGTCTCAGCCTCCCAAGTAGCTGGTATTGCAGGCGCAAGCTGCCATGCCCGGTTAATTTTTTTTTTTTTTTGTATTTTAGTAGAGACGGGGTTTCACCATGTTGCCTAGGGTGGTCTTGAACTCCTGAGCTCAGGCAATCCACCCACCTCAGCCTCTCAAAGTGCTAGGATTTTATAGGCGTGAGCCACCATGCCTGGCTGCGAATAAGTTATTAAACAGTGTGTGTGAATTGTTTTAATTATTTTACTAAAACCAGCAGTGAGGATAATGATTACTTGCATTTAAGCTTTGCTGCATTAATCCTGTAAAAATATTCATGTTGAAGTATGGTGGTTCCATAAAAAATTAAACAGAATTATCATATGATCTAGCAGTCCGACTTCTGAGTATATAAACAAAAATAACTGAAAGTAGAGACTTCAACAGATATTTATTTATTTATTTTTTTGAAATCAACAAGTATTTATTGAGTGCCTATTATGTGCTAGATATTGAGACACATCAGAGAACAAAACCAAGAGCCCTGCCCTTGTGGGGTTTACAGTCTAGCACTTAGTGCCAGTTTACCTGCAGGCTACCTGGAGCCCGGGTCAAGTCACTGCCCCTCTGTTCCTCGGTCTGCAGCTGCCCAATGGGAGAATAAGCAGACGTGGCTCAAACGTGGATCACGTGCCTGGTGTACTGCAGATGTCAAACTGGATTCCCCACAACCCACCGCCCAGACAGTAGATAGGGCTGGAAGTTGATTTTTAATGATAAAGTACAATGGAGGGAGGGCAGAGGGGCTAAGCCAACTGTCTGGGGAGCTGTGGTGGTGATGGGCTGGCTACACAAACTGCTGCTACTGCTGCTGCTTCTTGGTGGCCGCCTTGCTGGCGAGGTCCTTGGCCTTCTCTGTAGCTGCCAGGGCCGTCTCCTTTGCCTTCTCCTTGGCTTCCCTGGCTGTCTTAATAAGTGTTTTGGAAGCAGCCTCGCCTTGCAGCTTCGCCAAGATATATTCAAAACCCTTCAAAGTCTTGGTCACGTTGCTTTTGAACTGGGCAAGACCAAATTCCCAGACAGCTCTGGAGACACCGCATAAGCTAGAGGAGACCCACGCTTCCCGGCGGATTTCGGTCCAGCCACTGTTGTCAGAGTTCACACAGTAAACACATCGTTCCTCCACCACCATCGGCCGGGCGTGGTTGATGTTCCAGGTGAAGGTGGTCATGGTCTGATTCTGTGGGTCCACAACAGAGTCCTCCAATATGTATGTACACCGAGTGAGCCACATTGGCAGGAAACAGTCGCTCGGCCCAGCGGGGCATCCTGTCGGTCTTGGTCATGAGTCGCCGGGACAGCAGTTTCTGGTCAGGGGTCACCTCCCGGTGTACTATGTCTTCCGTCAAGATACGTTTGCCACAGGGATTCGGGTACCGCTGCCAAAAGGCGGCGAACACTTGGTCCCAGGAACTGCGGAGCACGCCCTGGCCCAGTAAATACTTCACCATCGTCCCGGCCGGAGCGGGCTCAGCACCCGCTCAGCATCAGGGGTGTGGAGCCTGGGAGGCACGCGGGGGCCGGGCCGGGGCTCGGCGCGCACCCGCCGCCAGGCTCGTAGCTCAGTCACCACCGCACCGCGCCCAAACAGCTGCCGCTGCCGCCGCCATGAGTTCAGATATTTATTTTTTTTTTCTGGTCAGGAGACTGGATTCAAATGAACAGATATTTGTGCATCAATAGTAAGATTATTCACAATGGCCAAAAGATAGAAGTGACCCAAATGTTCATTGGCAGATGAATGGATAATCAAAATGTGGTACATACACACAATGGAATATCATTCAGCCTTAAAAAGGAATAAAATTCTAATTCATGCAATAATAACCTTAAAGACATTATGCTAAATAAAATATACGCCACACAAAATGAGGAATATTGTATGATTCCACTTATATGAGGTATGTAGAGTTGCCAAATTCATAGAGACAGCGTGTGGAATAGTGGTTATCAGGAGCTGAGGGGAGGGGAGGACTTGGAGTTATTGTTTAGTGGGTACAGAGTTTCAGTTTGGGATGATGAAAAAGTTCTGGAGATGGATAGCAGTGATGGCTGCACAACAACATGAGTGCACTTAATGCCAGTGAATTATACACTTAAAAATGACTACAGTTGGCCGGGTGCGGTGGCTCACACCTGTAATCCCAGCACTTTTGGAGGCCGAGGTGGGCGGATCACGAGGTCAGGAGTTTAGAGACCAGCCTGGCCAACATGGTGAAACCCCGTCTCTACTACAAATACAAAAAAAATTAGCCAGGCGTGGTGGCGGGTGCCTGTAATCCCAGCTACTCGGGAGGCTGAGGCAGAAGAATCGCTTGAAACTGGAAGGCAGAGGTTGCAGTGAGCTGAGATCATGCCACTGCACTCCAGCCTGGGCAATAAGAGCAAAACTCCGTCTCAAAAGAAAAAAAAAAAAAAGACTAAAGTTGGCGGGGTGTGGTGGCTCACGTCTGTAATCCCAGCACTTTGGGAGGCCGAGGTGGGCAGATCATGAGGTCAGGAGATCGAAACCATCCTGGCTAACACAGTGAAACCCCGTCTCTACTAAAAATACGAAAAATTAGCCGGGCGTGGTGGCAGGCGCCTGTAGTCCCAGCTACTCGGGAGGCTGAGGTAGGAGAATCATTTGAACCTGGGAGGCAAAGGTTGCAGTGAACCGAGATTGCGCCACTGCACTCCAACCTGAGCGACAGAGAAAGACTCCATCTGAACAACAACAAAAGATTAAAGTTATACATTTTATTATATTCTACCACAGTGAAAAATCACAAAAAACATTCATATTGGGTAACAAAAATTATTTAATATTGAAGCTTTTTAAACAGTGTGGTAGAACTCTGAAATTTACAAGGATTTGGAGATCTTTGTGAATCCCTAATTTTATAAGTATGAAAGTGTTCTGACTTTATTCTAACTTCCAGCTTTCTCTCCCTTGATAGTTCTTTCTCATACATATCCTCCCAACACACAAAAAACAAATTCAATGTCCATTGACTTTTTTTTTCCATAGTATGCATTTATTGCATTGTTAGGGACATGAGAATTTCTCCCTGAAATGGTTTTCTTTTGCTTTGCCTAGAAAGTTCTGTGAATTCTTTCATGTTACATATCTGATCTGCCATCAAATTCAACATGCTACTATTTAATCTATTGGAAATTTCTATTTTCAGGCTAAAACAGATTTTTTCTCTGAATTACTTTCCTTCCTCTTTATTTCTATCAAGAGCTCTAGCAGTTGGCTTTCTTCTTTGAGCCAATTTTTGCCCATAAATCATCATGACAGTTACTATGAGAAACAAGTAAAAAACAAAGATGAATAGTAATGAAAGTGCTAGATGATAAGATATGAATACTGGACAGTCAGCTAGGTTCATTGGCTGGTTAAATGATGCTTCTTGAAAGTATCTGTGATTCTAACTCTTGCTTCAGGAAAATTACAAATCAGTACTAATACAGGTTCATATTTGCAAAGTTCTAAGAACAGTATCTGACACATAGTAAATATATAATTTTAAATACAAAATACATGTTAGGGGTCTTTAGCAAATCAGAATCAATATACAAAGATCATCAGACCTAAAAAATACCAAAGCTGAGTTTATTGCTGGACAGACATGGAGGAGCTTCATCACTGAGATGCAAGTTAGAGGGTCCCAACCAGGAACTGAAAGGCTAGATGTAGGGCAAAAAAAGAGAGTATAACAAACAGGGAAAGATTTTGAGTTCACGTTTCTGACTGATCCATAAGGTGGACTGTTAACTCTTCTTATGATTAATATATTCAGGTTCCATGGCACCCATACTGAGAAAACTGGTTTCAAGTAAGTCTGGGTGAGTTGCATAAGATTCAGTGGACCTAGGTTCATTCGATGGATGTCTTAAGCATATGAACATGTTTGAAATGCAGTGTGTTTCTTATAAGCAAAGTGTCTCAAAAATGTAAAAATCATTAACATTTAATTTATGATTGCTGAGGATCTTTGCATTTTTCCAATAAAAATACGGATAGAATAACAGTGAGAAAGTGGCCACGGATTTACAGATGCTCTAAAATATGATATAAGGAGTTTTTAAAAGCCTTCCACAGGAGTTTCTGAAGTCAGCTCTATCTTTTGATGAACCCATATAATTAAGAAGTTCCCTGGTAAAAGAAGCCATGAGCACTTAGGAAGAGTAGAATTTACTCAGTGGGCTTACCCTATTTAATTGAAATTGCAACAATAGTATGAGGATTTAGTAATATTTCTCTATTCTCCTAGAACACCAGATAGAAAATTTCAGTGTTTCATTCTGCAATGTATAGTAATTTTTGTGTGTGTGTCAACATTCCCCAGCTTTACTTCAGGTCCCTGAGCTAGTATCTGTCTAGAATACATGCTCGGTAAATACTAGTTGAATGAATATATCAATATATGAACAGACTGACATTTCTCTTTCCTTTATTCACCAAAAATAGTAAGTAGGAGCTGACCTATTTGTTCCTTTCGGACTGGCACCAAAAATCTAAGTTTTTTTCTGAGTGGAATGACCAGTTTCATAGAGGAAAGCTCCAGAGTCAGACAAGCCACAAAATAAAAACTGATTTAAACTGGAGACTTAGGGGAAGAAAACACCAAGAGTTGAAATGATGGCATTAAAAAAATAATTAGAAAAGGTAAGACATGTTTTATAGAAGGAAGGCTTCCATGGAAACAAAAAATGAATCTACTGTTTTACCAGCTTTTTCTGCATAAAGGATAGATTTAAAAATTATGCTTAGAAAAATAATGAGTAAGACTGTAGAGATGAAAACATTGTATTATATATATTTAATTTAAACATTTTAAGAGAGTGAATTAAGGCATTATTTTCCCATTAAAGAATGTTTCCATTTTAAGCTTGGGGGAATAGCAGGTTTTTCTTGCCACATGGTAAGTGATTCTTATGCTATAGCCATTAGAAATTCCCCCATCATCCCTGAGTGGGTAATTGTTACTTGAAATAGCTCTTTCAGGGTGATTATTATAAAATATACCTGTCTTCTGTTGATCTACTGCTTTATTTATCTCATGTTAAAAGATCTTTAGGAACCCTTCTATCATTAATGGACAAATTCCATTTTACAGATACATCCATTAGTTGCCAGGAATAATTGTGATCCGATTAAAGTATAACCATTTAAGACAAATTCACACATTAAATGCTTAGTACTGTACATTGTTAAAGACTTATATCTCCAGACCCAGTTTTTTTTTTTTTTACTTGATAGAAGACAAAAAATGAGACCTCAAATAGTGGATGGATCTTCTCTTGTCTAGACTGGAGGAAAAAAGGTCTAAAAAATAAGCATATTGCTTGAGAAATCCTTCCAGAAGGGTGTTCGAGGATCAATGTAGATGTTATGAAGTAACAAAGTATTACAGATCTCTTTGAGATGGAGGGAAGCTCATTAAAAAGAAAAACAGAAAGAATAGATCTCAAATGGGTATTTAAGGAAATAAACATGACAAACTATTTCTTATATTTATGAGGTGATTCTCAGAAAGATTAAAGCTAATTTGTTATTCTCATAATAACTATTTCCATGCGATTAAGATCATAAATAGAATTTGTTTTCACAAGGGGCAGTATTGGAGAGGCAGAAAGAGAAACATGCCAATATTTAGCAAAATTTATGCATTAGATTGTAAACACCTTGAAGGCAGGGGCCTAATTAACTCCATGCCTTATCCTCAGAGCCTAAAGTTGATTCTGACAAATGTTATTACTCAATAAATTCTTGCTGAATGAATAATTTAAATTAGCACATGACAGTTTTCCTAATCTCAGTGGAGAATCCACAACCTACAAATGTGCTAAATTCCAAAAGGATTTTGAGGCAGATTGCAACTTAAAATACATGTCTCCACAGAAAATGATATCATGGATGGTGCCGGGGTTGGAAAATCAGCACATGAAAGTCATTTAACCCACAATGCAGCAGAAACATTACATATTTGAAATGAACAAGTAGCAGGAAAATAATACTGCAGCAATAAAACCAAAGAGAGAAATCATAAAATTGAATAAAAAGTTAAATTTTTCTTGTCTCTCTGTGCTTGGAGAGAAGTAGATTTAAGTATAAGAAGATGAAGAGATGTATAGAAATTGTCATGGAGAGGCTTATTTTCTTAAGGAATTTTAGAAGCTGATGGCTCTTAAAAATTATGTAGAATTTCCCTTCAAAACATAACCCTACTTATTCATGATAAAAGTCTTTGATAATACTATTTTAATGCTTATCAGTCAAGATTAAAATGATTTTTTAAAACTCAAAAGTGGAATGGTGAGAAGGGAAAAGAAACAAGTGAAGAAAAATCAAGTAAACCAACAACAAAGATGAAAATATTATAAAACGTATTAATCTAGTACTCCCTGTGCTCCAGACACTGAGGATAGATACAAAAGTGGATGAAAACAGTCCCTGCCCTCAAGAAACTTCAAGCATAGTAAGGGAAGTCAAACTCATAAAAAAACTAAGTGTAATAGTCATTATAGAAACTACAAAAGAGGTAACTGGGATACAATAGGGCCAACAAGAAGGTGGCCAGAGCCTCTTGAGACCGTTGGTGAACCAGGCTTGTGAATCTTAAAAGAGGAGGAGTTTCTTTGCCGGCAGATAGAGTGAGAGCAATTCAGGCTCAGGGAACAGGGTGAGCCGAGGAAAGTGTGCGAAGTGCAGAGGCCGAATGGAAGGGAGGTGATGCACTGGGACACGGGAATGGAGGGGCAGGCCAGGGCTGGAGCAAGAAAGGGTTCTGTGGTCCCCATGGGAAGCAGCCTGTCTTAAGTCTACAGACCCCTGGAAACTTAGGGGGTTTTAAGCATGGAAATAACATGACCAAGTGGACATTTTAGAAAGGTCACTCTGATAGCATTATGGAGGATGGATGGTAGGTGTGAAATACTGGTAGCAGAGAAACCTGTTAAAAAACTTCAAGGGAATGAAAACTGGGAGTAAATAGCAGAGTTAATTATAGAGAGAACCAGGAGAGCCATTTGGTCTGTATTCATCTTCGTGAAGAGCCTCAAATTTAGATTCTTGACGTTATCTTCTACTGAGGTTGTCTACTGTCATTAGAATTCATTGTTGGGATGGAACATTTAAAATATGCTAAAAATGTTGTAACCTTGTTTTAATATGTCTTTAATTTTTAATACACTGAGAGCCTTGATAATGAAAAGGATCCAACAATGGGGAGGAAATCTCCCTCTGAGAAAACTATTACGTTGCTGTGCCTGGTTTGTGCTTAGCCTTCTTCTCAAGATAGAGAATGGCAGGACTAGAGAAGAGATGACAGCTAGAAAGTTTCCATAACTGGCACCAATTTAGGTTTTTGCAGTTGGGTGAAGAGAGTGTGCATCTCTTTACTTACAAGTTTTTGATGTTTGCAAGATGGGTGTTCATAGCTTTGGAATGCCTGAACTGTTATTAAATAATTCTCTCTTTACCTACTTACAATATAGATGAAGGTGCAGGATTTGAAATATTTAGTAAAAGGTATTATGCTTCTCTAAATTACTCTCAGTTTTCCTGACATAGAAGATTAACTTTGAGAAATGACCCAGGGTTAATTGTTTTTAAACTAAATTATTGAAAGTGGCTATTTTCTCTCATATTTATGTCTCTGGTACTCTACTTTTTAAGACCTTATGAAAAGCATTATAATTATCTGCAAAAAAATCATTTTGTGGTTGTTGATTATAAAAAATGAAATTTAATTTTTGCTTTTTAAACATATTGGATTAGCTATTGTTGAAAGGAAGTCTAGATATGTAGCAAAGTTAGTTAGGGGCTATTTATTTCCAGGTAATCACAGCACAATCACCCTGATGAATAAAGTAAATAATAATACAGCAAATTTAAAGAGAGTTGAATTTTGAAGTTTTTAAAAAAGGATTCATTCATTAAATGCAATCGGTTATTAGCCGTTTGCTAAATGATTAACATGTATAAACTTAATAATTATCTATCACTAACGAAGGGTCTGTATATCATATATCTACAAAAATAAAAACACACCTTCAGGACAAAGTGGCATAATTGTAAGGCCAAACTTGATTGAAACAAAATGTCACAATTTAGTCTTGTATGAATTCAGACTGTAAATAAATCTAAATTATTCCTTCTGAGTTCAGTTGTTCCTGACACGTAGAAAAACCAGGAAAATATATCTCTTTTCAGAAAGGAAACTTTTTTTTCTTTTAATGCATGACTAGATCTTTATCCATGTGGGAGAAAGCAATAAAAATGATAGCAGTATTACAGTATTAAGATGAAGAGAGAGGGTCTTCATATTTCTAAAGTTAGCCATCTCATACAAGTCAAGGACACAGAAAAGCTCTTGTCTTTTGGAGTATTTGAGTCAATGTTTATATCCAATGCTCTGATCCTCCTGGTAGGGATGTCTTCTTTCCTCTTCCTCTGAATTGGACAGTCCCTAAACAGCTTGGGCACTGAGGGGACCAAGCAAAAGAAGGCACTGGTAGTATGCTAATTAGTGCGCTGAGACCTGAGAGAATCTAAGCGTCTTTGAGAGAAGTCAGTTTACTCCCTTCTTATTGCGGGTTCAAGCTTATCATAGTTCTGGTAGTTGACACTGAAACGTGATTATCTTATGCAGATACAAAGTTGTACACAACTACTTTTTGGCTGAAAGCATAAGGAACTTCAAGATCCTTATTTTAATATTTGAATTGGGATTTGTTCAATACTAATTATTAGCATGCTTTAGAAAGTTCAAACTGTTTTCCTCATCAGGTATCAGTTTCCTGACCTAGAATTCCTACAAGGAAGATGGCCTAGAACAGTCATCTATGAGGAACATTCTGGTCCTCTTTTATGTTTAAATATGTTCTCTTCCTTAATGTTTTGATCTCACCAGACATTTTTTTTGCGGGGGCGGGGGTAATGGTGAGGGAATTGTTCCTGTCAAGAATGCTGCCTTACTTCGCTTTTTAAATTTTTTTTATTTTTGCAGGATAGACTCATGGCTTCCTTGACAGGAACAATGAAGTAATTGGTATTGTACCTCCCACTTAACTAATGTGTGACCCAAATTTTGTGGCATAAGTTTTCGATGAGTAGTTTCATTTTTTCTGCTCTTTTAAAAAATTGGGGTCAACATGACTTCTTGTTCAAGTGCGGAGAAAACAGAAAGGCCCAGTCTGCAGAACAATTCACAAAGAATCTTCTAATACAGTCCCTTTAACTTTGCACTGAACTCAAATAAAAAAATCAGAGCTTCCAAAATGGTTGTAGGGAAGCAAGCAGTCTCCCGAGTGTAGTTGTAGGCATGTTCTAGTACTCACTTCTACCAGCGGGCCTCTCTCCTTTGACTTCTTTTCTCATATGACAGTGGTTAACTGAAAACTGACAAGAAGAATTTGGGGTTTTATGTTGAAAATTCTGTAAGTATATATTAAAGATCTATGCTTCATGGTGGGAAGGGATAGTTTACTTTTGGGTATTCAACTCACGAGGTATTCTAAACGTTAGGTTTCCCATAACACAAAGGCAGAGGCTAACATGTGCCAAAAGTAGTGCCACGTTTAAAGAATTCTTCTCATGAGTAGCATATACTGGCCTCAGCTCATCTTTACATTAAAAAAAATCTGCTAAGTATGGATTCTATATTCTAAAGACTAAGAATTATAAATAAAATCCGAACCATGGAAAACTGAACAACTTTCTAAGATGTTTACCAGAGACATGTGCATTCAGATCTTTCCTCAAATTAGATCTCTGGCATTCCTTTCTTGCTTTCTAGCATTGCTCCAATGCCATATCTGTTTCATGGCTGGGAGGAAGCCAATTTCAAGGATCTATTGCACAAAGAACTATTTACTGAGACATATGGAATGTGTTCACTACAAAATAAACAGGAGTAACATGCCTTTAATATAGATTTTGACAATAAGAAATGAGACTAATTTGTCTTTGCACCCTCATGCTCTAGAATACAGTGGCCATATCTTTGCTATTTATTATAGTGCAGCACCTTCCATGGTTTTGGAAGCACATAATTTTTCTAGCTTAGTCTCACACTTCACCTTTACATATGCCTTCGCACTGTTTTCCAAAAGATGAAAATCTATTACCTTATAAGTTTTTAAAATGAGAAGACCTTTTCATACTAATGCACGAGTTTCCTATGTTCTACCAATGGTGGCATTATTCTCTCTGCCTGCCAGATTGAAAACTTAGTCATTTTGACTCTTTTCTGTACGTCATAAAATTCTGGCAAGTTCTCTTGAGTCCCGCAAATATAGATCCCACTTTAGTACTTCCATCATTTTTCCTCCTGTAGGGCAGTCATTCTCAAACTTTAGTTTGCAGATAAGGACCTGGGAAACTCATGACATACAGATTCTTGGCCCCAGTCTTAGATTATTTAGTAGGTCTTAGGAAAGGCACAGGAAACTGAATTTTAATAAGTCACTTAAATATAATCTGTGGTCTAGATTTTGAAAAGTCTATTCTACAGTCTTCCTATCTCTGTTGTATCTTTCAAACTATTTCCAAACAAAGCATCCTACAGATTATATCATGCTTATTCACTAATTTATGCCTTCAACTATTTGTTGAACACCTTCTGTGTTTCAGTACTCTCCTATGTATTGGATTCATAACAGTGACCAAAACAAACATCCCTGATATCATAGAGTTTATAGTCTGTGTTTCCCCAGGTTTAGGAAGAGGCTTCTATAACTTATCAGATTTGATCCACGTTCTGAGTCTGATGTTAAGATTTTACTAACTTGTCTCTTACTATCTTTCAACAAGGATGTTCCTCTCTAGTCGGGTCATTTTCTCTTACTGTTTTTTAGCCTTTCTGTCTCCATACAAAGTCAATCTACCTCTGGTCTTTGGTCTTATTATTCTCCACAGAAATATTGTTCAGTATTGTGGACAGGGAATAAAGTTGAGAAAGCAAGATTCATTTATTCAATTACATACATATTTATTGTGAGCCAAACACTATTCTAGATATAAGGAAATTCAGCAGCAAACAAGACAGAAAACAACTATACAAAAAAAAAACTCCCAGAAATATCAGATAAATGCAATATAGGGTGTGACAGTGACAGTGACCCAGAAGCTACTTCATATAGGGTAGTTAGGGAATACATTGAGGCTGAGAGCTGAATGACAAAGATAGTGGCTGTGCCAAGAATGGATGCTGGTGAGAATGTCAAGGAAGGGTAACCCTCATATGCTGTTGGTGAGAATATAATTTAGCACAGTCATTAGGGAGAACAGTAGGAAGCTAAAAATAGAACTATCATATGATCCAGCAACCCCACCTGTTGAAAGAAAGAAAATCCAAAAAGAAAGAAAATCACCATATCGAAAATATATCTGCACTCCCATTTTTATTACAGCACTATTCACAATAGCCAAGGTGGAATCAATCTAAGTGTCCATCAATGGATGAACAGACAAAGAAAATGGTGATATGGATATACAATGGAATATTATTCAGCCATGAAAAATAATGGAATTCTGTCATTTACAACAATATGACTGGAACTAGAGGCCATTATGTTAAGTGAAATAAGCCAGGCACAGAAAAACGAATATTGCATGTTCTCACTCATGTGTGGGAGCTAAAAAAAAAAAAGTTGAACTAATGGAGACAGAGAATAGAATGGTGGTTACCAGAAGCTAAGAGAGTAGTAGGGACAGGGAGATAGAAAGGGGATCGCTAATGGGTACAAAAATATAGTGAGATAAAAGGATGTAGTGTTTGGTACCAAAATAAGGCAACTATAGTTAACAATAATTTATTGTATCTTTCAAAATAACTAGAAGAGTGGAATTGGAATGTTCTTACACACACACACACACACACACATACACACACACAGACAAATAAATGCTTGAGGTGATGGCTATCCCAATTACTCTGATCTGATTATTAGACATTGTATGATTGTATCAAAATATCACATGTATCCCATAAATATGTACAACTAATATGGATCCACAATAATAAAAGATAAAAATTGTAATGTAAATGTAAATAAATGTAAAAAAGGAATTTGCATGTTTTCAATATTTTCTTCTAAAATATTTTAAATTATTTATTAAAATTAAAGGGCAAAATACAAAATACATTTTAAAAAAATGGTGGCCATGCAAATTTCAGGGGAAGAGTATTATAGGCAGAAGGAATAGCTAGCACTAAGACTTTCAGATGAAAATGTTTGTAAGAAGAATATGAAGAAAGCCAGTATGGCTGGTGCACAGTGAGAGATGATAAGGCAGTAAAGGCTAGGATCAAAGAACTCCACGTAGGCCAGATGACACAGGGGCAAGAGTATGGATTTTATTCTAAGTGGAATAAAAGGTCACTGGAGGTTTTTAAGCAGGGGAGTGATGTGATCTGATTTATGTTTTAACAAAGCTCTTGTCTTTGGTTTCTGTGTGGAAACTATAGACAAGCAAGAAGAAACCAAATAGAAATTTCTGTGGCAGCCCAGCTGAATGACAACAGTGGTGTGGGTAGGTGGTAGTATGAATGGATTGAAATGGATAGACTAGGCAGATGTTATGGAAGCAGTGTCAAGGGGCTTGGTGATGGATGGGATGTAGTGGGTCAAAGAGAGGACTCAAAGGTAATTCTGAAATTTTTCACTTGAGTAATTGACTGGGTGGTCATATCCTTCACTGATCTAGGGAAGACTGGAGAAGGTGCAGATTGGGGTGAGAGGGTAAAATCAAAAGTCTAAATGGTGGGTGATGTGGCTGAATATATAGCTGCTGGAGTCAGACTGTAAAAGGCTTTCAAGAAGAAAAAAATAGTGGCGGCCCCTATTACTATTAAGATTATCTAACAGGATATCTGACAAAAATTATATATTGTAGCATTTTCAGAGCTTGAAATACTGGTTTATAAAAATGGGGAAATTTTACTCAGTTACGAGTTCTATTGCCAATGGGCAGTATCTCAAAAACAGGATGTCTGTAAAGAGGATCTTTGCTGTGACGAGGAAGAAAAACTGTTGCTTTTTGTGAGAAAATGTTTCCAGTTTACAATTAATTTTATTTTTTGGACTGAATTCCTTTTCCAATTCCACAAGCCTGATTAATAAGAACGCTCCATTTATAATTTAGGAAATAGAGACAGGGAAAATCATCAGAGAGAATGCAAGTGATGAAGAAAATCAATGTGCTTACCTACTCTGTGTTCACTTATCCTTCATTTTCCACTTCTTTTGTCTACATAAAAACTTGGGCACTGAAGCCAAGTGAACCATTGAAATGCATATTTTTTTTCCTAAAGAAGCAAATTTTGGCTCATGTGTGTCAATTTCAAAAGTAGCTGCTTCTTTCCTAGATGAGCCATTTTCTAAATAAGTGATTTTGTTTTTTTGTTTGGCAAGTTGAGTAATTTTGGCTTTGTCAATAGTTGGTATTATCATCAAATAAGAGGCAAATTATTCACTGTGAATGAATTAATATCTTGAAGAATCACAGTTACTTATACCCTGAGTGATAAGCTTGGGAACTGTTAATCAGCGCACTGACAGAATTTGTCAATGAGATCAATGCATCACTGTTGGGGATCTTCCAGGAATGATGGAAGACAGGAAACTGCCAGAAGATTAGATTCATTCATTTGCTTGCTCCTTCTTTCTTTTTCTTTCTTCTGCTTCTTCCCTTCCTCTTTCTCTTCCTTCCTTAACATATATTCATGATCTTTTCTGTGCTAAGTGTCAGGGATAACCTTAAGGAGACCATATACTGCAGTGTTAACAATCTAGTGGGAAAATAAATACATGAAGACATCAGACATCAATAGAGCACAGTGTACTAAGTACAATAATAAAGGTCTATAAAATGTTTTAAAGTGCAGATAAGACTCTAACTTGCCCTGTGGGGATTAGGAAGGGCCTCACTGAGATAAGGAAATACAAATTTGGTAAGTGGAGAAGGCAGTATTTTAGGCTGAAGAAAATATATGTGCAAAGCCATGCTCTTGTGAAAAAATATGATCACCACTACCACAACAACTGCAATACCATGTACTTACTTTACGTCAGGCACCATGTTAGGTACTTCTCATAAATGAATGTATTTAATCATTACAACCACTCTATAAGGTAGGTATTATTCCCATTTTTTTTTATAAGAAACTGAGTCCCCAAATGGTTAAGAAACTTGTCCCAAAGA
The DNA here is from genome assembly GCF_000001405.40 of Homo sapiens. Classification (NCBI taxonomy): domain Eukaryota; kingdom Metazoa; phylum Chordata; class Mammalia; order Primates; family Hominidae; genus Homo; species Homo sapiens. The sequence goes on from NC_000015.10 coordinate 35,134,831, forward strand.
AAAACTTTAGGGGGTTGCTTAGGAAGTTGTGACCACTTTGGTAGGTTGGTGTGTGAAGGGTATGGTGGAAAATGTCTAGAGATGAGGCTGGAAAGACCACCAGAAGTTTAAGAAATACTAAAGTACATTATTGGGTAGGGTTTAGGCTCACTCTTAAACAGGACACATTTTTCTATCTCTGTCTCCATCCACTCAGTTTTTGAATATCTGTTACATAAAGGACTTTAAGGAGGACACAAAAATCCTACATAAAATGACAAAAATCCTACATAAAATGAATAAAAATGAGGGTGAAAGAAGAGAAAAGACAAGAAAATGTAATGGAGTTAGGAATAAGGCCAGCTGAGTAGACATAGTGAAACTCGGCAGACACTGGTGTTGTTTTACATCTTTCTGTGGAAGTTGAACCAAACCAGGAGAGAAGACCAACCTACCCACTGAGTGAGCTGAAACTGCACCCACTGGAAAGGCCAGGATTTTCTGCAATAATGATTTCCGAAGTCATTTAATCAGATGAATAGTGAATAGATGCAAAATAGAAGTCCTAACGTCTTATTTCTCATAGCACATTTGATATGATTTTAGCTTGAAAAAAATTATAAAGGCCAGGCCACTAGGTCAGGCACGGTGGCCCATGCCTGTGATCCTAGCACTTTGGAAGGCCAAGGCGGGTGGATCGCTTGAGCCCAGGAGTTCGAGACCAGCCTGGCCAACATGGTGAAACCACGTCTCTACTAAAAATACAAAATTAGCTGGGTGTGGTGGTCCATGCCTGTAATCCCAGCTACTCAGGAGGCTGAGGTGGAGGTTGCAGTGAGCTGAGATCCCACCACTGCACTCCAGCCTGGGTGACAGAATGAGACTCTGTCTCAACAAAAAAAAAAAAAAAAAGGAGATAAAACCAGATACCCACCTTAACCAAAACACAATCTTAATAAGGCACTCATGGAATGTCTATCTTTAATAATTCTACTGCTTGAATATCTGCCAAAATAACCTGTGGCATTTATACCAGTTTAACTAAATAAGCGAACTTGCTGGTTGGCTCATTATTTTTAAACCCATTAAAATATTCAGACACCTAACAAATATGCTAACTTTGGTTTTGGGAATGTTTGATGTATAGCCCTTCCTTTTGGTAGATTAGCTAGAGGGGGAAGTTGATTATTCAGGCTGCTCTTAAGTTTATAGGATTTAGGTTGGGCGCAGTGGTTCACGTCTGTAATCCCAGCACTTTGGGAGGCCGAGGTGGGTGGATCACTTGAGGTCAGGAGTTCGAGACCAGCCTGGCCAACATGGTGAAACTCTGTCTCTACTAAAAATACAAAAATTAGTCGGGCATGATGGCACATGCCTATAATTCCAGCTACTCGGGAGGCTCAGGCAGGAGAATCACTTGAACCTGGGAGGTGGAGGTTGCAGTGAGCCGAAATCACGCCACTGCACTCCAGCCTGGGCAACAGAGTGAGACTCTGTCTCAAAAAAAAAAAAAAAAAGAAAAAGAAAAAAGGGTTTACAGGACTTAAATTACATCAGCCAAATAGTCTCTATTATAAGGGATCTTAATTGAATATATCCAGACATACTTATAAGATTATTTAGAAGCCAGTTCAAAAGAAGAGAGGAATAGAGCCAGAACACAAACTATGGAAAAGTTAACTGCTCTGTTAAAAGATCGTCTCAAGCAGTGCCAACTCTAGTGTCAGTAATCTGACTCTATTTTTGTATAAACATTAATAGGGATAGTATGACCAGAGAGGTCTATATTGAGCTTGTTTCTTGGCCAATAACCAATTCCTGTGCACAGAAGCAGAAATTAATAGAAGCTGCACATAATCTGAAAATGCTCCTGGTAGATATTTGCATGAAGTGGTAAAAAGTACCATAGTGTGGTGAGAGGCTGCAGCACGACAGCTAGCTCTAAAGGCCACCAATTCCTTATGAGAAAACTGTCCTGAGGAACAGAAACTAATAATTGGTCAGGCATGTGGGTTGTGTGTGATTCAAGTAAACTGTCAAGTGTCCTAGTAAGTCTATGATTTGGGGGCACAGAAGGTGAGCCTCTCTGAAAATGGAATAAATGACAATCTACCAGGAGGTACTGTGCCCCGAGTCAGTAAAAGTTTACAACACGCCATTAAAGAGGAGGGATCTCAATTCAGAAAAATCACTGAATAGCTCTGAGAGCAAAATGTCTTAACCAGGGACTTTATTGGTTTACGTTTTCAATCAGCTGAACAGAATGAGGCCCTGACTGGTGGAAGTTGAGGCAGTTAGCTATGTCTTAAGGTGACGAGAACTGAGTCTCCCTACCTATCAGTGGGGTCCCCACAACTTTTCCCCCACTCATTTCATACCTATGTTAACCTTGTCTAGAATCCATGCTTATTGTCTAAGGAAACCTAATGGCATGTGACATGGCTCTGGCTCTATAGGTCTTTTTGGAACCAGGGTTTTTTTCTGAGATAATAAAATGTGTTAAATAAGCTTTAAATTTTATATGGCCATAGTCTCCCTCCTTTCAGGTTTTTTTTTTTTTTTTTTTTTTAGCTACTCAGCAAATCTGGTCAAACTAGGTATTAGAAAAGTGAAAAGTGGGACCTGCATTTGTTTTGAAATGTGTTTTAAATTTAAATAAATTTTTTAAGTAAAATTGATGGTAAATTCTGCTGATCTGTGGAAAGGGATTAACTTTAGTTTCAAGTTCCAGAAGCAGAGATTCATCTGGTTCTCAGTGAATTGAAAGAGATTCAGTTGGCCATCAGTGAATGTAGAAAGCCACTCAGTCAGCTGTGCTACTTTGAGCTCCCCTCAAACTCCTAGTCCAGTTGTCTATGCTCATAACTCACACATGTAGAGTTATATCTAGGATTAACCCAGGACAAAAGCACTCGCTCATCACCCATTTAAAATATCCTTTCTATGGATGATGAGAATCCCAGAAAAATCTGTGGGGCTGGATTCTGGAGAAACATGGGTAACATTTCTAGATTTCCTCAATGTACTGTGATTCAATTTATCAGATAAATGAACATGTTGAGGAGTTTTCTCTTGATTTGACAAATTTATCTCTAAGAGAACATTCCATAGTCATTCTATTGGAGACACAGTCTTCATTTTTCATGAATTTCAGGTTGCCACCAATGTTTAGAGGGACTATTCAGCTTCAGGGTGACATATGAGCTATTTCCAAATATTTTGTAGGCTGTTATGCAGATGTAGTACTACACTCATTCATCAAAGCCATATAGGTGGAATAACATCTTAACAGTCATAGAGCTATGCAAAGTTGAAATTACCTTAGAAGGCTTGACCCCTATTCCCCACTCCAAGAGAAGTTCAGTAAGAGTGTGGATATCATTTGGCAGGAAAGTCATGTGTAGAGAGTACTTGGATCACATGATATGGAGCTCTCTGAACATAAAAGTTCTAAGAACAAGTGTTTAAAAAAATTGTTTTAAACCACTTTGTGGGGTTATCAGCTACATGATAACATCTGAGGAAGGACTTTTTGTTGGAGGCAAAATGTATGCTTATGTTTCACACTTCTAAGTTTTAAAATTGTTGTATTATTTATCACTTTTCAGAGAGCTTACTAGAAATAAATGTGAAAATTTCCTAAGATGTTGAATACTAATAAGGTCATAAATGAAGTTGGAATATTACATTTTTTCTTTTAGACATAACTCCTTGGGTTATATAGAACCCTAAATTTATTTATGTTTTACCTTTTTATTTTGGAAGAGTTAAAATTTATAAAAGTTGATAGACTAGTACAAGGAACGCTTATCTACCTATCACCTAGCTTCAAGAATAATTAATTTCTAGGGCAGAATTATTAATTTAAAAGGCAGAATAATGACCCCCAACAAAGATGTCCATGTCCTAAACCCTGGAACGTGTTACTATATTAGGTCACATGGCAAATAGGAATTAAGGTTGCTAATCAATTGGCCTTGGGATGGGGAGATTATCTTGATTGTCCAGGTCAGACCAATCTAATCACACGAGTCCTTATAAGTACAGGAGGGAGGCAGAAGAGAAAGACCAGAAGGATAGCAATGTGAGAAGGACTTGGCCTGATGTTGCTAGCTGAAGATGGAGGAATGGGACCCTGAGCCAAGGAATGTGGGTGGCTTTTAAGCTTGAAAAGGCAGGAATTTGGATTCTTGTCTAGAACCTCCTGGAGGCATGTAGGCCTGCCAGCCAACACCTTGATTTTAGCTTAGTGAGACTCATTTCAGACTTCTGACCCATAGAATTATAATAAATTTTTGTTGTTTTAAGCTATTTAGTTTTCACAATTTTGTATAGCAGTCATAGAAACCAAATTGCTAAAAAAGAAAAAAGAATGTCAAAGTACGAAGAAAATGAAATAATCCTTAAGGATATAGGTAGAAATTTCTTTGTGTATGTTTTCAAGTAAAACAAGTATTTACAAACTTAGCAAAGAAAGAGAATGCTGTTATTTGTAGGGCTTTGAGTACAATAGAGATATAAGAGTGAATACCTATAAATGAGGTTTTAATATATGTTAACAAAAGTTAAATAGACATTTAAATTGCTGCTATTATTAATTTTATTAATTATTTAAATGATTTAAACTTATTATTCTGATCTTGTGGTACCATTTTTATTAAACTACTTATCTCCATTTCTTAAATTACAAATTAGATAGTCTGGCTTATTTAAATGTCTATATTATGATTGCTCTTGATGACTTTTCTTCATATGCTATTTATCATCCAGTTTCAACCAAAAGGCAAATATTGGAGAGGGAAAATCATATTATTTTATAAAAGCTAGTGAAATTGTTTATACTTATTAAGATATGGTACTTTCAATAAAACCAATTAAAGTCTAGAATCATTTTTCAAAATCATTCTTTAAATTCCCATTTATATTTACAGGTTTTTTTTTTCTTGTCTTGATACATAAAGTATTTAATTTGAGTTGAAAAATCAAGCAACCAATCACTCAACCAATGGAATGACTCACTTTGGAAACATATCCATAAGTGAAAACAAAAAATAAAACGAAGGCCAGGTGCAGTGGCTCACACCTTCAGGAGATCGCTTGAGCCTAGGAGTTCAAGACCAGCCCTGGCAACATAGTAAGACACTCGTCTCTGCAAAATATAAAAAAAAATTAGTGTGGCGGCACATGCCGTTAGTCCCAGCTACTAGAGAGGCTGAAGTGGGAGGATTGTGTGGGCCTCGGAGTTTGAGGCTGCAGTGAGTCATGATTATACCACTGCATGCCAGCCTTGGTGAAGAGAGCTAGATCCTGCCTAAAAAAAAAAAAAGAAACAAAAACAAAGCAATTAAAATTTATAAGCAGTCATTTTTGAAAATCAATGCAAATGACTTGGATGGAATTTTTCATATTTATTTTTGAATCTTGATAGTGTTAAAACAAAGGGCAAAAGATCAATGACTATATTACTGAAGTCACATATACTAATAGATCATTCATTTCTTTTATGTTTCAGGCCTTCCTCCTCTTAGATACCAGCTATATGATTCAGAATCTGGAGTGAAGTTTTATTAAATGTTATCATTCGAGGCAGATTCAACTATAGTGTTTGAAATGTGCAGATTATATTTCTTTGGAAAGTTGCAGGAAAAATGTTGTGGCAGCATATACGTGCCTTAGAAGTGTAATTTAAAAACACATATCAATAATATTGAGCATATGGCACAAACTTTAGCACACAGGCACACACTAAGTGACAAAATCTCAGGAATACATATAAGATTTGACATTCTACTTAATACACTTATTTTCAGAAACTTATTCCTTCCAGACACTATGAAAAACGAAAAGGTACAAAAGTGAGGATAGTCTCTAAAGGTATTATGGTGGTTAATTTTACGTGTGATAGTTAATATTACGTATCAACTTGGCTAGGCTACAGTGCTCAGTTGTTTGGTCAAATACAAGTCTAGATGTTAATGTGACGTGTTGATTGTATCGATGCTTTTAGATATGATTAGCGATTATAATCAGTAGACTTTGAGTAGAGCAGATTACCCTCTATAATGTAAGAGGGCCTCACCCAATTAGTTGGCCTTCAGATTAAAGAATGACGTTTCCTGAGGAAGGAGCAACTCTGCCTTGAAACTGCAGCATGCCTTGCTTGAAACTCCAGCTCTGCCTTGAAACTGCAGCATGGAAACTCTGCCTGAGTTTCCCACCAGCTGGCCTGCACAGCAGATTTTAGACTCAAGACTGCAATATCAACTTTTACCTGAATTTCCAGCCTCTTGGCATTTCAGACTTTCTAGCCTCCAAAATCATATGAGCTGTCTGTCTGTCTGTCTCTCTCTCTCTCTGTATGTATGTATAAATATATTTATATCTCTATCTACATATCCCATTGGTTCTGTTTCTCAGGAGAACCCTGACTAATAAAAGCTATTATTGCCCAAACACTTTTCAAATAAAATATTACCTTGATTACTTCCGAAATAAGGTAATTCTATAGTCTCATTGTGGAGACCTTTCAATGCCTTTATGTAAATTGATCCAAAATATTTTGTTCATTTTAACCCTAATTGATAATAACTTTTAAAAAGTTAAAAGGGATTTTATTTTTTCTACCCAATATTCCTCTTCCCTGAGATTGTTTCCCTACCTCTGCCCAGTGTCCACAACTTTCCTATCCAGCCCATGAGTCATCTCTCACATATACTTCATTTTTTCTAAATTATAAGATCAATGAAGAGTTTTAGAGACATTCTTAATTTTGATTTTTAAAAAAGTCTCTTTCTGTGACCATCACTACTGTGTTCTGGTTTGTAAGTACTCCCCTTGGTGACTGTTTTCTATCATGTTAACAATTTATGTTTAGCCAATAGTTAAAAAAAATGTGTGCTGGAATAATTGTTGAAATAAACTAAATGACTCTGGATCAATTACCATAAGGCTGTCTTAAGAAGACTTGTTTTGTCTGCCTTAAAAGAAGACCCTTTAATAGGGTTTAAGAGAAATTTGTGTCTTCATTTTATTTTTTAGGCTCAGAATAACTAATTCTGACTGAAACTCTAAAAAGAATTGGAAACAGCAGTTAATTAAAAGCCATATAGTCCATGGTCAGGAGGTCCACATTCCTACCTAAGTAGACAGCATATTTCAAAATGTTTATTAATATAGGATTTTTTCAAAACAAAGTTCAAAACTACAAAACTACTCTTTTGCTGTTGCTTAAGAGGGAGTTACCCCTTATGCAATTTATGACTCAGATTATCTTCTTAAACAATGTTACCCACATAAACCTTACTTGAAATCAATGGTACTGGCATTCAAACATTTTCCTTATATGGAGTTAACTGTGTCCTCTATCATCTGACTGAACCAACTAAAGTCATTTCTCTTAAAGACATCAACAGCTCAAGGAAAAAAAAAGTTTTCTCCCTAGGGCTGGGGGAGGACTTTTACTCTGCACTTTAAAATGTTTGCTCTGTTCCAAGAAGATATTAGGATCAGTTGACTGACAACAGGAAAAATTTTCCTGGCAGAGAAGGAAGCCAGAGGAGATTCACATGCAGACAAAATTTTAACTATCAGGCTGTTTGTGTACCCCATGTCTATTCTAATATGCCAAGCTGGGATAAATCAAATGGGCTCTAAAAATAGGAGATAAAAATGCAATTTCACAATAATTCTGAAGTTTACAGAATATCCATCTTAAGTGTTTCTTTTTTACAGAGTTATTTATTACTGGGCAAAGCTAAACGGCTATTTCAATACATGCACTACTCAAAGAAAAAAAAAAATCCCTGAAAACTCTGCCTTTAAAAAGCGTTATAAAGATACAACAGTTTTACTGAAGTGCTAGTGTGGGTTTAGAGAGACTAGGACCCACACAGAGATGCCCAAAATCTGTTTGTAATCAGGAGGGAAAGCAGGACAGATGAGCCATGTAGTGCTTGGTAGATGTGACCACTTTCCAGCTGGCCATCCCTCCACAGGAGAGGTCGGGACTGAAGTGCCCTGGCTCAGTGTGAGGTACATATCTATGCAGCTTGCCTCCATTATGTCCTCAGATCTTTAGAGCTGACAATCTCTTACGGATGTGGAAGCTGGACTCCAGGCATGAATGCAGAGAACTAAGCACACATGAAAGCACTGTTGGGGTGGACATGAAGCAAATGCTGCATAGCCCTCAGGACGGACTCCAGTCAGCCTTTCATAGCAACTTTATGATCATCCAGTTTTCCTTGGTTTCTCAAAGAAAATGTGCTCCTTGTGAGAATTAGTGGAACAACAGCTTGTAGATACCATCTTTAATTCCTGCCGTAATATATGTTATGAAAATCCCTCAAAGAGTACAGGAGGCCAGGTTCAGTGGCTCACACTCATAATCCCAGCCCTTTGGGAGGCTGAGGTGGGGAAATTGCCTGAGCCCAGGAGTTCAACAAAAGCCTGGGCAACATAACAAGAGCCCAGCTCTACAAAAATAAAACAATTAGCTGGGCATGGTGGCTCACCCTGTAGTCCCAGCTTCTTGGGAGGCTGAGGTGGGAGAATTGCTTGAGCCTGGGAGTTGGAGGCTGCAGTCAGCTGTGATTGCTTCACTGCATTCCAGCCTAAGGGACAAAGTGAGACCCTGTCTCAAAAAAAAGTGCAGGAAATTCTGATTTCTGAGTGTGAGGAGAGCAGAGGCTGGGCAGACTCTTCTGTCCAACAGTAGAACATTTTTACCATCTCCTGTATTGCCTTTGGGGACCTTACCTACCCCTTGGGCTAAGACTTCCAAATTGAATCTTCTAACCTAGCTGTCTTCCCCTTGCTGGGGTGAGCCTTTGGCTTTTTTTCTTGCTAAGATATTTCACAGGCAAAATGAAGGGTGCAAATGAAAATTCAAACTCGAGGCATTCAGGGTTAATTCATGGCTTGCTAAACCATCTAAATTGAACTTTAAATAATTAGACTTAAAATATATTGGGTCAGAAGATAAATCTGATCACAGCAATACAAGAAGAATCTGATCTGGTTTTACCTTCATTCTTCCCTGAAGAAGGCTCATTTTGAGAACAACTGAAGAACAAATTTAACTTAAATTTGATATAGATTGGATCAAGAAAACTAAAGACAATAGCGACAATGAAACAATATAAAAAAGAAAAGCTGCCAGACACTGATAACTCTAGGAGAATTAATGCAGTTGAAAATTACTTACTGTATGCAGTTTACAAGATTCTGTTTAAAAAAGCATAAACTATTCAGAAAGACTGAAATCTATTATATTAATGATATATTTTTTTCTTTGAGACAGAGTCTTGCTCTGTCGCCCAGGCTGGAGTGCAGTGGCACCATCTCGGCTCACTGCAAACTCTGCCTCCCGGGTTCACGCCATTTTCCTGCCTCAGCCTCCCGAGTAGCTGGGACTACAGGTGCCCGCCACCACACCCAGCTAATTTTTTGTATTTTTAGTACAGACGGGGTTTCACCGTGTTAGCCAGGATGGTCTTGATCTCCTGACCTTGTGATCCGCCCGCCTCGGCCTCTCAAAGTGCTGGGATTACAGGCGTGAGCCACTGCGCCCAGCCACCGATATATTTGTTTATAAAGCTTTCTTTATTTTAAAAAATAAAGCTATTTAGGAGAAGCATTTTTTGTGCCTCAAAACAATGCAGATAGAGAGAAACGGATACACAGAAATATTAACAGTTTGATTTTATTAAACTGTTAATTTCCTAATGATTTTTCCAGTTAGAACTTTTTTAGGATTATTTTAGGATTCTTTATTTTAATGTTTAATTTTTTCTTATTTTGGGGACCATTTTCCAAAAAGCATTACTTTCTGTTACTTCCAGTAAATGCATAGTATTTTATGGAAAAGCTGTCTTTTGTTAGATAACTTTTTACCCTTGGGAGGTGTTTTCTCTCTGTCTCTCATCTCTCAAAAATCCAAGGCAACTTATTTCAAATAAGTGGCAATAAATTGAAAATTTTCACAAGTGTTAATCTGGCCGAGGTGTACAATACTAATAAACCAAGAGCTTCAGGAATTGAGTTACTGGCTTAGCTAAGACCTGACTAAAATGGTTTACATTTTTTTAAAGTACTAAAAAAAGCCTTTTCTAAAATCACAGTATGCTGTTTTTAAGTCAATTTTGGTTTGTCTCTTCCATTTTTTTCTTGGTATGAACTTTGAATTTTAGGATTCTGAGGCAAAGATTTTAGTTGATTTCTAAGTGTAGGTAAATAACACTAACCTTATGATTAATTACATCTTCATTTCTTTTCTTCTCTAGATTATTGATTAAAATAAGTATTCTGTTTTTCTGCAATATGTTCTTTCTGCAACAAACAGAAATGTATAAAGAAGAAAACCAAAGTCATTTATAATCCCACCATCTAGAGAGAACCTCTTTTTACATTACGATGAATTTCTTTCTAGTCTTTTGTGTGCATATATACATTTCCAAGTTACTTATTTTGGATTTCATAACATAGATGTGCTATCTTTCATGTTGGCACTTAACAGAGAGTTTCATTTTTTACTTTCCTAGTGTCCTTTAACTGAAATTCCTTTACATGTGAAGCAACTGTCCTAGAATTTGGGAAGACCAATGACTGACAATTATTCTTCATTAGAGGAGTTACAATATGAAAGTACTGCTTGGGAGCTGGTTAGCTGATACAAACAGTATGAACATTCTAGGGAGCTAGCTCCAGCTGCATTCTTTAAGCTGGCAGGCTATTCTAGAAGGCTAACAATACACTTGCGCAGAAAACAAATGTTCCCTGTTCCTGTCTATGAGGGGTAGATCCCTTCAGTTTGTCAAAATTCTTCTGCCATTTCTCCCTTTGCTGGAATCCAGTCCTGGACATGCAGTGGACAATTATTGACTTCACTGGAACACACAGAGATGAAAACAGCTTCAAGTTCTGGGGTAGTAACCTTAGCCAGCCATCAAAGAATTATTTTATTTATGCACTGTGAAAAGGATGGCTGGAGATATTTCTATCTGTATATCCATCCACTTCTCTCTCCATCTATCTATCTACATTGTTTTGAGGCACAAAAAATGCTTCTCTTAAATAGCTTCATTTTTAAAAATAATGTTTTAAAAACAAATAGTATATGAAACATTTAAATCCCCTCTGCAATAGCATTTGTGTAATATTTCATAGTTGCATACCCAAATAAACAAAAGCCCAAAATGCCAAAAGGCAACCACCAAAATGGTATATAAAGGTTAGATAAATGTAATGGGCTTATAGTTTCTGTGTGTGTGTGTGTGTGTGTGTGTGTGTGTGTGTGTGTGTGTATACATACATGCATGAGCACTTTATTCAAAGTTTTACTCATTGAATATATATTACTTCAATAACATATTAGTTGAAAGTAACGTTACTTTTATGATAGATAAAACAAAGTAAGCTTATAAGGAAGAATTTTAAAAGTTCTCACTGCAATAATCTTTCAATTGCGGTTCTTAAAAGTATATTTGACCACAGAATGTATTTTAAAAATGTAATATCAAAACCTAAAACTGTCAAGACTATTTCTTTGCTGAATGTTATGGGTATTGCACTCCATGTTTTGTTTTAATATTTCATTTTCTCATCTCCTTATTTCCTCCTGTTCTCTCCTTCTTATAAATACTAGCATAGTCATACATCTAAACATTATCTTTTACTTTGGATGTTATGATGAGAGGGAGAAGAAAATTGATATGTTTTTACCTTTGCATTATTTCAACATGATCTCATATAGTTCTTTTAAACATTTTTGCCCTATATATTTTCTGTCCTTTCCTTCTCTCTCCATTTTCCTCTCTTTCCTAGAATAATCATGTTGATCTGCCGTATTGCAGAAGTAGCAGTAATGGTACTACTAAAGGTGAATTTGAAAAATTTTACAACATTTATTATCATTGTGTCTGGGCATTGACTTAGCCTGTACATTATTCATATATGGAACCTCTAAAAGTCTTTAGGCTTCTTTATTTAAAATGGTATTCATTTGGTGAATATCTACCATGACCTTATCACCCAACATGTCACCAAGCAGCTAATCAGGCTGTCCTGATGTCCTACTATCAAGGTTAGTCTATTCATAAATGTCTTGGGAAAATCGTAATTGATTCTAGAAAAATCAAAGTGGGGACAACACTCCTGATCTCTTTTTCTGGAGGAAACACTGGTTAATATACATTACATATAACAGTGTCACATTTATTGAATAAATTAAGCTCTAAAGTGCCAAATAGAGCTCATTATTGCCATCAAGCAAGCACTTACATGGTGCTTTCTATATGGCAAGCATTTGATCTAAATGCTTGATGTATATTAACTCATTTATTCCTCTAACAATCCTATGAATAGGTACAGTATTATTCCTGTTTAACAGATGAGGAAATTGAGGAGCAGGGAGGTTATAGAAATTGCCCAAAGTCTTGTAGCTCTTAAGCAGCAAAACTAAGATTTAAAGCCAGACAGCTTACCTTCCGACGCCTTTCTCAATCACAATGCTATCATACTTTATTATCAGTATATATTTCATCATTTATTTTTTTAATATACAGAGCATTATCCATGCACAGGGAATGTAAAAAAATATAAAAGAGTTTCTGCCTTCAGGGTTCTTCAATCTAGTTAGAAAGAGTAAACAATATAAAATTGTAAACAATACTAGGCAGCAGAAGCAGTGACAAAGGAGTCATTCAGATGAGTTTTCTAGGATTTTTAAGGTGGCCTGGTCGGTGATAGCATGGGAAATTTGGAAAGGCTTCATATATCCAGACTTGTGAAAGATTTGGACCAAGGATCAAGATGCTCTTTAAGATCTTTAAAAAAAGTAATCAGAAATACAGGTAACTTAAAAATGTACTCAAACTCACTAAGACAGATGGTCTGAAATAATCTGAATTATCTGTGGGTAGAGTGAGTACTTGATTAAACCCCAGCAGGTGAGTGAGAATTACTAATATAAAACAATGGAATTTAAAACACAATTATTATGCCATTAATATAGAAGAACTAGAGTGATCAGATAATTCAGAAAATGCTTGCCTTGATGCCTTTAAAAGTGGGACATGCAACGCCTTGGGCTGCAAACAATTAGTCCTGCATGTCAGAAGCTTGGGAGTGACAAGACCATTTGACAGCTCTGAACGATGAATCAGTGCCCAGGAGAACAGCAATCTAGAAACTGACTTGATTTGATACTTCTTTTTGCTTAAAGCAACCAACATTTCAGTGATCTATAGTACTCCAGGGTTATATTTATCTACAATTACTGTAATGCAATTGTTTCAGAAGAAATAATGGGTAAGTTAAATAACAAGACCAATGGCACCTCAGGATAAATAAGAATACAGGAAAATTTAATTGTTAAAAATCCTGTATATCTATTTCTGCCACCTCTTTTAAGTTAACAGTAAAGTTATTTCATTTTTCTTCCATTTAACTCACAAGCTACAAGACTGTACTATAGTTTGGCTCCCCATTTTAGCTAATTATAGTTTATTCTATAAATTCCATATTTACAGGGAACATTATGTATCAGTTTCTTAACATTAATGTCTTTTGTAGAATGTGTTCAGCTTACATATAGACTGAATATAGGTTGAATATTGGTTCAATAGATTGAAATATATTCAATATTTCAATGGATTCTAATAATCCGGTATAATTATTTTCTCTCTAGTATTCCTACCATCCACTCAGTTATTCACAATTAGAAACCTAAGGGTCATTTTTGGTTCTTTCCTTTCCTTTTCTACTCATACTTAGTCAACACGTGTTCTTGATCATACTTCTTAAATATTTTATAAATGTGTATAATTCATAAAGGCAAATTATTTCCATAGACCCGGAGGCATATATATTCCTGCTGAAATTAGAACCCAGGTCTTTTGATTCCTCATTCAGCCCTTTATTCGATCTATGATACTTTCAGAGTAGGGACTTTCTTTTTAACTCAAATCTGTCCTTTCTCAATAAGTAACTACAGAGTAAAAAATAATAAATGCAAGCTCCCTGCAAACATTAAAAAAGGGCACAGAAATACCAATGAGTATTAATGTGCATAAAACACTATTAGCATTACCTATGACACTTGACTCTGAATTTATCATTCTTATGCTTCATTAAAGAATGTTTTGCTGAATGTCCCCCTGGTCAATGTCTCCACCTGTGCTGTGGATCTTAACTGCTTTTGCCCCCTCCTGAATCCTGCTCAGGGAATACTTCCCTCCCCACAGTATCTAACATCTCCATCCCCCTTCTCTCCTCCCTTGCTCTTTCCCTTCAGCCTATAACTATCCTTATATTTCTTCCAACTTAAGAAACAAAGAAAAGCAAACACACACAAAAACCCCAAAACTAAACTAAACTGAAAGCATTTCCTTGTCACCTCCCCTCACCACACAACTGTCACTAGTCTTTGTTTGTTTGTTTGTTTTTTGAGATGGAGTCTCTCTCTGTTACCAGGGCTGGAGTTCAGTGGCCCCATCTCGGCTCACTGCAACCTCTGCCTCCCAGGTTCAAGCGATTCTCCTGCCTCAGCCTCCCGAGTAGCTGGGATTACAGGCACCCACTACTACGCCCAGCTAATTTTTTGTATTTTTAGTAGAGACGGGGTTTCACCATGTTGGCCAGGCTGGTCTTAAACTCCTGACCTCGTGATTCGCCTGCCTCGGCCTCCCAAAGTGCTGGGATTACAGGCGTGAGCCACTGTGCCTGGCCCACTAAGTCTTCTTTAGTCAAGCTACTTACAGACCTGACCACCACACGGGCCTTCCTCACTGCCTGACTGCCATGCACTCCTCAACCCACAGTCACTTCTGGCCTGGCTATCACCATGCCTACCATCATCTTTGTTTTGCAAAGCCAATGTACACTTTTCTATGATTTTGCTGAGCCTTTTATAGAATTTGACACAACTGACCATTCATTTATTTAATGAACAATTAATCAGTTATTTCTATGGGCCAGGCATTGTGCTAAAGAACAAGCCTCACTTAGTATTCTGCAATAGACTACAATTAGATTCAACTGTTCACAGGCTATGATTGCACTAGAGGTGCATAAAAGAATTATCTCTAAAGCTAGGGTCTTCTCACTGCCAGTGAGTGGACAGTGAGTGCAGAAATATTTTTATTATGTGTATCCATTCATGTTAACTACATATGCGATCCCGATGCTTGTTCTGCTCCATGGCCCACACATCTCTTGAATGTAGAATACCTGCACCAGCTTTCTCTGAGGAGAATGAGGATCTGGTCCACTGGGAGTCTTACGACTTTTTAATTTTATGTCCTCAACTGTTTTACATAAGGGACCAGCAAATTGGAAGTTGGAAAGATTTTTGCAAATAGAGACAATGTAAATGTTATTTTCAATTGAGCCTCATGTCCACCTTTTAAAACTAGATTACTCTTTCGGAGGTGACAGAGAGAGAGAATGACAGATCAGAGTTATAACTAGAAAATAAGGAACATATTTCTTATCAGATGGTGCAATTTAATAAAAGTAACAACAAAGGAGGGGCTTGAGAATAATTATAGAGAAGTTCCTTAGCCATTTGAACTGGCAGTAGACAGTAAGAATTTATATGAACCCATTTAAGAATCTCATTTGGTTTCCAAACAGTATCTGCCAATAGTGATGTACAGAACAACTCCACAGCTGTTATTCATAATAAATGCTTACAAATATAAGAAAACTATTTGGCCATGGATCATGGGAGTTTTAAACAAATATACGTCTGGAAGGCAGAGCTCGTGTTGTAAATTTTATGCAAGGCCCTTAGAAATCTACTTCAGTAAACAGCAAATGTAGCCATTACTCCTACCTCAATGTGCAAACTTGTGGCGAAGAACACATGCTACAGCCTTTACATGGGAGATCATCATATTCATGCAAAGTAATAAAAACAATCACAAAGATTCAGGCCCCAGTGTTTTCCTGCCACATAGCCATGTAAACAATAACTAAGATTTAGATGCTACTCGAAAGAATCATAGAGATATTAAAAGATGATGATGCCAAAAATTCGAATTTCCGTTAATAATCGAAATAAAAACAAAGGGTTTTTTTCTGGTTTACATTTCTGGCTCCAAATGATGATGTTTCTATGAGGTTTTGGAGACATTCAGAACACAAATTCAATGGCTATATCTTTCATAAGTTTATTTTTCAATTATCTCATCTCTCTCCTGCTTCACCAACCCCGCGAAAACAAAAGATAAATAAAAGCAAACATCTAAAGGTAATGAGACAGGAAGAAGTAAAACATGTAGGTAACTCGATTGAGTTACTCAACTTTAACCCGGGGAAGTGGGTTTGACTTTCATAGTAACCAAAATTTCTAGTAATTCATGTTAGGATTAATTTTAGCTTCTGGATCTATGTTTTTCTTTTAGCTTAAATTACAGCATTGTTTGTAAAACTGTGGTCTACAGTATTGTTTTTAAAATGTAACGTGCATTCAAAACACCTGGGGATCATATTAGAATGAAGATTCTGACTCAGTGGGTCTATCCTGTGGACTGAGAGTCTTTATTTTTAACGAATTCTCAGGTGACATTGATGTCTCTGGTCCATGGACCACACTTTGAGTAGCAGGCATCTGGATTTGAGAATATAGCAGATCCTCAAATAATGTAGTTTTGTTTAACACTGATGAGAAATAAACAAATCAATCCCAGGCTGGGGCCACCATCTGTGTGGCATTTGCATGTTCTCCTCATGTCTGCATGGGTTTTCTCTGGATACTCCATTTCCTCCCACATCCCAGCGACGTGCACTGTAGGTGAACTGGCATGTGTAAATGGTCTCAGTCTGACTGAGTGTGGCTGTGAGTTTAAGTGTGCACCTGTCCAGTGTGGTGCCTGCCTTGTGCCCTGAGCTACTGGGTTGTGTTCTGGGCCACCCTTGACCCTGAACTAGAATAAGAAAGCTGGAAAAGGAATAAGTGAATGAATACAAATTATTATAAAATAAAAATGCGTGAAGTCTATGCTAATCATACAAATGATAATAAGCGACGCAGAACGAAATGCTCAGCAAGTCCACTACGTTTGTTATTGTTTGTTTTTGAATGTGTGGTGCTCGGAAGTGCTCCTTACAATTTTCACTTTGAAGAAATTTATTCCTTGATTTAACTCACCATGACTACAACTGCTGTCACTCACTGAGTCATAAAAAATTGGGTAAATAATTATCTTACTTGTTTTTATTCATCCTTCTTAAGTGTACATATAGCTCACATTAATTTCAACGTTTAAGATTAGATGTGTTTTTAATCTTTATTTAGAAGTTTAGTAACGTTTTTGTGACCAGAAATATGCCTAGGAACTTAACTCTTGTTTATATCAATTAGCCTATGGTAAAATTAGTTTTCTTATACATCATTTCACATAAAGTTGCAGTTTCCAGGAGCCTAGTGACAATGTTAAGTGAGGACTTACTGTATTAGTTCCTTGAGATGCCTGGAGAGTTCTGTGCCTAGTATTAGTAAGTTAGGAACCACTGCATATTGTGTCATCCTCTTGAAGAGTCACAGTTGACATCAGCATATTAAAAAAAACTCTGAAAATTTTAAGGTTTGAGACACTGGCCCAAAGAAGAGTACATCCTAATTAGACCATTACTCCAAAATCGATTTCCTCAGAAAAACGATTATATTGCATTTGTTTGTTTGTTTTTTGTTTTTTATTTTTTTGAGATGGAGTTCTGCTCTTGTTGCCCAGGCTGGAGTGCAATAGTGCGATCTCCGTTCACTGCAACCTCCACCTCCCAGGTTCAAGCAATACTCCTGCCTCAGCCTCCCAAGTAGCTAGGACTACAGGCATGTGCCACCACACCTGGCTAATTTTGTATTTTTAGTAGAGACGAGGTTTCACCATGTTGCCCAGGCTCTTCTCGAACTCCTGACCTCAGGTGATCCACCCACCTTGGCCTCCCAAAGTGCCGGGATTACAGGTGTGAGCCACTCAGCCCAGCCAGATTACATTGCATTTTTGAGATGAGAGGAAGAAGTTAGAAATAACGGGCTTTGTTGTACTTAGTGGGAGGAATATAATTTTATTCTAGAAGGTAAATGAACTCTCTGAGATTTAGCTAGGGCAGGGCAGCAGAATGTGACAACAGTGGTGTTTCTGCCACAACTACAAAAAATATCATGATACAGGGGTTGGCAAACTACAGCCCTTGTGGTCAGTTTTTGTATGAAGCAAAGAAAGGCTTTTATATTTTTTAATGGTTGAAAAACATCAAAAGATTAATATTTTATGATGTGAAAATTATGTAAAATTAAATTTCAGTGTTTAAAGATTTATTGAAACACAGCCCCACCCATTTATTTATGTATTGTATACGGCTGCTGTCACTGTACAAAAAAGAGGTGAGCAGTTGCTGAGAATGTATGGATCACAAAGTCAAAAGTATTTACTATCTGGCATACAGAAAAAAACCTGCCAACTTCTGCAACAATGGACATAAAAACATAAATTTACAAAGATTAAAATATATGGTATTTTATATTTTATTTTTCCCCTCCTCTTATTTTTAAAAATTATAGTTTATTGCCTAAGATTCAGTATTAGGCCCTATATTTTGTTTAGTGAGGGTGTCGAACTAAAGAAAAAATGCATAGGTGGTTAGATGGTATTTGTATTTAAGTATTTCTCAAGGCTTAACACTCAATTAGGACTTTAGGAACTTAGGCCTCTACATTGTTTGTATAATTAGGCCATCCTTCTAAGAAGCATGGAGCTTGTGAAATGGAAGATCTCTGGTTCTGCAGAACATCATAATGAATTTAGTATGTAAGTTTGACCCTTGGAACTGTGAAGAGCAGAAGAGCTCTGTAAAAGAAAGGGACAAAAATCTGCAGAGTCCTAAAGGAAGAGAAAGAGAGAAAGACAGAGAGAGAGAGAAGAAATGAACAAATGGAAGATCATAGGTAACATAACATAAGCCCCTTCAAGAGAGCCCCTCAAAACATTCCAAAAGTCTGCAAATGACATGAATGCTTGAGGTAGGGGATTTTGTTGTGAAAATCTGGAAAGGGTGGAGTTTAACATTTGGGGTGAGTAATAGCTCAAACCCAAGAGATAAAGAAAACCAAGGAAATTAGTAGAAAAATTGGGGAAGGCACAAGGATTTCAGAAGCTGCATAATTGAGTAGTTCATACTTGAGTGGTTCATCTTACCTAGATCTCCAGAGAGAGGAAGGTAGCATCTGATATCTGACTTACATAATCAATAAATATTTGTCGAAAGTTACAATTAGGAGGAATAATTTGGGGGGCTCTATTGCACAGTAGGGTGAAGATGGTTAACAGTAAGGTATATTACAAAACAGCTGGAAGAGGGTTTTTAATGTTTTCACCATAAAGAAATGATAAATGCATGCGGTGATGATGGATATGCTAAACCCTGATTTGACCATTACACAACATATACATGTGTCTAAACATCAAATTTTAGGCCATAAATACATACAATTACAATGTGTTAATTAAAAATAAAATAAATAAATAAATATTTGTTGAATGGTGAACTGGCACAAGTTACTTAACTTTGTAATGTCTCATTTCCTCTTCCAGCAAATGGGGACAAGAAAATCTACTTCTCGTCGCTGTGAGGATTAAATTCATTATGCATGTAGCCCTGTATCTGGCATGTAATAGGGCCTCAACTGGTGGTAATTATTGTTCCCATTACTTTTGTTTCATAATTTTAAGCAGACTGTCAGGCACATAGTAGGTGCTCAAGTAGCATTTGTTGCATATGAAATAAAAAAATGTTCTCTCCATGACAAATGTGAACCCAGTATGAAACCATGGGTACCTTTTAAATAGTGCTGTAGTTTTACATTTTGACTATGACTGAAAGGAACACTAATAAGACAAGTTGCCTAAACTGTTATGAAATTGGGATTATTACAGTGGCAGGTTCCTTTTACTCATAGTAGCCTTAACACTATCAAACCTCTGAGGCCCTGGAGACTCATTGGCCCTACACCGCCATAAGATATCATGCAGAAATATCACAGCCTGTAGATGATTGTAATCAAACACTCCTAAGTTTGATTGAGACAAAGAGGCAAAGAGGATAGCAAAAAATATCTATTCATTTTAGAAAAAATGTGAATAAGGGAGCCACATGAGGAAAATGTTCTTTTTCCCTCAGAACATTTTGGAAAATGTAACGTTTTACAACTGGCTGCTTCTTCCTTCCACATTTGAAGGTAGGACAAATTCAGAAAGGAAAATGGACCTTTATCTCTGGCCTGTCTATGACCTTCAGCAGAGGTTGAGATGGAAAAGAAAAAGTAGCAGATCTTCTCCTGCACAACTACAGTGCACATTGCCCGATCTTTTTTGCATCATTATAAAGTATTAGAGCTAACCATAAAAAAGGACTGGATTTATAAACTCCTTATAACTGAAACAAGAGCCAGAGAACTATAAAAGTTTGAATCCAGATTTTCTTTTACCTTGTATGTGTGTGTAGGACGGTTTTTGAAGCATGTTCAATTACATTATCTCATTTGATTCTCATAACAACTCTATGAAGCAGGCTGGCATAATTGTTCTCCATTTTATAGAGAAGCACATTGAAATCCTTAGAGATTAAGGGTTTCATCCAATTTGAAATGATTAGAAAGTACCAGAGATGGGACTAGGTCTTTCAGCTCTTTGTCCACTGCTCTTTCTACCTCATCAGACTGCCCTGGTCCATGAACCCCAGGGTGAAGGGCAAAGGGAGACTACGCATCTCCAGGCCTTGCATTGTGCTAGCCACAGGCTTGGCTGTCCTTATGTGAAACACATGCTAAGATGACATTTATCATGTTTGAATGTGTATGTAAAAGTGACACTCAGCTTGAGGGAGACTGGGTCACATTCATGAAAAAGATAACCACAGATACAGTTCAATCTTATTTGAATTGTGTTCTTTCATGAGAAAGGCACGATTTTGAGACATTACTATTATTACTTTGAATCACATTATATTTCTTATATGTAGAAATCACATTGTATTTCTTATAAAGTAGACCACTATTTTTTAAATGTTTATATTTTCTAGGCATAGTTTGAAATATCTGAAATAAAATTTATCTATTACAGTGTCATCTTTTTTAGTGATATGGAGCAAACCAGGTTTCTGACCAAGGTACCCTCTGCAGACTACACTGAAACATTTTATATTCTTTCACCTCTGATGAAATTCACATTTGAGAAATTAAGGGAATCCTGAATATCTGATGGTCTTCCTTTTTGTAAAAACCCAGCCCAGACTTAAGGAAAACCATAATACATTTTTCTCATATTAAATATGAAATATATGATATATGTAGTTACAATTATAATGTACAAAAATTGGTTTGTGAGACTGAAGTTTTATATTTGTTTTTGGCATATGTTGTACAAAAGAAAGCAGAACATATGAATGAACAAATTGAATAAGATTTTGGAAGCTATTTTTAAGAAGATAATAAACATTTCAAAGCATAAACTAAATGTTTCTTTTCTAAACATCTGGAATATTACATTTAAAGTCTCTTATTAGAAATAGTATGATATAAAAAAAGAGTTTAATAATAAATATCTTCTTTTGCAGTTTAAGGTGAAAATGCCACTACTGAACCTTCAACACTTTCAACACTTTAAAATGTTCTCCAAACACCTTTCAAGCTCTGTGTGTGGGAGTGGCGGGGGTAAAGGGGGTAGAGGATGGAAAGGATATGGAATGGGATGGGGCACACTTATTTGAGGGGAATCCCAAGGTGGACCTAACGACTAGAGAATGCAAATTCATTCTGGCTGTCTGAGAAAGACTCCGTTTTTGTCTTTGATTCAATTTGATGACACAGATTATCTGTCTTGATCTGATTATTCTCTTTTCCCTTTGCCCCAACAATTGCTATTTGACATCTCATGCACAGGAAAGACCCAGTGGGCCACAAATAGAGAAATACAGTTACAGGTGCTCTGTGTTTATGGAAACTAGGTGTCGACCTACACATTTATGGGAGTTGTCTATCACTGAGTTAGAACTTTCTGAGCACCACAGCTTAGACATTATATCCAGTTTACAGGACCTGAATGTGTAGATTTTCCTGGAGGAAATGCTTCTTTGAACTAATTTTGGAGATTTTACAACATTATCTTCTGAAGTATTTGACAGACACCACTATAATTTTGGATTTGTAAATTGAACCTTGATTAACAAGAATCATTACACAATCTGTTTCAGAAAAGTGGTTTCTATAGCATGGGATGGGACTAAGGCTGAGAAGGGTGAATGCAGATTGTTAGGCCTTAAAAATATTTGGGAATGATTCCGATCATCTTCTTTTACAATACTATAAACTTTTTAGGTAGGAGTTGCTCTAATTTTTCTGTTTCTTCATATAAACCTTTCAAATTAATGAAGAAAATCAAGTTGTTTCCCAAAAATATACTCAAGACATCACTGTACTCCATATCAAATTCAGAACTTCATAAATAACTTACTGGTTTGCTTGCATTTTTAAGATAATGTAACACAGTTATCTCTAA
Organism: Homo sapiens; assembly: GCF_000001405.40. NCBI lineage: Eukaryota > Metazoa > Chordata > Mammalia > Primates > Hominidae > Homo > Homo sapiens. Next base: position 35,157,366 of record NC_000015.10, read on the forward strand.
TGTTGGCTTCATGAATGTTAGGCATTATTTTCAAAATTAATGTGTATGTTTAAAATCTTGGGGGGTATTATAGATTTTATTAGATTCTTAAAGGAGTCCATGAGCACCTCTATCCCCCAGAAATTAAGGACCCCTATAATAAATAAGCAGACAAATTTACATGAGACTATTAAAACAGAAGGTCTTAGAGACCGGGTTGTGGTACTCTGTCCCCTCATTTCCGGCACCTTCTTTCAATCCTGCCCACATGCCTGGTGTTGAGGCTCCCTCTTGCTCTTCTGCTCCTATGCATGTACAATCAAGTTAATAACAAGAGACACACAGAATGGATGCTCCTACTGCATTCCTACTCTTTAATTATGAATATCAAATTGACCCTGAATCTTAGTGACCATTCCTGTTCTGTGAACAAATTGGACAATGAAGAAAGGAATTAAAAATGTTCTTCGTCACTCTCCTTCTTAAACTAAGAGCCTAGAGAAAGAAAGCCTAGCTTTTAAATTTTAGGCTGAATGGGGGAGCTGTAGCAATCAAATGTCAAAGGCATTTACTAAGAAGGATTCTAAAACAACCCAGCCAAAAAAAAAAAATCCTTATCAGATCTTCTAGATTTATAATCTTGTTTCTTTTTCTATTAAAAATACTTTCATTTTCAGTCTTAGAATCCCTGGGTAATACTTAAATACTACCATATTCCAACAAAGGAGGAGAATGGAAGAAGACATCTGCCATTGCCTAGGCTCCAGTTGTGATGCCTTCCTGTCTTCCACGTTTCTGTAGTGGCCAATTCTTTATTGTATGCCCCTATTTTGCATCATGGTCCCTCTCTCAAGGAAGTGGAAGGGCAGAAATGAGGGGAAAAAAGTGTGAGATTAAAAGGCTACCACTTGAATGAACTAAGATTTTTGTTTTTTATATCTTGATTGGCTATATAAGCATTTGGGGGAGAAGGTATCAGTATTTGCATTGCTGTCTTCATCAACAAAATTACATTTGCTAATGGTTTTCATGGAATTAGGGAATTATATGCACTCACCAAATGTAATATGATTCATTTTAAACAAACCCCCTTTCATGAATAAGGTATTTTTCTAAACATTCTTACAGCAAGTTGTTTTGAAACTCAAAAGTGCCAATGTTAATAACATCCATAATTATTTCTCTACAGCTTATGCTGTTATATATTATATAAGAAAAACTAGAAAAACTGGTAAAAAGGAGTTTAAAAAGAGTTCTCAACTTGAATTAAATAAGTGGGAGATAGAACAAATTATAGTACTTATGTTGGGAAAGCTATTTTTCAGCTTTTGAATTTTTTAGTTATGGCATGACTAAGAAAAAATTGAACGCCTACATACCAGCATACACAATGGGTTTTAGTTAGGGAAATTGGTTTTAGCAAAAGATTACTGGAAATGATAAAAAGAAAAAAACAAAAGAACTCTTCCGTCTCTCTACTTCTGACCACCTCTGACTTTACTCACCTAGAACAACCCTAATCTTCTTTAAAAATCCAACTCTCCACCTACTATCTGCCTGCACCAGGTAGCAAAGTTGGCTAGGAAAACACACAGGCTAAGCTCATTTTAAATAGAGAGACACTCACTGGTCTCATCTTAAATTTATATTTACTGATTTTAAATGGGCCTTCAGCATCCCACTATATTTATATAGTCGATGTATACTTCTACTTTTCTAAGCTGGTGTTTCACACCCATACCCTTTCCTTTTTCCCCAAATTCCGACATTTCTCTCTACTCCTCACTCTCAGCTAATGAGCTTGCCTCTTATTTCAATACAAGACTGAGAAATCAGAAAAGAATTACTTTATCTTCTCACTATGGAATCTACCTCCATGTACTCTGCGTTTTCTTTCTTTACAACGGGAACCATGTTCCCATGTAAGACCAACTCCTCTGCTTGTGCAATGCATCTCATTCCTTCTTGACCATTCACTTCTACAGCTATTCTTTCTCTTGTATCTTCAGTTTCTACTTTTCTACTGAATCAGCATAAATGCAGGCTGCAGTATCTCTCATTTAAAAAATACTCTTCTCTAAGACATACAAGTGGCCAAGAAACATGAAAAAATGCTCATTATCACTAACCATCAGAGTAATGCACATCAAAACCACAAAGAGATACCATCTCACAGCAGTCAGAATAGCTTCTATTAAAAAATTAAAAAAAAATAACAGGTGTTGGCAGAACTGCAGAGAAAAGGAAACACGTATACACTGTTGCAGGGGATGTAAATTTGTTCAGCCACTGTGAAAAGCAGTTTGGAGGTTTCTCAAAGAACTGAGAACTACCATTCGACTCAGCAATCCCATTACTGCATATATATCCAAAGGAAAATAAATCGTCACCAAAAAGTCACATGCATCTGTATGCTCATCCAGCACTATTCACAATAAGAAAAAACATAGATTCAACCTGGTGCCCATCAATGGTGGACTGGATAGAGAAAATGTGGTATATAAACACCATGGAATACCATACAGCCATAAAAAAGAAAGTCACATCTTTTGCAGCAACATGGATGGAGCTGGAGGCCATTATCCTAAGCAAACTAATGTAGAAACAGAAAACCAAATACTGCATGTTCTCACTTATAAGGAGCTAAACATTGAGTATACACGGACACAAAGATGGAAACAATAGACTGGAGAATACAAGAAGGGAGAAGAAGTGGGGGAAGGATTGAAAAGCTACCTATCGGGTACTATGCTCACTACCTGGGTGATGGGTTCAATCGTACTCAACATCATGCAATATACCTTTGCAGCAAATATGCACATGCATCCCCTGCATCTAAACTAAAAGTTGAAAAAAAAATTCTTTTCTAGACCACACATCCTAATTATTGTCCCATTTCTTCTCTCTACCTTGCAGCAAAATAAAACCTTCAAAAGGCTTCCATGTGTAGGCTTTCCATATTCACCTCTTCACTGACTTCTCTTTCTAGCCCACTCCATTCAGGCTGTCTTCTCCATTTTTCCACAGAAACCATTCTTGTCAGGATCCCCAGCATTCTCCTTCTAGCTATATCCAATAGTTGGTTCTTTATTTTTTCTTTTCTCAACTTTTATTTTAGGTTTAGGGGTACATTTGTGGGTTTGTTACATGGGTAAATTGCATGTTGCTGGGGTTTGGTGTACAAATGATTTTGTCATCCAGGTAGTGACAAAATCGCTACCTATAGTATCCAATAGGTAGTTTTTTGACCCTCAGTCTCCTCTCACACTCCCTCAAGTAGGCCCCCGGGTCTATTCTTCCCATCTTTGTGTTCATGTGTACTCAATGTTTAGCTTCCACTTACAAGTGAGAACCTGTGGTATTTGGTTTTCTGTTCCTGTGTTACTTTGCTTAGGATCAGAGGCCAGTTCTTAGTACTTATCTTATTTGACCCATCAATGGCATTTGATGCAATTAAGCTCTGTCTCTCCCTCTCTCTCTCTTAAAACACACTATTCTACATGGATGAAGCTGGAAACCATCATTCTCAGCAAACTATTGCAAGGACAAAAAACCAAACACCGCATGTTCTCACTCATAGGTGGGAAATGAACAATGAGAACACATGGATACAGGAAGGGGAACATCACACACCAGGGACTGTTGTGGGGTGGAGGGAGTGGGGAGGGATAGCATTAGGAGATATACCTAATGCTAAATGACGAGTTAATGGGTGCAGCACACCAACATGGCACATGTATACATATGTAACAAACCTGCACGTTGTGCACATGCAACCTAAAACTTAAAGTATAATAATAATAAAAAAAACACAAAACAAAACAACAACAACAAAAACACTATTCTTTCTTTGGTTTCTGAGACACAATACTCTGCTAGTATTCTTGTTGCCTCAGGAACTTCTTAGTCTCCTTACTGAATCCGCCAACTCTTTTAGTCCTTGGCATTTTTCCTCCTCCTTCAACTTCCTAGGTGTTCACATCCCTTTTGTGGTTTTAAATCTTTATGAGAAGCCTTCCAGATTTATACCTCCCACCTCAAACTCTCCCTGAGCTCCACACTCCTGTAGTTAAGTATTCATATTTACTTGAGTGACTGATAAACAAGTCTGCATCTGCAGTTAAGAAAAGCAGAAAAATGACCACAACCATATCTCCCTGTTATGGACTGAATGTTTGTGTCTCCCCCAAGTTCATATGTTGAAACGCTAATCTCCAATGTGATGGTATTTGGAGATGGAGCTTTTGGGAAGTAATTAAGGTTAGACAAGGTCATGAGAGTGAGGTTCTGGTTTGATGGGATCAGTATCTTTTTAGAAGAGACACCAAGAGCTAGCTTGCTAGTGTGCTCGCTCTCTCTCTCTCTCTCTCATTCTCACTCTTTCTCTCTCTGCCATGTGAAAACACAGAAAGATGCCAGCAAGAGAGACCTCAACAGGAAGCAAATCAACTAGCATCTTGATTTTGGACTTCTCAGCCTCTAGAACTGTGAGAAATAAATTTCTGTTGTTTAAGCATCCAGTTGTTGGTATTTTGTTATAGCAGCCCAAACTGACTAATACACTCCTCTTTGCCTTCCAGACTGCTTCTCCTCAGGTTACCCCATTTTGATAAGTGGCAGCAGTATTTATGCACTTGCTCAGGCTAAAGGGCCAGAGCCCATCCTTGACTTTCTTTCCTGCATTCCTCATCCAAATTCACCAACATCCTATCAAGTCTTCAATATATACCCTGCATCTTGATTATTTCTTGCCACCTCAACTGCTACTAATGTAGCCCAAGACATGTACATTGTTAGCATAAACTACAGTACAGTCTTCTAATGGATCCCCTTGCTTCCAGTCTTTCACATGCCCAAGCCTAGTTCCTTCATAATATTCTCCACACAGCAGCCAAGATATATTTTAGAAAGGTGAGTCAGAAAATGCTACTTTCCCTGCCTGAAATCGTTCATGGCATCCCAGGACATTCAGAATAAAATCCAGCTGCCTAAGAGGGATCTCAAATGTTCTCCATCATCTGGCCACTGTTTATATCTCCATCTTTCCAATGTTTTGTTTATTTTCTCTGTTCTAGCTGCATTTGCTGCTTCTAAGCATGTTAATTGTGTTCTTGCCTCAAAGCCTCTGCAGGAGCTACTTAGTCCTTCTGAAATACTCTACTCTCAGAGCGTGGCAGGACTCATTCCCTCACTTCATCTAGGTCTGTACAAATGCCACTTCCTCACAAAGGCCTTTCTTGAACATTTTATCTAAAATAGTGACTAACTTGTTTTTCTCTCTCCCTTACCCTGCTTTTTTCTCTTCACAGCACTTATAATAATTTTTTTAATCAACTCTCTTCCATCAGAATGTAAACTCCATGAAGACAAGATGTTTGTCTTTACCACTGAACCCACACTGCTAAGAAGAGCCTCCACTCAAGAGCAGACCCTCTCTAGATACGTGTTAGATGAATAAGCAGTTTTCAAAGGTTTTTCCAAAACTGTAGAAATTGCTACTTATAAATTTTAAGGTCTAAAATCTGATTTCAAAAATGTGTTCTCCTTTAAATGAGGAGAAGTGAGGGAACCCCATAAGCAAATTGGTCACAACACGCAGACCATGTAAACAGAAGATTTCAAGGTGGCAAAGGCAGAGGAATCAGCAAAGCTTACAAACATGCTTGCTACCATGGCAAAAGAGTGAGGAAAATGGAGAAAACAAAACTGCATTTGCTTTCTGGATCCTCGGTGAGCAGAAAGGTGAAAGACGTTGGTTCTACTATGCCAACCATCATCTTCTGACCCCCACAGCTTTTGAGCTAGAGATATCACATATTATTTGGGCTTTGCTGAAGATTGTGCTGAGGCTGCTACTGACCCCAGAAAACAAGAATAGTTTGTTCTCTTCCCTTTTCGTTTTTAACCTTCCATAGAGCCCAAGTTTTACTGCCATTTATCTTTCCCCCTCCTGAATTCCAATACTGATTCCCCAATTCCAACACTGATATTGACCGAAGTGAAATCATGCAACATTCCCTAAAATGCAACCTGTTATTTTTCTTACCTGGCCTTTATAGCCTAAAATTAATATGATGCCATCCCTGAAACAAAACAGTAAGATATGTTTAAAATATTAATCTGAAGAAACGAACAGGACTTTTCATTCCGCTGTAAAAATGTACTAATGCAAATAGAATAAGCTAATGCATATTTGATTTAATAAGCAGTGAATCGAAAAGTTATGCTAAGTGGTTTATCCAATCACAGCCTCAAATACATCTCTGGGCACTGACTGGATATAATTGGTAATAAGAATAAAAGGGCAAGCACAAAAATATTACATCTAAATTCGTCAGCACTTTAAATGAGCAACCCCTTTGTGGACTGCACTGGTCATGAGATTGCACATCACTACCTTGTAATGACATGCTAGGACAAATGCTCAGAGCAACAAATTCTTTCCATGGTTGCTTGGTTGGCCTTGAACAGCAAAAGGCAACTGGATTTATTTTGTTCTGGCAGTAGCTCAGTGGGAACATAAACTGGTAATGCTAGGGAACAGAGGGTCTACAGAGAAAAGGAAGTTCTACTCATATACTATAATATACTATACTAAACGCTCAAATGCCAGCTACACCTAAACCAGAAGCAATGTGAGTGGTAAACACTAACATTTTCAAAGAATTGTCTAATATTCATGGTAGAATCTATAAAAGGTGACTTTGAATAATCACTTCCCAGCAAACCTGTAAAAGTTTTATAAAATATGCTGCAAAAATGACTCACAGTAGATGTAATTACTGTGCAACCTTGGAAACTGATGTAAAAAATTCAGCTACCAGCATGTTAACGGCCACCTAATATATGGGTTGTTTGATTGGACTCTTTGGGCAAAACTGCAAAATTCCTAACCCATTGCTGCTATATATTTTATCAGGGCCAAATTTAGCTACTTTCATTTTTTAAAATGCCATTTTAGACATCACAGTGAATCAAGTCAGTGTTGCTTAATTGCTTGCATACATTACAATCTAATCTATTTCCCCAAACACTAATTTAACTAGTTATTATTTATTTTTATTTTTTGGAGCAGTGGCAGAGTTCTAATGCCTGAACTATGAAACTTGGCAAAATCGCTGCTTTCTTAAAAAAAAAACTGTAAGTATCAGCAGTGAATTTTTCTCCTTTACGCAGTCAGCAACTGTTTATTTTTTAATGTATTCATTCTAAATTAAAAGTTTAGTATAAAAATATTTTATTGACCATATTCTGTTTTGAATTATAATAATATAGCGTTTCTGTGGGTGGAAAAAGAAGCCACATTTTAGAAGGGTCTCTTGCCGTATTTTTACCCTATGCCTTTGGCTTAGTGGGAATGATCAGGTATTCTATCAGTTTAACAGTGAATGCCAACCAAATATGTCAACTTTTGAAAGATGTCCTCATCTTATAAAATGTTCACTCTATAATCATCACCTTTCTAGGCATTGGCCTTATGGGCTGTCACTTTTGGAAAATTAAATGTAAATTGATTTTTTTGCAAAATTGATTCTATGTTAATGCCACTATAGGTGTTTGCTAGTTAAATGACCTTAACTATGAATCTTTTAGGAAAGAGACCATCCCCCCTATTTTGTAATAGAATAATAAATTCACTTTTCCCCTTAAGCTTACCTGTTTTGTAAACTTACATATATAACATTTTCTCCAAAGTGAGGCTTATCTCAACCATGGGTAAAAGATTGGATGTTAAGAATTGCTCTACTGGCCTTCTTCTAGATTAATATTTAGGACTATTAGGATCACCCAAATACAGTAGCCACCACATGAACTGAGTTGAGCTCTCAGTCTGACAACTTTATTACACACCCTCTATTTATTCTAAGACTTAAATTGTAAGTAGGCAGGGATTTTGCCTTATTAATCTATGTGCCCCAATAAATATTTGTCAGATTGAATTCTCAGTTTTGTACAGCTGAAACAATGCCTCATCTTATTATATGGTTCACTTTGGTGGAACACTCTTTGATTTACTTATAGAGAACTAAAATTCATTTTAAAGAAATTTTTTAAAAGCCATATAAAAATTTGCTGAAGAGAAGGTTTGGTGGTGAAGCTTTCAAATATATCAATAACAATAAAAGCTCTCTGTTTTTTACATTTCCAAATTCCATAACTATAGGTGTTGAAACTCAAATTGTTCTACATAATTAATTTCAGTCCTATATAAATATACTTGTAGATACTGTGTGAAATTGAATTTTTCAGCACTCAATTTAATCTATTTGAAGGATTAGAATATTTTGTTCTTAGTGTGGTGAATTGGGCAAATGCTGAGCCCAAAAGTTATTTCAACTGCAAACACTGCTTAAACCTTTAATTAGTTTAAACATGTTTTCTTAAGTCATTGTGATCAGTAATTAGAAGACCGAAGTCTACTTCGCCAGCTAATCTTAGTATATAATTCTGAACAACCGAAATTTCACGACGGCAATTTGACTTCAGAAGTCTATAGAGTATACAAGATTTAGAAAGTTTTGAATTGTCTAGAAATTCTCAGCTATCAATACAATTCAAAATGTCTATGAAGTTTTAACTGTTATACCTCATATCAGTTAATTTGGGGGCAGGTTTCTTACAGTAACAAAAAAGATTAAACTGCCTAACACACATGCTAAACCTGGTGACAGTGCAGAGCATTATTTCACTTTTGAAACTGATGTGCTACACCAAAATATGGCACCTTGGCATATTGAATATTTTAAGCTGAAGGAATTTGAGAAACGACAGAAAGTTCTCCCTGGCCTTTTCTGTCCTTCTCCCCTGAAGCAGGTTATAAGCCTCTCATGTGGGAGGTGCCCTCCTTCTACCCTGAGGAAAGGAGCATTCTTACCTCTGAATATGGGACACTGAGGGGAATCAGAACTAACAGGCCTTCCTAGGCTTCCCCTCTGTTTATAACACTTATTTTACACTCTTTGTCCTAACCCATTTTTCCATGACTTTCTAGTTTTCATCAAACCTAGCATAACAATGGTCAGATATAACCATTTCTTTGGGTCTTCACTTCCTTATGAAGGCTCCTGTGTCACAAAAAACTTACATTAAATAAATTTGTATGCCTTTTTCCTATTAATCTGTCTTCTGCTAAAGGAGGCCCAGTCAAGAACTTAGAAGGGTAGACAGAAAAAGATGTTTTTCCTCTCCCACAATACTAAGAGTTAAGAATGATTTTCCAGCTCAAAAACATGAACCATAGAAGTATAAGATCCTGTTTTGACCTCCATTAATGTTTTATAGGCAGTTAAAAGATAATAAAGATGCTATTAGTGTAGTAAGAATGCAAAATAAACTACATACATTTCATTCAGAGTTCTTTTAAAAAGTGAGTAATTGTAATGTTTAGGATTAAAACAAAAAGGATGATGAAAAAAATGTCAAATGCAGAATTCTTTCCAAAGGAGATCCCATCATCAGCCTGCTACTGAGATGAGGCATTGGTCAATCTGCTCTGGTAAGGGAGGTGGGGCAAGCTGGAGGGAGAAAATGCTATCATTCTCAAGCAGCAGGGAAAAGGAGCTTAAGAGAGATAAGACATGACTTTGCAAGAGGCAACAGGAAGGCTCTGATTAAAGAAGAAGTCATTTTCCACTTTGTAGAAGTACTGAAGAGCCGGAAGAGTTTAGAGTGTCAATGGAAGCGAATTCTCTTCGACAACCTCTGCCTCACTATATACCCAGATTAGGGAAATCTATTTACAACAATCAACAATAAAACTAGACATGGCTTTAAATTATGCTTTAAAACTTGGGGGCAAACAAAAGCCTGCTTATTAAAGAATGTGATAAAGAGTGAAAACACAATTTTATCTTTTTTAAAACCACTGGAAGACTCAGAAGAATAACAAAAAGAGCAACAGCAACAACTTGCATTGGTACAATTCCTAACAATGAACAAAAACACTTTCACATAGATTATCTCAGTTGATTACTACTGCCACTCTAAATGTGAACAAGGCTAGCTAGCATTTCCACTTTATAGAAAAGGACATTGAGGCTTTGAAGAGATTATCAGTTGTTTTCAAAAAGATATGTCACTCTAACTTTCAATTAAAAAAAAAATGACAAAATTAAAAAAGAACCGCATTCATAGAGCTAGAAAATTCATTGACCGTAGCCTGTAACAGAAGCTACATTGCAAATTATATGGTATTCTGTTCCATACAGAGATTTTATGTCTTTTTTTTAAAAAAAAAAAAAAAAGGCAGAAAGTTGAAATACCTGACCACCTGCTTCAATATCAGACATCTCGCAATGCCTAAGGTTAGACAGATAGTTTAATAGAATGAACCATTTATATATAGCAGATAATGATCTGTAATGCAGCCTTGCTTCAAATTCAGAACACTTTGAATTAACCTACAATGTTTCCACAAACCTAAGAAGTCAACTTTCTCGTCCTTTCTCTTCCTGATATCTTTCTGAATGTCATCACCTACCCAAATTATGATGGGATTGTGGATAAGGGAAAGTTATGAGGACTGCCAAGTGTAATGATGCTCTTGATTTATCACAAGGTACTAATTTTCCCATACTTTCAATGCCACACAAGTTCATGCCTGAATGAGTGGATTTTGGCCCTGCGGATCTAGTCTAATTCTGTTGCTGGAGATTACATGAGAAGTAAGACCTCCATTAGCTTATTGAATGACACTGGGATATTTAAAGTATGTCTGAGACAAAAAAGACTTAACAAAGTTTATTAAAACTCTTCTCACTGCTTTTTCACTCACTCACTAGACAATGTAAGGAACTGCCATAGGTAGGGGAAATGCTTGAAATAAAATTTTAATACTGACAATTTTTAAAAGTTTTATTTATAATTAAGAACCTTGTTATGGCTGAAACCTTTGACTTCCAGTGTTTACACCTGGAACATAGAAACTGGCCTATATTTTATTTTCTTCTGAGCTAAATGTATTGCCTTGAAAAGAGAAGAGAATATCTTAATCATAAACTTTATAAAAGAGATTGCTTGAGTGCTGCTATATGAACTTTCAGTATATTGTGTCCAGGAATATGCATGTAGTACTATTTCAAGTCCTCTTTACCGATAATTTAATGCTGCCTCTAAATTTAATGCCTATTGCCTTTTCACCAGAAAGCAGTTTTTACTGATGATAATGATGATGGTCATTAGGGCCTTGGAGACTTTTAAAAGGATCCAAGGATGAATGAATAAATAAAAACCATGATGACTCATTCTGCACCGAATGCCATTAGTATAACGCACAGCTCAGCACAGTTCCTCTTCCCCCGAAAACTGCACTATTTAAATATATGTTAAAATTTTTTTAAACAAAATGAGTATAATTTATTCAGAGAATAATATGAGACCGTGGAATGTCAGCAGCTAAGTAGGCAAGATGCAAAAAGGAAATACATTTTACTAGGCTGATATTTTCTCTAAAACTACTCCTAGTAGAACAACAATCAGATTCTGTCAGGCTCTGTTTCATTCTTTCCTTCCTGAATGAGAGGAGTTTGTTTCTGTCACATTTTCATTGCTTTCTTTATTTTATGTTTTAAATCTATTAGAGAATGTCCAGTTGAATTTCCTTGTAGTATTGTTTCAGGCTAAGTGCAGGAAAAATAAATGCTGGGATCTTAGATTAAATGTTAGCTCTAGAAAGGTTTTTGCTTTAAACAAATTAAGTATATTAAAATCTGTATTTAAACAAAAAGATAAATGAGCAGGCAGTTATTCATTTTACTTTAGAAATATCTGATGTAGGAAATGCATTTTAAAAGCTAACTTCCATAACCATCTTTTATATTAGTTAAATTAATACAGATTAATCAATATCATATTCATATCATATTCATGAAAATGTGAATGTGTAGACCCTGCCCTTAAAAACGAGCATACAGGTGTAAAGAGATATGCTCTGAATTATTTGTTTTATGAAGACATATGTATCATTTCCCCAAAACTAAAGCTGCCACAGGATGGTGTGTTATAAACCATTATGGAGCATTTTATTTCACAAAGGATTAAACCATGGAAAAATCCCAAGGCTGTAAAAAGATTTATGCTAATTAGGCACTGAATTTATTAGTATAGTCTCTGTTTTTCCCTTTATGAGCCGATTTCAAAGTCACTGATAGGCTTTCTCATGACTTACATGGTAAGCAGCCACTTCTCTATTTTTCATACACCTATTTTCTCTTTCTTGCAGTAGACAGTAGAGCAGTGAAAAGGACACTGAACCAGAACTCATATAACAACGATCCTCTACCTTACTATCCATGAAGGAGGCAGGTGACTGATCTCGGAATCATGACCAGAAGCAACTGTGCCTTCCTCTCTTTGTTGCAATGTAAAGATAATAATACCACAATGTTGGTGGGACATAACTGTTATTATGTTGTTCAGCCTGCAAAGAAACAATCAATCCCCAAAAGTCCTAAAGATTAAATGTTAGCTCTAGAAAGGCTTTTGCTTTAAACAAATGAAGTATATTAAAATCTGTATTTAAACAAAAAGATAAATGAGCAGGTAGTTATTCACTTTACTTTAGAAATATCTGATGTAGGAAATGCATTTTAAAAGCTGACTTCCATAAAATGTTCAAAGTACAATTTAATTGGCAAATATTGAATTCAAATGCACCTATAGCAAGGTCTGACATACAACTGCATTTTAAAACCCACTGAGGGGCTTTGCATGCAATTTAGGCTAATTTGATAAAGGAATAGTACATCAAATTGGACTTGATTGTTCTGAATCAACTGTCGGTCAGTGTCATTTACATGAAGTTGGTCAAATAAAAACCAAAACTATCTTTGGCTTGGAAAGAGTGAGAACTTCCCACTGCTGCTTAAATTGGAAATTAACCAGTTGGTCAGCAAAATGGTCTCATTCTTGAGCTTGACTTCCATGATGAGAATGAAATGTGTCTCTTGGTTCAGAACCCTTGCTTTGGTAGCTAGCTACACAGCGAAATATGCCAAGTGCACACTGGAGTGTTTCTGTCTCTTAGCACCATGAATCAAAGCCCTTTCTGTAAAATGCTCTTGGAAAATAAACGGTGGAGCTTCCCTCTGAGTCAGAGCTGGTGTGGGGGATGACATTTTGGTTTTTACTTATGTGTTTGGAGCATGAAGCCAGATTTACATTGGGGTTGGTTTAAATTCTGTAAGTCATCTCTAAAGAATAGTATTCGTGGTACTAAGTACCTATTCACTACAAATAGGTACAAACCTATTCACTAATATGCATGTATGAATGTATAATGTGTGCATCATTATACATTAAACATGGTTTGGAATATAATAAAGAAGGTTGTTGAGTAGGAAAAATGCACTGCTTTAAACTCTGCAATCACTCATAGAGTAGTAAGAGGTTCACACAGAAGATATAAAAGAGCTGAGAACAACAGTGGAAACAGTGGATTCCTATGTCTCATCCTACACTCTCATTGACTGGATAGGGGGCAAAAGTCTCCCATGCTGCTTATGTTATTCTCTCTCTCTGATGAGCACAAATGATGTTGCTCCACAATCTGCACTTTCTTTTCGCCTTTCTAATGGTCTTCTTACCTGCTTGCAGAAATTCAGCATTATAATGTTGTATTTTTAAATAGAATATTCTAAAACACAATGGTGGAGCTTGGTGAATTTTACATTCTTCCCCTTTCTTGTACAAATACAGTTATCAGGTCCTCTAGAGTCCTATGTACATCAGATAGGGAGTTAGAAGGTGACATTCATTGTAAAGAGATGAGGGTTGATGCACTGGAAGCAGAACTGGATGCCACAGCTTCACATTCCATTTGAAAACCCTTAGCTTTCTTCTTCAAAGCAAAATGCTTCCTTTTAAATGGTTCGTCTGCCACTGCAGTGACATGCCACTTGGTTGCAGCATCTCTGGGAAGACTAGGAATTACCACCACCATCAGGATACGACCTGTGCCACTGCATCACACTTGTGTGGTTTTCCTAGCAATAAAAGGCAACAATCTGGATGTTGATGTCAGAATGGATCTGCTAGTATTCCAGAAACATTATTAGGTTTACATATACACACTAAGTACATATTTAGTAAATTAAAAATTATGTAATAAATGAAAATAGGTTGAAACACATAAAGTAGTTCAGTTAATTAGCTCTTAATTAATAATTGTTGTCCGTAATTGCCAATATAAACTAGGGGTTATAGATGTTTGCATTTTGAATAGTTCTTCTATCTTTATTCTAATATCTTTTGTAGAACCAAGCAAGATAAAATATAAGAAATTATATATGTTTAAAAATATATGTGGGTATATATAAGTTGAGTATTCCCTATCAGTAATGCTGGGGAACAGAAGTGCTGCAGACGTTGGATTTTTCTGGATTTTGAAATACTTGGGAATACTTAGCATACTCTGGAATACTTGGGATGGGACTTAAATATAAACACAAAATTCATTTATGCTTTGTATACACATTACACACATAGCCTGAAAATAGTATTTTATAATATATATATATTCTTTATTTTTATTTTTATTTTTTCGAGAGGGAGTTTCACTCTGTTGCTCAGGCTGGAGTGCAATGGCGCAGTCTTGGCTCACTGCAACCTCTGGCTCCCAGATTCAAGCAATTCTCCTTCCTCAGCCTCCCAAGTAGCTGGGACTACAGGCACATGCCACCACACCTGGCTAATTTTTGTATTTTTAGTAGAGACAGGGTTTCACCATGTTGGCCAGGCTGGTCTTGAACTCCTGACCTCGTGATCCACCTGCCTTGGCCTCCCAAAGTGCTGGGATTACAGGCATGAGCCACCACGCCCAGCCTAATATTTTACAATATTTTTAATAATTTTGTGCATGAAACGGTTTGTGTACATTGAACCACCAAAAAGCAAAGCTGTCACTATCTCAGCCACCTATGTGGACAATCTCTGGTTATTTGACACCACTATCATTTCTGACTCTGAATTTATACGCTACCGACAAGCAATCATTTTCTTACACTTATTTACTGTTAAAACAAGGTGTTTAGGGTAACTTGTACCGTCATGTTGGTGCTCAAAAAGTTTTGAATTTCAGAGCATGTCGGATTTTAAATTAGGGATGCTCAATCTGTATGTTCAATTCAATGTTATTTTAGTGCTTGCATGTCATGTAGCTATAAGTGCAAAAATATTTAAGTGTCTCACCTGTACAGATATAATTAATTCCTAAAGCATACAGAGCATCATTTGTGGTAACTTAGTCTGTGGCGCCATTCTTTTCATTGATTAGTCACAATTCAGGATAATTACAATAACTTAACTCTCAGAAACAGTTTGCTCTTTGTAAACCTTTGCATTTCTTTAAAAAATTTTGAGATGGGGTCTCATTATGTTGCCCAGGCTGGAGCACAGTGGCTATTCACAGGCACAATCATAGTGCACTGTAGTCTTGAACTCCTGGGCTCAAGCGATCCTCCTGCCTCAGCCTCCCAAGTAGTTGGGTCTACAGGCATGAACCACCATGCCCTTCTACCCTTGCATTTCATAAAGATTTTTATAATAAAAGTGATCCTCCTGCCTCAGCCTTCCGAGTAGCTGGGACTATAGGTGTTAGCCACCATGTCCCGCTACTTTTGCATTTCATAAAGACTTTTATAAAAAAAATACTTTTATATTATAAATGCAATTTGTTTTGAATGTATGAAAACTATTGCTTCTAAGTGCTATGATAGGTATTTAGATTTGTTTCATCCATTAGTTGTAATGGACTTAGTCTGGGTCTAAATCTGTCCCAGATTTCTGGGATCAGTACAGAAACTAGGGCTATTTCAACAAGATACTTTAAACAATCTAGCATGTCCAAATGTGAACTTGTTACCTTCCTTACCAAACATATCTTTTTCACCTTGGGAAATGTCAACTATCAACTCAGTTGTCCAAAGCTGTAGAACTGGGTCTTACCTTTGTCTCTTTTGTCTTACTTAGCTCCTTCTTTTCACCTCATTCCAGGCAGCCAACAAATCTTGTCATTTCTAACACCTTAAAACCACTTAAATATGCCTATTTCTCTCTGTTGTTTTACTTTTTTCTAAATATAGGCCACTGTCATTTGTATGCTGCTTTGATGTCTGCAAAGCCTCCTAACTGGTCTCCTCAACTCCAACCTTCTTCTTCAATCCATCTGCCACACTTCAGCTAGAGTAATCTTTTCCTAAAATGTATCTGCCTTTTTTTTTCAAGCTCCTGCATGCTTAAAATTATTCAATGGATTCTGGTCTAATGTCCAAACTTCTTAGCATGACTCATCAGGCCTTACAGAGTCTGTCCTGTATCTACTTCAACCAGCTCTGCATGCCCCACCCCTCACTCATTGCTGCAGCCATGTCGAATTAACAGCAATTCTTTCAGCTCTCTCTTCTCTCTAACCTCAATTTTGGAATTCTCTGTTCCATTGATACCGAAGGTCCTGCTCTAACTCTACTTGGGTCAATCATGTCAATATTCCCAGAGGTTAGACTTATCTTTTACTGGGGAAGTCTTTGCTGACCATCCCTTGGTCTCTGAATTGCACTGGTATGCCCCGTCACACCTATTCAGCATTCAACAAATATATCATGTGTCTTCCCTATGCCAGGTGCTGGTTTAGGTGTTTATGATATGTAACTGAACAGAACCATGAAAATCCTTGCCTCCATGGAGCTTGCATTCTTCCAGTGTTATCGTGACAATTTATCTCACTACTGTCCTTATTCTCTCTTCCTCCCTAGATAAAGGCAGTTACTCTCCTGAGATTATTGTATTATCATGATTGGTACAATGTCCAACCAGTAAATATTCACTCAGGGAATGAATAAATTGAGAAAATGGGAAGCAAAGAAATGCCAACATATTATCTTTCTTTTATATTAGATCATTATAATTTTTTTTGAAGCCACGGAAAACTTGCTTAGAAGTAAAAGAATTTAAGCCTTTTATTTTAGTTGGGAATTTGATGAGTAGACATATGAACATGTCTTCAAAATTATATGTAAGCCTTTCTCTCTCTGAATTTGCTTTCAATCATTGAGTCCTTTTATAACCTCTTTTAATTTCTAGGCCAATCTGCCCATTTCTGACCACCTGAGTCTATAATAGAAAAATCAGTATCAGTGATGGAAAAATCAGATTCAGAAACAGAAAAACTAGATGGTCCTCTGAAACAAAAATAAATTGAACACTAGGATTGAATATACAGTTTCTATAGGCTTGAGGTTACTTTGAGAGAAATGTTTTTCTTGCAAACCTAACAGTCATACTGAATTCCTAAACTGTGTTTCAGAATTCAAAGTAAAAATCTAGAAGACACGGAAAGGGTTTTTAATATTTTCAAAGCTCCTTGAGTTCCTTTTTCTCTAGGGAGAAGGGAGACCACAGTAATATTCTGGTATTCAAAAGAATACATCAGATGGACTTGAAAATTTAGGAGCTAATTACTTTCAAGATGATCTCAGGAAAAATTAAGGTGACATGTAGAGGTGGGGTGTCTAATATCATCATGATTCCACAATTCCTTTGCAAAACAAGTATGATTTATATGTAATTTAAAAAATATGTGTATCTCTTACCTGCCTTCTAAACATACACATATTTATTTAAACATCTGTATTTATGTTTTCATCCTCTTAGATACTTCATACTTACATATCTATGCTATTCTTTTTCAAAGCACTGTTGGCTGTTTCGTTTTTGTAGAGATCACAAGTCCACTTGATATTAGTGACTTATACTTTCCTCTGCTTTGTGAGTGTAGGTAATAGCCTTTTTGTATACCAATTTGCTTACACTGCAGTTTATGCTGGTAATACTGTACATTGCCTGACCTCTGAATGGAAAAATAATAACAAGTTAAAACAGTCATTTTACCTGAAGTCGATAAGGCCATAACACTCACCCTGTTTTCAATTCACATGCTCAATTTTCATCCACTCACTCTCGACTTTGAGAGGAAGGAATAATGACAGGTTACAGGCACTTTATTTCAAAATTCACTCACAAAGTTATTGACAAGCATTTTTCACAGCAACAGCTCTTCTCTGTGACCCTCGTGAGCTGTTTACATGAAAAATGCTCTTCCTTGTAGATTAATGAGAGTGGAACCTAATTCCATACCAAACATGTAGCAATTGCCTTAGCATCTCTGTTTTTGATATGGGAACAAAAGTAGGGATAATTTGCCTCAAATTGCAGTTGCTTCAGTCATAATAAAATCTCAGAGAGTACTGTTTGCTTTCAACTTTCATTAGGTAAGCTGGGGCTGTTATGAAGGTACCAACACATAAATGTTATATTAGCACTTTTTCAACTTTCATTAGGTAAGCTGGGGCTGTTATTAAGGTACCAACACATAAATGTTATATTAGCACTTAACAGAAGCATTGCATTCTCCTCTAGGAGATAAATTCTACCCTTGTCAATATAATTCCACACTGAACGCAGTAAAAGAGCTTGAAAAGATGAAATAGTGAAGCTTTGCACACAAAAAATAAATTCCTTGTTCATTCAAGCTTAAAGGCCATTTCGTTGGCCCAGGGTACTAGGGTACTGTTTAGAAAATAAGTCTGAGAGAAACTCTCTCAGGTCAAGTCAAACGTGGAGAAAAACTTTCAGACATGTTCTCTTTGTCTGAGGTTGTTAAATCAGTTACTTTAAATTTCTGCATGCCTTCAACTGGCATTTCAACTGTGAAGAGATAATAACAATTTAAGGTTAAGATGGAGTTTATTTCCAGACTTCAAATGATGAACATTGTGTGTGAATCACTGTATATACAATACCCACACATTTTAATTTTTTTGTAGGATGCTAAGCACTTTTAAAATGTAAGGTATTATGTATAGTGTTGTGATGGAGCTGCTGAAATTAAATCTTTGTTTATCCTTACTCTTATCACTACGTCTTTTAGGTACTCATAAAATAACTATCTCCAATTTAAGGCTAAGAAAAGTGCTGCCCCACTTAACAATATGAGGGCTATTTATTCTATAATGGAAGAAAAGGAAGAAAAGGGGCATCCAAGAGGTTGGCTATTGCCAGGCCTAACTTTTATCTTTTATCTTCATTCCCACCTTGTCAGGGTTTTTATCTTGCCATCATTCGACAGTTGTAAGGTCTTTTTTTTTTTTTTAAGATGGAGTTTCACTCTTGTTGCCCAGGCTGGAGTGCAATGGCGTGAT
Source organism: Homo sapiens (assembly GCF_000001405.40). Taxonomy (NCBI): domain Eukaryota; kingdom Metazoa; phylum Chordata; class Mammalia; order Primates; family Hominidae; genus Homo; species Homo sapiens. The sequence goes on from NC_000015.10 coordinate 35,176,538, forward strand.
CTCAGCTCACCACAACCTCCGCCTCCAGGTTTCAAGTGATTCTCCTGCCTCAGCCTCCCTAGTAGCTGGGATGACAGGCATGTGCCACCACGCCTGGCTAATTTTGTATTTTTAGTAGAGATGGGGTTTCTCCATGTTGGTCAGGCTGGTCTCGAACTCCCAACCTCAGGTGATCCGCCCGCCTTGGCCTCCCAAAGTGCTGGGATTACAGGCGTGAGCCACCGTGCCTGGCCTGTAAGGTCTTTTAATGAATCTATTGTCATTTGGATTATTTAATAGTCTTAATTGCACAAAACTGTCTATTTTAACTACCATAATAACAGTCAGACTAAAATGTTTTTCAGGTGACATGTGAAATATCAAAAAGACTAATGATTCTCTGCATTTCTAAGACATATGATTAGAAATAGCAGCGTACGGCATCTGATTCTATCTAAAGATGTTGGTGAAGACTGCTTAGCTTAAAGTTGTACTCATAGAATTGATTGTATTTGTATTTGCCAATGAATGCTACTATTCCACTAAACTAGGAAATAAATAACTGTCATTCAGCCTTTCCCACAAGGTTAATCCATTTCCACCAACCTCTCCTCATATCCCTTGCATTCTGGTAATCTGAAAATGGCCTGTAAATGCTTACTATGGCTAGACTTATGGAGAAAAGAGGTGTTAAGTACATTTCTACCGAGACTTCAAAGTCATGGATTTAGCAGATGTTGACTGTAACCAAGTTTTAAAAAAAACTAATTTATTTGGGCCATGCACGGTGGCTCCAGCCTGTAATCTCAGCACTTTGGGAGGCTGAGGTAGGGGGATGACTTGAGGCCAGGAGCTCGAGATCAGCCTGGGCAACACAGTGAGACCCCACCTCTCTACAAAAATAATAATAATAATAAAAATTAGCTGAGCATGATGGTGTCCACTTGTAGTCCCAGCTACTGAGGAGGCTGAGGTGGGAGGATTGCTCAAACTCAGGAGTTTCAGGCTACAGTGACCTATGATTGCACTTGCACTCCACCCTGGATGACAAAGATCCCATCTCCAAAAAAAAAAAAAAAAAAAAATCATCATCATCATCATCATCATCATCATCATCAATTTTTTAAAACTGATACTTTGTGGCCGGGTGTGGTGGCTCAAGCCTTTAATCCCAGCACTTTGGGAGGCCAAGGTGGGCAGATCACCTGAGGTCAGGAGTTCGAGACCAGCTTGACCAACATGGAGAAACCCCCATCTCTACTAAAAATACAAAAAATTAGCTGGACATGGTGGCACATGCCTGTAATCCCAGCTACTCGGGAGGCTGAGGCAGGAGAATTGCTTGAACCTGGGAGGCAGAGGTTGTGGTGAGCTGAGATGATGCCATTGCACTCCAGCCTGGACAACAAGAGCAAAACTCTGCCTCAAAAAAAAAATAATAATAATGTGATACTTTGTAATTGTACCTATTTATGGGATATAATTTGATGTTTCAATACATATATATGTTGTATGAAGATCAGATCAGGGTATTTAGCAGGACCATCACCTCATGCATTTATCATTTCTTTGTGGCATAAACAAGTTTTAAAATAATATTTTTGTTATATAACATCTATGTGAACAAAACAGATATTTCCTTTTCAAGACTAAATTGAAACAACTTTTATTCCACAAATAATTCTTCAAAAAATAACTTTTTGGGTTTCATATACTGTATTAGTCTGTTCTCACACTGCTAACAAAGATATACCTGAGAGTGGGTAATTTATAAAGGAAAGAGGTTTAATTGACTCACAGTTCCACATAGCTGGGAATCTATCACAATCCACCTCAAAATCATGGCAGAAGGCAATGAGAAGCAAAGTCATGTCTTACATGGCAGCAGGCAAGAGAGGGCATGTTCAGAGGAACTCTCCTTTACAAAACCATCAGATCTTGTGAGACTTATTCACTGTCACAAGAACAGCATGGGAAAGACCCGCCCCCATGATTCAATTACCTCCCACCAGGTCCCTCCATGACACATGGGAATTATGGGAGCAACAATTCAAGATGAGATTTAGGAGAGGACACAGCCAAACCATATAATATACCAACAGTTTAATATCCTGGCAAATATTGTATACAGAAGTTTTTTTGTTGGCTTCAAGAATTAGAAAGTATTTTTGTGTGTGATATGTGTAATTAAAAATTAAATATATGGTCAGAGCCAGAAGCTTCTCAACTGTCATTAAGTGCAAATTCAAATATACCTTTTAGAGGTATCAGGGGCCTACCATTTAATTAGAGTAAATACTCAACTGTAAGCTTTTGAATAACAGAGAATACATCCAACATATTTTTGTACCCCAACCAGCTAGTATAGTACCTAGTACCCAATAAGTGCTCAATAAATGTGTTATGCTGGCCGGATGCGGTGGCTCACACTTGTAATCTCAGCACTTTGGAAGGCCAAAGCAGGTGGATCACCTGAGGTTGGGAGTTCGAGACCAGCCTGACCAACATGGAGAAATCCCATCTCTACTAAAAATACAAAATTAGCCAGGCATGGTGGCACATGCCTGTAATCCCAGCTACTCAGGAGGCTGAGGCAGGAGAACGGTTTGAACCCAGGAGGTGGAGTTTGTGGTGAGCCAAGATTGCGCCATTGCACCCCAGCCTGTGCAACAAGAGCACAACTCTGTCAAAAAAAAAAAAAAAAAAAAAAAGAAAAAAAATGTTATGTTAACATTTTTCTGGAGGACAATTTACATCAAATTTTAAAATGCTTATTCAATTCATCCCCCAAAATTCAAGTTTAGAAATTTATTAGAAGAAAATAATTGGAAATGTCCACAAGAAAATAATTGGAAATATATAGGATGTTTATGTAGATAATAGCAAAAATTGTTAATAATGAAAATATCCAAAAAGAGTCAAATACATTACAGTATATTCCATAATAAAATACTGTTCAACTATAAAAATCTATGTTTTCATTTAAAGAACATTTACTTGTAAGGAAAAATAAAACATTATGTGGGAGAAAAGGCGGTTCAAAGACTAGAAGCCTTTAAATACATACATAATACATGTGTGCACTTATATTCACATATATGTGCATACAGATAGAAATGAGACAGGAAATATTACCTGTTGTGAAGAAAATACATATGTTTCTTGCAAGCCCCTGCTGGCTTGTAAAGACAGGGGATGCTAGGATGGCCCTTTGTTTACTGAATGGGGTGATACTTGTGAGAATGAGATGAGAGGATGGGAGACAAGACCAGCTCTATGCTGCAAAACTAAGGAGTTGATGCAGTTGGTGTTTAATAGGAAGTAGATGCATGGCAAAGAACAGAAGTCTAATAGAGATTTTCTACGGTTTTGCTGTGTAGTATGTATTGTATTTCTTCTCCTTTGTCTCCTTCTGAAAACGTCAGCAAAATTTTCATTTTTCTCTTGTACTTGTAAAGATAGATTTGTTTTGAGGAGGGGTGAGCTGACTTGCATTCAGGGGCAAAAAGCAAGGCTCTCTCTGGGACCCAATCCCATCTAATGATCTAACGAAAGAATATGCATGAAAATATTAAACATTCATTAGCTTAAATAGAGAGAGAAGGTGACTGTCATTTCTCTGTTTGTACTGTAATAGATTTTTCCAAATTTCTGCCATGAATATACATTACTATACTCTGAAAAAAAGTGATTAAAAAAATAAATTGATGTCAAATGAATAAGTGAATAAACTCATTAATTAATTAAAAATGGCATTGTAGAGAAAAACAATGTATATCCTCACATAGTAATTGCACTAATTTACACTAAATGTAAGAAAATCAGAGCCTTCCTTCAGTTTTGGTTGCTCCTTGAAATAAGACAGTTGGTTTTAAAACACACACACACACACACACACACACACACACACACACACACACACACACACTTGCCCAGTGGGTTCCACAATGCCTAATTAATTAAAAGATGTATTTGCCTACTTTGCTTACTTGCCCAGGCTGGCACACGATCATGGCTCACTGCAGCCTTGACCTCCTAGGCCCAAGCGATCCTCCCACGTCAGCCTCCCAAGTGGCTGGAACTACAAGTGTGTGCCACCATGCCCAGATAAGTTTTTTAACTTTCTTTTTTCTTTCTTTCTTTTGTAGAGACAGGGATCTTATCATGTTGCCCAGGCTGTGGACTGATCTTGAACTCCTGGACTCAAGAGATCCTCCCATCTCAGCCTCCCAAAGTGCTGGGATTATAGGCATAAGCCACCATGCCTGCCCTACTTTACTTTCTTGAAAAAAATGTGATATCTTGTCCTTTTAAATCAATACTTTAGTAAACAATTTTAATATATATTTCTTATGGCCAAAGTGAAATAGGCATTGAAAGTAATTTTTAAAATTCTGTTTTTATCTATTTTCCATTAAAAAAGGCAATATAAAAATACAAAAATATGCATTTAAGCAAATAATGAATGTAGCTGTGTTGACATTAGTGTTCTCTCAGTTACTACTCCCACTGATTAAGGGCACTGATACTAGCCAGACAACTGAGGCTTAAAATATGGTTCCACCACCAATTGGCTTTGAGCTCTTAGGGCAGTCACTTAACTTTTCAATTTTCTCATTTGTAAAATGGGGATAGGACTATTTCCCATCTCAGAGTTAAAATAATAATAACATTTTGTAGTATTTACAGATGTGTCTCGATGATTGCCTTATATTTGGGCATTGTCACATTACTCATGCCTGTGTTTACATTTGTGTTAGTGCCAGCAAGCACCTAAACATTCTTTCTCCTTTGCCTCCCTCTGGAAGCTTCAGCAAACTTTTCACTTTGTTTTAGTTAAGGTATTCATTTGGTGCCAACATATGTAAACGCAGGCACTAAATATAGCAGCCATCCTCCCTGTGTTCACTATTCTTGCCCTCAGATTCTCTTGTCAGTTATAAAAAAAAACTCTGCTTTTTAGTAAAAAAAAAAAAATTATCTTTTAATAGTTTAATAGAATGTGACTTTAGTTCCCTGACTTAATCAATTGAGATTATGATTGACATCAGGAAATAATATTGCAGTGAGTAATGTACTACTTTAACTGTCTTACATGATCAGAAATAGAGCTTAGGTGTACTTAATACATAAACAATGCCCTTGTCCCAAGTACAGGCCAAATGTTAAGATGACATGCTGAGCAAAAGGTTTTACAATAGTTCACATAGAGAGAAATAGTGGAAGAAATGAGTCATTTCATGACATATTGTAGCTTAGCTATACCAACCAGAAAAGAAGTCACACTATAGGAGTCAGCACTTACTTGGTAAGGAGAATTATCATGAGACCTATTTTTGTAAGTATTAATTAGCAGTAGCTCATTAGCAGTGTGTAGAAGTAAATGTATAATATACCTTTGTTTAATGATATTTCTTTATTAATCAATGTTGTAAAGAAGATTAGTAAAATGATTGTCTTTCTAAATAAAGATGTATGTAATTACTAAAAATAATTACAGCATGTGTCACAATAAAGTAATACTTTTAATTATAGTTGTATTGGTTTTGTAGGTTTGTTTTTATTTAGTCTTTACATTTGTTTTGGTTGTATAGTTGTATAAAACCTATAGATAAAGGAATTCATGGCTAATTTTACAGTTTTACATGTATAAGTATAATAACATAAGAAAATAATGCTGATCAAAACTGGACAACTCTAAGAATTTTTTTTTTTTTTTTTTTTTTTTTTTTTTTTTTTTACTTTTAAGGCCAAAAACCCTGAGAAATGCTATACTAGAGTAAACTGCTTTCTTTGCAGAGTGTTTCAGACTATATTATTACCAAAAGTAATGTGCAATTCTGGCTGAAAATTTAATACGTTTAGTTTCTATTGAAGAACTGGGATAGGTTTGTGAGCTTAATTATTATTGACAAGGGTGATGATGATAATGGTGAGGATTATTCTGCAAATCTAAAGGTGATGTTCCTACTCCCCATCGATAGCATGTACACTTTTCATACTTACCCACCGACAAAATTTTCATCCAGCTATGATATATAACATGCCTTTGCAAATTTTCATTACAAAATGAACAATACTTATCTGATTATTTTAGAAAGTTGAAGTGAGGAACAAAGGAATGTATGACAATTGTTAAAGAGCAAACTTCTATGGCTATACAAATGATATTATTTCATTGTGAATAATCTCAGATAATAAATAATCTCATCTGCTCTTTCAGTTTTGTTTTTGTGTAGGTGATCAGGTATAGGTTACAAGAAATTGGGTATAGGAAGCTCATTATTTCTTGGCTATAATAATATAATGTTGCTGAAACATGCTTGTTTTTAGAGGCTGCATATCACTAGAACTTTGGCACCATTCAGAGGATCAATGAAGCCTTCAAAGCAAAAAATACTATTTCCCTTCTTTGATAAATATAAAGCATATTGGTATAGATGGCACAATGCAAAACAAAGACTACAACTCCTGGAGCTGTAGCCCACATTACAGAAAGAACTGAAACTGAGAACTCTAGCTTTACCACCTGAGCTTCTGCCCTTGAATTGATATTAAGTAACCATATCACTCATAGCCTTTAATCTCCCTTGCTGATACCTTTTAATTTTTAAACAGCTCTACTTTACAAATCATATCCTCTTTCATGTGTTCTCTCAGCTAAAAAATTAATTTTGCAAGCAAAGTATCTAAACAGTAAGCATAGTAAGAATGAAACAGGTTAAAGCTCATTAGCAGCAGGGAGCAGATGTAGTAAAACTCTGCCAGTTCCCCTACATTTCCTTCTCAGCAGGGACTGGGCACCAAGCTGTGAGTTAGTTCTACAGCACAATGCTTGGCTGCTGTTTCAGCAATTGCGCCTCTACTGCTTCAAGTATAATACTAAGAATTCACTTTGATTTTTGATGTTTCTTTACAATAATAGTGTCTAAAAGGACCCTGCAGAGCTAAACGGTAACACTAAGCTCCAAGTGCCAGCTAATCAGAAAACTATAAAAATGTAATTGATAAGAAAATAATTACAGATTATAAAGTCAGTGTATCTTTAAAAATATTAACTTCTTGACAAACAGAGGCTTCAAGTCTGGATGAACTCAGTAACTGCTCAAGTTAAACTTCCTTCATATGTCATGTAATATCTAACATTCAGTAGCATGATTGTTACACAACAGATAAAAGATACTGTGTAAGGATCAAAGTGATACACTTATTATGATGTTAAAATAAAAGCAAATGAATTCTGTTATAAAAAACATAATTTCAAATTATTAGGCTAGGATTTCTTCCTTCATATACAATGTTAAAATAGAACCATCTTTGGGAAGACAGAATTTCAATCAAGTTAAGATGCCTATATATGTCAATATTAGCAAGGCTTTATTAAAATGTTCTTTTCTAAACATTAAAATCCTTTTCTAGGGCTAAAAGTAGTACTTAGATGTTAGAAAACACTGTTAGAGAGATGATCATCAGTATGAATTCACCTGCTAGACCGTATGTCCACGACAGATTTCTAGGACATAATTTATTCAGAAAAATGAACATGGACTATAAAATCCAATTCATGGAGTTTCCAACAAATCAGACTGCAACAGATGTAAATGTAACAATCAATAAATTTATCTGCTTATTCTTAAAACTCTGTAAATTACTTTCAAAGCTGATGCTATATGTTTGTTTACTGTGTTTCTGTAGATTCAGTTTTGCGATGGTTTCATTCAGCCAAGTCTGATAGACAGGATGCTTTTAGAAGAATGACATTAACAGTGTTCCAAGAAAGCTACTCTAAATCCTTCAAAGAAAGAAAAAGAAACTCCTTAGAAGTGCAATTACTGGGAGACTGGGAATGCATATTCTGAGCATTCTGAGCTTCTAAAATAAACTCATAATCCTCCCACTGAAAAGTAATAGGATTGGCCTCAAAGCCTGTAGCAGAGCTAAACCTCCAAGTAGGGGTTAACTCTCCCATTTCATGAAAATTCAAATGGCAAGGTCAAAAGGATCATTATACAGTGAAGACGTTGACCTAAAAAAAAAAAGTTGGCCTATATACTAAGGTTGATTGATTGCTTTGAATTCCTTGATCCATTTTCCATTGTAAAAAGAGGAAAACTGGGTTTCCTGACATGTCTCCTCTGAAGCAAACATTTTTGTTTATCTTCAGATGCAACTAGGTTCCAAGGGTTTATACTAATTAGAGCATGCCCTTAGAAGCCTGGGTTAATTTTTCAAACTCAGTAGGTTATATGTTACATTGGAAGTCATGGTAATAATCACCTAGGACTTGTTGTGTGTCCTTAAGTATACACAAGTCAGTGGGTCATTTTGTAGGGTCAGCATTTTACCACGCAATTTCAATGGTTCTAAAGACAACTGAACTTCCTTAGCAACCTCTAGCAGAGGTTTTAAAGATTTTCCCAAAGTTTTCCATTGGAACTATGGCACTGAAAACTTCCTGTGAATTCTGCTTTTAGGTTTAATTAGAAATTGACTAGGAAGAATAGACTTGAATTGAAAGTGAAGATATATATGTAGAAAAATTGACAAAAAATACAGCTCCAATGTGGGAAAAAAAAAACTCAATCCACAACAAATGACTTAAAAAAATAGTGCTCTCTAGTATTTTATAGGTACATAAAACATGGACAACCACTGACATTATATCTACCTTTTGGAATAATTTCATCTGGGTTGCCTGCCATCCCAACTGCGTATCAAGTGACAAGAAAAGAGTAATAACTACAAAGTCCTTGAAAACAGCCAGACCACCAGGATTGAAGGGGTAGTCATCAAAACACAATTTTGCTAACTGATCAGGTATGAGGAAGAGACAATAGCAGGATACTCAACAAGCTGGAGTATAGTGTTCTGAAATGTGACATTTCCAAATAGGGAGGACAGAGAAGTGCTTTAGATTACTATTGAAGCAGACCCTACAGCAATATAGAATTAACTGTAGATGACTATGACATTAAGTGACAGAACAGCCTGGTATGTAGCTACAAGGAACAGAGTTGTTGTTTTTCAGTAATTTCAGGCTGATTACTGTCTGGAAGGTAGAGTTGCAAATAGCAGTGGACCTTTCAGATAGTAGCTGCTACCAAATAAATGACAATTTTCACACGAAAATTTTCGAGCGTAGAAGGTATTAGAAATCATAGAATTATAGACTGGACAAAGTCATAAACATCATCTGTCCAATCCACTCTTTTTTTTTTTTTTTTTTTTTTTTGATACGGAGTCTGTCTCCCAGGCTGGAGTACAGTGGCGTGATCTCAGCTCATCGGCTCACTGCAAGCTCTGCCTCCCGGGTTCACGCCATTCTCCTGCCTCAGCCTCCCAAGTAGCTGGGACTACGGGCGCCCGCCACCACGCCCGGCTAATTTTTTTTGTGTTTTTAGTAGAGATGGGGCTTCACCGTGTTAGCCAGGATGGTCTCGATCTCCTGACCTCGTGATCCGCTTGCCTCGGCCTCCCAAAATGCTGGGATTACAGGTGTGAGCCACTGCGCCCGGCCCCCAGTCCACTCATTTTATACAAAGGAAACAAAGTTTCAGAAATGTGTATCTTGCTCACCAGTCGGAAGCAGAGTTTGCCTTTGAACCATGTCTCTGGATCTTTCCTAGCCATATACCCTACTATAACATATTTTAGGAGCATCATCTTTAAAATACAGTTGCAACCTCCTAAATTGGAAGAAAGCCTGTAGCAACTCCTTTATATCTTCAAAGAAAACCTGGGGAGGGGGCAGTACATAAGGTGTGAAATCTATGAACTCAAAACCTTTAAGTGATTATTAAATATAGGATCCTGATGATATCTTTAAATTTCTAATCCAGTTCTATGATTTTTAGTCCAGCACAAAAACCTACTGTGAACTTGAAGGGAATTCAGAGGTCATCTCCTTCAACCCTTTTGTTTTAAGGTGTAAGAGGGCTCTTAACTCATTTCCACATAAGTACCCCTCAGCTCCTGCTCTCTCTGTAAACACGTTCACTGATACTCACAGCAGGATGAATGATTTAGGCTGCTAGCTCTTCTCTGGAATTTCCACCACCCTGCTTCTACCAGCTGAGTTATGAATTTACAGATCACCATTGTCTTTATTCCAAACATGAATATGCTAGCTGCAGTTGTTATGTATTTTCTATTAAGTATTACACAAGCCTATGGAATATGAATGTGAAACAAAATCAATTTGTTTCTGTAAAATCCAAGTTCAGTATTTTGGACAGGCTTTACAAAAGTGAATTGTTTTTAAAAACATTCTGACCATGTTGGCAAGGATGTGGAGAAACTGGGGCCCCTTTTCCTTTGGTGGAAATGCAAAATGGTGCAGCCCTATAGAAAACAATATGAAGATTCCTCAAAAAATTAAAAATAGAAATAAAAGATAATTTTGGCTTAAAAATGTAAAGAATAGTATGATGATTTAATCACTTCTATTACAATCAAGCTGTTCATTCAGTTCAATAAGTATTTCTTTGGGCCTGCTTTGTGTTAGGCACCATGACAGGCATCTTATTACATAATGTGGAAGGAACATGAAATTTGAAGTAAGACCTGGGCTCAAAGTCTGGCTCTGCTTTTAATATCTACCTCATTAAGTTGCCTAGAAGATTTAATACTAGGCTACCTGACCCATGGTAGGTGCTCAATAAATATCAGTTTCCCAGAATATATAATCACATTGAATCATCATGACAACTGACAAGTGGGCATGATTATCCTCATTTTATAATCATATACCTAATAATTTGGGAACTGATACATAAACCTAGTCTAAAGCCTGTGCTCTTTCCACTACAGGATACTATCTCATGATGGTATAATTTTTAGTAGGATTCTATTCTGAATGATTTAGCCAGGTTGAGTTGCAAATGTACCAGTAATAGCTGAATGGATTAATATAACTACTCAAAATGAACTGAACAGATTTTTTTTAGTGGTAATTGTTTATACGTTGGGGAATACTTGCCAAATACAATTGTTTAAACTTTACTAGTGTTTATGCCCAGCTGCTTTTTTTGTCCAGTTGCTCAAGGAGCTGCTTTTATTATGATGATTTTTGATTTAGTATATTTTATAATATAAGGACCAGTCATGCCAAGTAATTGAATTACAAGTTTAAAAGAAGGGAATGGCAAGGGCACAGTCCTAATTTTTACCAATTAGAATTAGAATTCAGGCTGGCTGCAATGGCTCATGCCTGTAATCCCAACACTTCGGGAGGCTGAGGTGGGAGGATTGATTGAGCCCAGAAGTTCAAGACCAGCCTTGCCAACATAGAGAGACCCTGTTTCTAATTTACAAAAACAAAAGCAAAACCCCCACAAACATCTCAGGCCAGGTGAGGTGGCTCATGCCTGTAATCCCAGCACTTTGGGAGGCTAAGGCAGGCAGATCACTTGAGTCCAGGAGTTCAAGACCAGCCTGGGCAACATGATGAAACTCTGTCTCTACAAAAAATACAAAAATTGGCCAGATGTGGTGCTGCTACAGTAGGTAGCTAGTCAGACATGAGCAGGGCAGGAGAGGGCATCCCCCCTGCACTAGGAATGTCAGATGACCATCAGGTGATGGTCAGGCAGCTGTTAACTGTCTCTCTAAAATAATAATTGGTCACAGACAGTGCCAGGGAAAGGCACTCTCCCAATAGAGAGAAATATCTGAAACTAGTGATTATCAGCTTCCTCATAAGATCTCGGGAGTTGGCTGAGTGGGCTCACCTATGCACACTAAGAGGCAAAATGGTGGATGAGCTTCCTCTAGGAACATTGGACGGGTAAGGGAAAAATGCCTCAAGTGAGCATGTGTACAACTCCAGTAAACCCACTGTGCATGCTCACTTCTCAAGTGCTAGTAGGCCACTGTGCATGCAGACAGGCCACCCCAAGGGAAGAATCAAGACAGAAGGAATGCAAGACCCTGGAAGTATGCTGACATATAAAACCCCAAGTCAGAGGTCAAACAGTACACTTGATCTCTCAAGTTGTCAGTGTGGCCCTCTTCCAAATGTACTTGACTTCCTTTCATTCCTGCTCTACAGCTTTTTAATAAACTTTCACTCATGCTCTAAAACTTGCCTTGGTCTCTCCTTCTGCCTTCTGTCCCTCAGTCGAATTCTTTCTCCTGAGGAGGCAAGAATTGAGGTTGCTGCAGACCTGTATGGATCCACCACTGCTAAAATACTTTGGTGACACATGACTCAGATACATTCCACTGCTAACAGTGGTTCAAACGTGAAGTCCCAGCTACTCAGGAGGCTGAGGTGGGAGGATCACTTGAGCCCAGGAGATAGAGATTGCAGTGAGCTGTGACTGGCCACTACACTCCAGCCTGGGTGATAGAGTGCCTCAAAAAAAAAAAAATTCATGATTTCTGTTCACCCTGATTTTAGAAGAACTATTGCCCTGGTATTTGAAGCATTAAAAGCCTGATGAAAATAGCAAAGTACTATTGTTATTAGTGTCATTATTTCGAGTTTGAAGACCATCATCATGGCTGTAAAAGATAGAAGCTGAATAGGAAGTGAACGGTGATGCTCTTTCTTTTAACTTCAGAGTATGTTTCCTAAGCAACGAGATGATCACTTCTTTGTTCTAATTCTTACTTCAAAAGTTGCATTTAATGACTTGACATTATTAAATAGCTTTATGCTACAAGTGAGTTTTTCTATCACCATTCTCATGTTTGTACCACAAAGGTATGTCTCTTGGTGTCCTTTACCCTATTTTTCTCACATTCCTTTAGCTTCTGGAAGATAAAATTATCCAATTTAAAGCAAACCAAATAGGTAACTTGTCAGATTATTTGCTTTTAAGTTCTTAGGCTTCCATTACATGCTTTCTGCCTTGCCTCAATCTCTCTACCCTTTCTCCTGCTACATTTTTCCAATGCAAACTCCATACCAGAGAGTCCTCCTCAAATATAATCCACCTTCACCTTTTATTTTTGCCTTGTAAAATCCATTATATGATTTAAGACCCTGGAAAATCCAAACCTGGAATTATCATCTAAACCTGAAATTCTCTCTCCCTGTTTTCACTTCTCCATTGCATTTATTAGGCATTGGTTATAATTTACACTACATTATGTTTGCAAATTCTTTGAAGGCACCTTTGTAATTGTAGGGAAGTTCAAACTTTCCCTCTGAATGTTAGAGTCTAAGTCTTCTGAAATAAATTGGCTATAGACAGATTAATGAAAGAAAAGCCACGACAAATTTATTCATGTTTTGCAGGAGCCATACAAAATATAAAAAAAGAAGGGGCGGATGGTTGAGACTTAAATATCCTTTTTACCGGGGGCTGCAGGCAATTTTAGAGGAGTAGGAGTAGTAAATGATTTCCAGGGGAAATGAATGGACTTAGGAAGCAGACATTGTCTTGTAAATGATTCTCTGGAATTTGAAGAAACCCAAGAGACAGACAACATCTTGTAACAAAGTTTGTCCAGGTGTGGTTACATTTCTGTCTTCTTTTCTGTAATAGATAATAAAATTTCAGGGAAGATACGGAAGGCAATTATGTTCCCTTTGGCAGTGCTGGAATAAAATTTCAGGGAGGATATGGAAGGCAATTGTGTTTCCTTTGGCAGTACTGGAATAAAATTTCAGGGGGGATATGGAAGGCAACTGTGCTCCCTTTGGCAGTTCTGGTCTTAAGGCAGATAAGGGAAGATTATGTAACTGTCCAGTGGGTTCTCCTTGCCCGCTGCCTAGACAGAGCCGATTTATCAAGACAGAGGACTTGCAATAGCAAAGGAGTTTAATTCACGCAGAGCCAGCTCTTCGGAAGACCGGAGTTTTATTATTACTCAAATCAGTCTCCCCAGGGGTTTTTAAGGATAAGTTGGTGGGTAGGGGTCTGAAAGTGGGGAGTGTTGATTGGTTGGGTCAGAGATGAGATCATAGGGAGCTGAAGTGGGTTATTCTTGATGACTCCTGTTACTAAGTGGGATTGCCGAACTGGCTGAGGCAGATTGCTGGTCCAGGTGGTGTCTGCTGGTGCATTGGAACGCAGGGTCTTCAAAGTGATCTTAAGTTCTACAACAGTGATGTTATCCCCAAGAGCAGTTTAGGGTGTTTCAGAATCTTGCAGCCTCTGGCTGCATGACTCCTTAACCATAACTTCCAGTCTTGTAGCTAAATTGTTGCTACTACAAAGGCAGACTGATCCCCAGGCAAGAAGGGGGTTTATTTTGGGCAAAGACAGTTATCATCTTAGTTTCAAAGTTAAACTGTAAACTAAATTCCTCCCAAAGTTAGTTCGGCTTTTGCCCTGGAATGAACAAGGACAACTTGGAGGATAGAAACAAGATGGAGTCAGTTAGGTCAGATCTCTTTCACTGTAATTATTTTCTTGGTTATCATTTTTGCAAAGGTGTTTTCAATCAGACTAAAATTTCACCTTGCAGTGGGGTGTGGGGAGAGACAAGACAGGTCAGAAAGGTTTTGATTCTGAGGTAGCTTCTGAGGCCTTCCTATTTAAGGAAGTGCTCAGCATGCCAAATTGCCATACCTTTAGGGTATCATTTTCTAAACCCCAACAATCTTTCTTTTAATAGTTTGTTCTAAATTTTGATGAATTTCAAGATGTACCATCAATCATTGTTTAATGAAGCAAACAACAAACAGAAATATAGATTCAATGTAACATGCCACATTTCATTGTGTGTCAAAGGCATTTTACATCAAACTGACACATACTTCGAGGTATATCCCTCTTGTCATAAAATCAACTAAGCCCTCCCTGAGACAATAGTCTTATCTTTCTGTTCTTATCTGTTCTGCTTTCATGACCATGTCCTTTAAGTAGCATCTTCGGAAAGAAGAATGAAGCATCATTCTACTCAAATGGTGATTCAAGCAACCATCATTTTTGGAGACCTTCTCTGTTTCAGATATCATGCTTGTCATTTGAAAAGCCTATGAACATCTCCATTTCACAAATGATATAATCAAAGACTAGCATGCTTAAGTAACTTGCTCAGGATGACTAAGAGGCAGAACAGGGATACGAACCAAAGTTTATCTCAAGTCAAAGTCTGCACCTTTCCCCTATGAAGCCCTTCCTGACACTCTCCCCACTGCTGAGATTAAAACCAATGCAATTGTCCAATAAAAATGATAGTTACTGTTTTTTGAATAGACATAGAAGTTGACTCTCCCAATCCTAAAACTTGAAACTTATATTTGTCTTGTCTGAGTTCCTTCCTGAGAAAAACAACCCTCAGACAATTGACTGAAACTCACCAGATCACCACATTCAGACAATCTCAGTAATGAGATACCAGAGTCCTCATTTATCATGATTGCTTCCTTACCTCTCCCTAATTCCTTCCTACATGTAGCTATGTCTCTACTCCTACTACATAAACCTCCCAATTTTATTCGGTTGAGAGTCAGATTTGAGACTTAACTCCTGTGCTCCTCAACTGCAGCACCTGAATAAAGCCTTCTTCCCTGGCAATACTTGTTGTCTCAGTGATTGGCTTTCTGTGCAGCAAGCAACAGGACCTAGACCAAACCCTTGGCATTTCAGTAACACGATGGTTGTGATCTCTGATAAAGCTGGTAGGAATCATTTACATAATTGATGTATGCCCTGACTTATTCCAGAAAGTATTTAAGACAGGGTTAAACATGATCATGTTTTTTATTGTAGTGCAAAATAATGGGTTTGTATAGTTTCACTTTAAATCCTAGGACTCCTACTTGACAGCTCTGAGAAACCTGTTTTCTCAGTAATAGAAGGGAATAATAGTACCTAACTCCTAGTGCTGTTATGAAAACGATAGAAAGCAACACGTAAAGTTCCTGGCACTGTAGCTGGTACAAAGTAGAGAGCACAAATATTAGTTCTTCCTTTATTCTACCTTATCCTTTGACCCTAACTTGCCTTTTTGTAGGTGGTAGTCCAGCTTGAAGGCAGAATAGCTCTATTTTTCCCCCATTTAAAGTTACATTAATGTTTACTCATCATTTCCTTCATGTGTGAACAATGCTCTAAGCTTTAGGAAAGGCCTTCAGTAACCACATCCTTCTTGCTTCACAGGATGGAGCCATATAATTTGGGATTAAGCTTGAGTATTAATCCAAGTTATTTGGAATCAATAATTTGGGATTAAGCTTGAGCACTGATCTTTATAGGATTCTTTGTTACTTCACGGTGTAAAATAAGATATAGGTAATGAATCAATATTATTTGGTGAGAATATTGAATTTGAAAATTTATAGTAACACCATACAATTTGTATGCATCTATAACATCAACAACATTCATTTATTTATTTCTACTACATTTATTGAGCCCTCACTATTTGCCAGGGCATCATGCCAAGAACCTATGTGATGATAAGGAATGAACATAAGGCAGACAAGGTTGTTGCTTTCTAGAAACTGCCAATCTTGGAAGGGAAGGAAAGGAAAGATGTGGAAGTGAGGAGGAGACAGAGATATAAACTAATGCTTGTAACTCAGAATGATATGTGCTACAATGAATTATATTCAAAGTTCTAATAGATCAAAGAGAATGCCTCACACATTTATAATACTAAATTCTTATTTTCCATCTCAAAATTAATATGAATACTAAGAGTAAATATAATGTGTGTTGAGAAAATATGCTTATAATCTCTAAAATTAATATCTGAATACTGAAATGTGTATGGGAAATAACAACATCAAAATTAATTTTTTTTTTCAGATTTCCCCCTTTTAAGAACAATGCAAAGGCAGAGAGAGAGGGACATTAACTAAATCTGGATTTGATTGTCAACTTTACAAAAAAGAATGGGAGTTTTTCATTTAGCAAAGAAAATCTTATCAACAGACATCCAAACTTAAAGATGAATTAATAATATTTCGATAAATTAATAATATGTAGATAATATTTAGATTAACTTCTATAATTATTATTTAATAATTTCTCATATATAAATTCAGCCTCACATTTTTCTCTCCATCTTATTTTTGACTGTCACTTATTAATCTAGATGCTCATGGCAGTTGTTCACTGGCAGCGATAAAGGTAGTTGCATAGAAAGAACAGGGAGAAAGTGTTTTCAATAAGGTCCCTTTCAAGAAGGACCACAATTATATATGTATTTCTCAGATGAAGATATTTTAGACTTAGATTACTACAAACAGTCTTGGTTCGGAAATCACAGCTAGAGAATTAGCACAGGGGCTTTGAAATGTATCAGGAGAATTTATTCCATGTCATGGATGATGAAGAAAATATCAAGAAAGGTTAAATAATTAGTCAATACTAAACCAATATGTGACTGAGACAATGACAACCATTTGTGAACAGGACTTTCAAGAAGGGAAGACAGAACACAATAAAGCATATTGTGAAAATGATACCCACCAAGGGGGAAAAGGAAACAAATAGACATGGTTCAAACAAGCTCTCAGAAAATGGTATGCCACAGTGCTTCCTTCTAACTCTTATTCTGATGTTTAGCTTTCATCAGTAATCTAAATTATAATTGACTTTTGCTCAGAGCACCTAATATAACATGATTCAAATGAAAACTCTGATGCCAGTCAAAGAAGATGACAAGAAAACCTTGTTAAAAATACTCATTTACTTGTTAACAGAGTTTTTCTATACACTTTTTAATGCTGCCCTCTAGGATTCATTTTTATTTATTTCCTCCTAAGGTTCCATATCTTTTGTGACCGTTTTCTCATTTATGTTGCCCAGAAAGGAAAGAGCCTGGGGTTTCCTGACATCGGTGCTTTAAAGATATGCTCTATTCCACAGTTTTGAGCAAAAGTCAAAGGAAAAGATAATATATGAATACAGGGAGACCTGAAGCTTGACAGAGAGTCTTCCTTTTTCCAGAGAGAGAGAGAGAGAGAGAGAGAGATAGAGAGAGAGAGAGAGAATACCCCTTCCTCATTAGAAGTAAAAGCCCAGAAGCCACTAGCTGACATCAGCCCTTGAAACCCCAGGCTTCTTTGAGTCATCAGAGCACACAATAGCTCTACAGTGTCTGAAAGCAAGAAAATGTCTCATACTTAATAATAACCTATTTTTCTGGTCATCTTTTTGTTTTAACACAATGCACAGCATGTGCTTCTGTAGTCGAATATTTCAAATCAGCTATGTAACTACATACAGGATTTTAAAATCTATTGATTGCAGATCCCACGAAAAGTGAGTAATGGCTAGTACTAACTACATCAAAGGCATTGTACTATGGGTTTCACTTATATTATCTCATTTAAATCTCACAGCAACAGTATGTTGAAGCATTACTTAAAACAACTTTTTATTGATTCATATTAGATGTATACATTTTCAGGGAAATGTGATAATTTAATACATTCATATAGACAAATCAGAATAATTGGGATATAAATTACCTTAAATATTTTCTTTATGCTAGGAGCATTTGAATTATTTTCTTTTAGCTATTTTGAATTGTACAATTAGTTATTGTTAACTATAGTCACCCTATTGACCTATTGAACACCAGGTTTCATTCTATCTAAGTGTTTATTTGTACCCATTAATTAACCTCTCTTTATCCACCCCTTTCTCCACACCCTTCCTGGCCTCTGGTAACCACCAATCTACTGTCTATCCTCAGGGAATCCATTTTTTTAGTTCTGGCATATGAGTGAGAACATGCAATATTTGTCTTTCTGTGCCTGGCTTTTTTTACTTAACACAATGACCTTCAGTTCCATCCATGTGGCTACGAATGACAGGATTTCATTTTTTTATAGCCAAATAATAGTCCATTGTGTACATATAGCACATTTTCTTTATTCATTCATCCACTGATGGACACTGAGGTTGATTCCCTATTTTGGCTATTGCAAATAAGAAGCACTTACTAGTGATTAATATAACCATTTTATAAAAGAGGAAACTGAGGCTTAGAAGGAAAAAGTCAAAACTTTGGGTGAAAAGATACCAGAGGTCTTGCAAGCATTGAATCCATATTTAAAGCAGGTCAGATTCAAGCCTGGGAGACCAGAGAACTCATAGATGGCAGGTTAAAATGCCGATTTACCTTCATACACTGCCTTAAGTCTATAGATCCAGCTTCTTAGGAGGGGTTGTGAGCAGGTCTGATACTCAGCTAGTATTTACAGGTAAGGCTCCACAGACAATTAAAGTATTTAAAAACTATCCTCCAGGTTGGTAAAAGTGCCCTGGCCATGCTGCCTTCACACCCAAGACCCATCCGTGTAGCAACTAAAAGGTTAATAATGAGTTTCCAGGACCCTGCTCTGCTCTGACTGGTTGATGCCGAAGGTAGTCATCCCCCTAAAGCCCTACCTCCTGGGTGCTGCCAGTGGCTCCCACAGAGATCCCCACCTACTGGTTGATCCTTGTCCCTTCTGTAGCTATCTACGGGAATTTCAGCTTCCATGGGAATTTGGCTCTGAGAGAGCCAGGGAGAGACAAAAGAACTTACAAGTGTGGGCTGGTTGGAGGGTCACAGATAGGGTACTGTAGTAGATGGTATATATTTAAACTGTGAGACCAGAAGAGAAATGCAAGTCTTGATAAAATGAGGTATTCCTCATTTAGTAAAATAGGGTACTCAGTCATGTTTATAATGGGATCCACTGGAAAAAGGCAAACTGCTCTCCAAACGCAAACATGAAATTTAACGTAAAATAGTAGAAAACAGTTCTCAGGTATTAATGATAACATTGTGCTATGCTAATTAGAATATAAGATAAAATGATCACTAGTGAAAATAGGTTGTGGCAGAAAATCTGCCACTTTTAGTGAAGAGATAAAAAATCCCTAAAACTTTGGCAACTTGTCATTTTTTAAATCAATAATAATCATTTATTTAAGAACTAGGAAATCCTTGATAGAGATGCTAAGCTTAATGATGAGGATACAGACGTTAAAGCCAGTAGAGTTCGGACTACCCACTAGCTGGAACTCTGCTTCCTGCCTCAGCTGTTTTGTGGGAGGAGGCGGGCTGTGTGGTAAGTATGCTGGGAGAAGAGATGACAAAGGCTTGAGCGTAAGGTACGAGTGCAAACTTAGCAAATTCTGGGTAGTTGATCCACAGAATAAACTTGTAACAATTTATGAATTCTTTGATTCTGAAATTTGATGGTGGCTTTCTGCCACATTTGAGCTTGCTTTATAAGGCACTTGACAATGTGTTGAAAAGAGGTTTGCCAAGTTATTTGTGTCCTTGTCTTTTTTTCCACACCACCAGCAAGAAAGTTCCTTCAGGGTGGGGATAGCATTGGCACATAAGTATCCACTGAATGGACTTTAATTTATAACTCCAAGCAACCAAGTTATAAGCAGAGTTCTGGGAAACTATATTCAAGTAAAGTGATTGTTACTCAAAACTATTACCATGTTTAAATGGATACCTTTTTAAATCCAACAATTTTTGGGATTCTTGAATAAATTATATATTATTTTCATGCTTTTAATTTTTTTGAAATATGCAATGAACTTATAGCTTAGTTACTACTGAGGGTTAAATTGCATTGGACTTTCACTTCAAAGACCCAAACAAAGAATTCTAGACCCAATCATAATAATTCTTTGAACACAGTCCTGTAAAATACAAGGTATGTTAGCACACAAATTCACAGTAGAGCTTTGTAATCTTTAATGTAATAAAATGAAACCAAAAACTCGTATGACTGGAAGAATATTGCTGTCTACTGTTGAAATGGATCATTTAAAAAATTGGAACTAAGTGCTGAACAGGGAAATCTACAATAAAAATGGCAGCAGTAAAGGGAAAAAGCAGCTTTCATAAAGAATGTCAACATTGCCTTTCATATGGATATTTCTGTTAAAATATGTTAATATGATCATCTTGATTTACTAGTTTTGCTTAATATTTACAAAAGGCCAATCATGTAGAATTTTACATCTTGTAGTAGACATTCCATGGCTTTTTAGTATAATCCCCTGCCTCCCCAAAAGAGAAAAAAAAATCTGATTAATGGCTGTGGCCAGGGATATGAGTGCTATAAAAATGAGACAAGACAGTAACACACTTCTTTTGTAAAGTGCAACTAGAGCTTCAAAGGGTGGCAATGAATCTTATTTTACACATGGAATATGTATACATGCCTGAAATACACTCTATCTATTGCTTTAGGGTTTCTAGGTATTTCAGAAAGTTTTTTGAATTAAGTCACATCATCAGGCAGTTGTTTTGTTTCACCCCCATAAAAGCAGTTTTCCTGAACTACTCTTGGGCATTGGTCTGAGAAATAGCCACATAATGCTCTGAGTGAAGAGTCAAGTGCCCTCCTTAAAATGCAAACAGGGGAATTTTTTTCTGAGATTTCAGCACCATACTTTCATTCTGGAAACAGTTATTAAGTCCCTAGGAATAGCTGGGCTTCTACTGAGCAGCCAGTTTGTTTTTATCTCATGGACATTACAGATTTTGTCACTGGTTGCATTTCCCTTTTTGCATAGACGACTAGAATGCTCAGAGCCAAATGTGACTAGGACATAAGACCTCATGGCACATATTTTATATAAAAAAAAGAAAAACAACAAGCAAAACTAATCTCAAGCCCTGCTGGCTTTATTTTATTGCAATTTAACAAACATTTAGTGAGTATGCAATATGATCCAGGTACTCTAGTTGTTTTTTTTTTCTAATTTTTCCATTTAATAAAAACAAAACTTTTATATTTTATTCATTTTTTTTCTAAGCTATCAAATAAAGAATACTAGGCTTCTAATTTTTAAGGCTACAGATTGCAGTCATAAGACCATACTTCTCCAAACTAGAGAATTAACTTGCCTCAATTTCTGGCAAGAAAGATGGTTTTCTATAAATTCCAATCACATCATATGGTTTGGTGCAAAATGAACTATCTATATGCATGAAGCTAATTGCTTAATAGCCCTACTAACATATGCTTTCTGGAAAAAATATATACACATACAGACAACAAATGTAATTGGTGGAATCCTTGCTTAAAGGTCTCTGGAGTCTTAGCAGAAAGTTGTAAGTAAACCAAGAAACTTGCATACAAAATTATTCATTTATTCTACTCTTCGAGTCAAGTGTAAGACAGTACTATTCATCTTGGAAAGCAATCTGGCTATTCTTTCCTTTAAAAGCAATTTCAACTGGTGAACAAATATGAAATGTACTAAGTTTTTCTTAAAAGACACCAAAGGTGTATCTTCATATGTTTTGAAAGTAATAGTGTAACAGGCCCAAAAGTCTTTATCTGAAAAATCATCATGCAAGAAAGTTGCTTGATCAAAAGTGATTCTTACAAGATGAATATAGGTAGCGTCTTACTATAAGTACAGCCAGGATGTGATTATAAAAGTATAAATGCATTCCTATAAATAGTAACACTTCAAATACTTTTAAGTACAGGAATCATTTAAAAAATAATTTGTTGTCTTCTTCTTTTTTTTTTTAGAGATGGAGTTTCATTCACTTTTGTTGCCCAGGCTGGAGTGCAATGGCGCAATCTCAGCTCACTCCAACCTCCACCTCCCAGGTTGAAGCAATTCTCCTGCCTTAGCCTCCCGAGTAGCTGGGACTACAGGCGCCCGCCACAATGCCCAGCTAATTTTTGTATTTTTAGGAGAGATGGGGTTTTACCATGTTGGCTAGGCTAACTTCTGACCTCAGGTGATCCACCCACTTCAGCCTCCCGAAGTGCTGGGATTACAGGCGTGAGCCACCACGCCCAGCGAATTTGTTGTCTTCTTGACAGAATGATGTCATGAAACTTAATGCTCTAGTTTAAAAAGTCCCTAAGAAGCTCAGTCAGAAATCAAGATTAAACATTTCAGTTATAAAATAATTGTCTCCCTCACAGTTTCATGAAGAAAGCAATGAATCTTGTATAATGGAAGAGAATCTCAGTCATTTGTGTATCCCAAATAAATACCTTACATAATACTAGGAAATTAAGAATTCAGTAAATGCCATTCATTGAGCAAAAAATTAATGAAATAATCAAAGATTGTTAGAGGTAGAAGATATTTAGATATTTCTTAAGAAAAATTGAGACTACAGTTCATTTAACTGCTATGCATTTTAACATCTGGCTGAGAGAAAAACAGTAAGGACAAGAATCCAAATTTCTTGACTTCTAGAATGATTCTTTTTCATATCATGCTATTTTAAAATGTAAATCAAAGATGACAGATTATCAAGTTTTTATCTAGAGATTGCTTATGTCAGAAAAAAAAAAAGAATGGGGATATTTGACTACAACACAAGACAAAATGGCTTTTGGTGGGAAAAGTACCTCTCTGAACAGAACAGGGCAATACTGTTGTCCTGGAAATAGGAGAGTGCATATGTAATGGAAGAAAGAAAAAAAAAAATACCTCTCTCAAGATGAGGCCACCAGGGCTTAGAGAGCATCCAAAATTGTGATGTCATTACAGTGCAGATCCCAGGGAGTTTCTATTAATGCAAAATGGCTCTCTAAGAATTAAAAGTTGAGCTCTCCAAGGTAGAGGTACAGTATAGTGGTCTCTCTCTTTTCCCATGGAGGAAGTCACTGTGGCTTCCTCCAAAAAAATAAGAAATAAATAAGAAATAATAATAAGAAATAAACCTCCTCAAAAGAAATTGGCTTGGGTTCTCCATCTGCAAGCCAAATGCCCAGAGATTCTAGGGAAAACAGAGAAAGAAAGATGATGAGAGAGAGTTTGGAACAATACGTGGTGTTATAATTTAAGGGAGATTTGTCTTCCAAACAAAAATTTCCCAGGAAGATTACAGAATTCTGGGGCAAAATGGAATTCTGGCAAAATGGAAGGTGGTGAGATGTTTCTTTGGTCTTTTCAAATCTTGCTTTTTGCATACTGTGTCTAGAGAAGTGGTCTACAAATAAAAGCAGGAACATTTTGAATTGGTCTACATTAGATACTAGCATTGAAACTCCTTTGTTGGACTGTATCCTAAAAAAAGACTGACATTAAAAAAGATTATTTGAAAGAATAATTTCATCAATATTCTTTGAAAATTGGCTAGTTTTATATTAATTAATTAGTTATTTCTTTAGTCAAATATTTACTGCATGCCTACTATGTGTTAGGCATTGTGCTAGGTGCTGGAAAGACAATGGTGAGTATTGCTGTGTGCTCCCTGCTTCCAGTTCTCATTCTAATTATATACCATAAAGGAGGAAGAAAAGGAAAGTCTTCCTATTTTGGAGATTAAAAACAACAACATCCATGCATCTGTTCATGGATTAAAAAAAGAAAAAAATAATAAAAATAAAAATGACAAAATTGTATCATCTTGAAGCAAGTCTGAAATTGTTTTATGTAAAAAATACTTAATATTTGGTATGTACTTGGATAACATGATGATTGCTTTAAGGACCAAAGAGAATAACTTATTTTTCTAATTGTAGAATATATTATAATTAAAGAACAAAGTTGTAAATTATAAAAATATATAAAAAAGAAAACTAAAATCACCTGCAATTATACCAATAATTTCCCTTTTTTTTTTTTTTTTTTTACCATTTCTATCATTTTGGTATAATACTTACCAGTTGATTTTCCATGTGCATATGTATACACACATATTTTACCTGACTAGGCTCATACTGTATAAATATTTTCATATTTTTTCTATTTTATGAGTATTTATATTTAATTTAAAATTCTGCAAAAATTATACTTGATGTCTGAATTTCATTGTATCATTCTTTTTTTCTCCCCAAATTCTAGCAAAATCTTATATTATCCTTCACCAGATAATCTACCCTATCTATTATTGGAATATTCTTTAGTCATATTTGGTTCATAGAAATACTGGGGTTAGTTTTATGTTTATCTGTTCCATTCGATTGATCTTTGTATGGATTCTAGGTGCAGTAGTACCATACCACTCTAAATATTGTAGTGCAAGAACACATTTTCATATTTAATCAATTCTATTCCCCTTTATAATGTTTTAAAAATTATCTTTTGCTATTCTGAATGCTAACCATTTAAAAAGTTATTTCACGTTTTTAAAATAATACCACTAGGATTTTGCCTGATATACTAAAGGCATACCTGTACATTAATTGCTATCTTTACAATATTCCCATTTAGAGGCATAATTCTTGACATTTATTTGTCTTTTTGCATGTTGCTCAATAAAGTTTTATAATTCTTTCCAGACAAGAGTCTCGTGCAATTCTTATTCAGGATATTACCGGATATTTTATAATTGAGATTATTACCACAAATTTATTTTTCTTCTTTCCCACCCCCAAATCAAGATAGTGATGAATTTTAAAATTTAAAATATATTATATATTTTCTATCCTGCCATTTTAATTAATTCTTTTCAGTACCAGTGGTTTTTTTAGTTGATCCATTTGGGTTTTTCTATGTTGAAATGTGTTCAACGTCACTATACATTTATGTAAGGTAGGAGGCTGAAACTGTACTAGAAAAAGTCTGTTATGTCAGTCCATTCCCATTATCTCAACTTAGCATATTCTTCTGAAATAGGGTGAATAAGCCCTGATTATATATTTCCTGAAAATGAGAATTTGTTTTCCTTTTTTGTAGCACATCTTTTATAAGTTCATTGCAGTATTGAATTGTCTAGAACTTCCAGCATAATCTTAAATTACAGATATAATCTATCTATATATAATCTTAAAATATAGAATTCTGTGCATTCTTGCCTCATTCCAGATATTGATGTAGACTGTCTCTGCTATTTACAATATAGTGGCTGTTTCCTAGGCACGTTTGAAAGGCCTTCATCATGCATAAACAATAAATAGTAACTGTATTAATTCACTCCTAATGGTATTGAGAAGATCAAGGATGGTGGCTATACAGCAGAACTTTCATGTTACCACAGAGAGTTTACCAAATGGAAGGCCTCACCTTCTTTAATAATTCTTAGAGGAAGCAACAAGTTCTGTGTTTCCTGAAGTAACTGCTCTATTTATTGGAATGTTCAAAACAAGCTTCCAATCTAGAATGTGCTCAACATAAATAAATTTCCACTTAGGGGAGAAGCCTGCAACTGTATTAGAAAATGTATTATTTTAGCCTATTACACCTGTAACATTGACCCAACTTATCATATTCTTCCAAGACAGTGTAAACGAGCCCTGAGCAGTCACTGGATATGTTTTAGCTCTAAAGCAGTTTCAGAATATCATTTAGAGCTCAATGAATTTTATTGACACTAGCATTCTTTTGTACAGCATCGTTCTCTAAGATCAGGTGATACCATTCAATCAAATATAATTTTTAAATGCGTTTTCAGTATCTGGTCATTCAGTGACAGGTCAGTTTTTGTATGCAGGCTGATCTTGTTCAGCAATTATTATTATTTTTTAAACATGAGAGGAGACACAACCAGCACACAGAAATAACGTATTTTCTCTTGCTTTTAACAGAGTCAATGTCCTGAAAAGGAGAGAGGCGCTAATATACCTGAGCACTTCAGTGAGAAAGATGGAAAATCACTTACAGTGCTCAAATAAAAAGATTGCTTCAGGGAAAAAGAAGTCTAAAAAAATCTGTTGTGGTACATAGCTCTGCCAGGTATTTCTTTCCCATGTCTGTGGGCAAATAAATATAATTTTTGTTCACTTTCCATCATGGGAATAAAAAGGAAACATTACTAGTTTTTAAAAGTTATATAGATATAGATATAAATATCTTATTTTCTGTAGGTAAACATTGTTGATAGTATCTCATGTATTTAAAATGTCTTACTGCTTGATTCAGATGTCTTATTTTCTAAAATTCATTTGAGCAATTTGTGTTCTTTTCTGCCAGACATTTCATTGGATTCACAAAAATAAAACAATATAACATCTTTAAACAAGGAGTGGTAATCTTTTTCAATTCCACTGTGGAATGATATATTTAAAAAAAAGAAATTTATTTATAAGCACTTCCAGGGTGCCACTATTCCCCATTTGACCCACGTTAAATATTCTCATTACAATCACTACAAATGAAACATATCACTCTGAGATGAAAGATCCAATGCTACCTAGTCATATGAATGTACCGTATGTTCTCAACATGGATCACAAGTAAACTGCATTTTAATAACTCAAATTATTGCAAATTCAAAACAATATATAGCTACCAAATAAATGTCATAAACCTGATATGCAGAATAAATAAATAGCAACCTGTGTATTTTAGCTATTAAAATTATGATGGAGTATTTTAGCTATTAAATTTATGATTAAATTTATGAATCACATGATTTCATACTGATATTTTTCAAAACTCAGCTTTCTGTTAATAACATAACCAATTATGTTAATTAATCTGTAGGAAAGCACTGACAATGCAATCTAGGGCATAGCATTTTGATAATGTAACAGCACAATTTTTGTTAATGTCAGCCATCACTTTATACCTTTAAAATTCTACTTTTTCATTAATTGTCAGGCTCTTCAGTAGTCTTTTGGTGGAGATCTTATATTATGTTTTTAAAAAGGAGGCCTGTTTTCAATTAACAGTTCCTTGACAAGGTATAACAATATTGTACATCTACACTTTTATTTATTTTTCTCTTTCATTGTTAGCAATCCTCTAAACTTGAAAACATTTTTTCTTCTCTCTGATTTTACATTTGGCAAACATCAATCTTTCCTGTACTTAAGTGCACCATAGTTGACAGGCTGCTTTTGTTAAAGAATGTCAGCTTATACACTGCCTTAATATGCCAAAATTTATTTTGTATTCAGCAGCATGATCAATTACTATCATCCTGTCTTCAGAAATTAAGGCTTGGAAAAAAAATTTGTTTCAGATAAATTTGATTAAAGCAAAGTCCAAATAACTCAGGGCTAAATTTAGAAATTTGTTATTGGGCGTCCTCTTATTATTTCCCCTGTAAGCATATGACATCTTTAAAGAAGATTAGTTGGATACATATTCTAGTGCCCTTAAAATATAAAGAAAATTTGCTTTCATCCAGGACTTGGTTATCTGAAATGCAATTTTAATATTCTTAGTTTGTCTAAAAAAATGTTGGAGGCCATATATAATTCTAAGAACACAAATTAAATGCTGAGATGTAGTTTTCATGTCTTATTTTTAGGAACGTATGATCTTTTTTGAGGGGACAAGATGGGTTATGCCCAAAACTCTGGATAAGAACTTTCATGAGAAAAACCTCTAGCAAAATACAGTAAAAGGAGTAATTGAATCACTATAAATGTAATCAAACTCCTCCATTCTAGACTTTTTCTTTTCTCCTTCAAAGAAGTGATATAACATAGTCTCTCCCAACATACAAAATTTAAAATAATAGGGGAGAAATGAAATCTTCCTAAAACAACCACAACATAACCACATTGAAGAGTTGCCTGCGAGGAAGTTTTATTGTTTGGTTATTCAAAGTAATAGCTGTGTTTGTGTCTGTCTGCATTTTGCTGTCTCTCAATGTATAAGTGAATACAGAAGGAAGAGAGACAAAGGAAGAGAGAGAAACACAGATAGTGAGAAACTGAGAAAAGATCAGGGAAGGTTAAGGGCTGCAAGTGTAGATACAAAGTTCAGAGTAAAAATTCTTCCTGAATTCTATTGGAAAGCACTCACATATGTGATTCCATAAATAAAGGACATAAAAGGCTTTATTAACCACAAAATACACGTCTTTTATATTACTTAGAGTTTGATTTTTTTAAAAAACAAAATACATGTAGAATATTTCAAATTCCATACCAATTCAATGAATGCTGGTCTCTTTGTTGGTTTATTATTGGTCCTGAGAGTTCTATCAGAATATTCTCTATGCCATTTTAATCATTGAAGTATCCTAGAGTTTTGAAGGTATCTGGAGTTATCAGGGTGTATTTTGTCCATTTGTACTTGCCAGGGCAGTAGAAACACAACTGCTGTTATTTTGACCTAACTCATACAGCAGAGTCTACCTTGAATGGGATATGTTTACATAGGTCTAACTTACTTTATCCTCTTGGCCCATTGAACACGATAAGATATTTTAAATTAAATAAAACTTGGCCAACTTATTCTTTCAATATAATTTACATAGCCTATTTTTATAAGAATCCTTTAAAAAGATTGATCTTATCAAAATTTAGTATAGAGTTTCTATTTGATTAGTGGGATTACACTACTATTTTGAAAGCATATAACTAAATTTTTATATTTCCAATTGTCTTTTTGGATGTACACCATTCTGTTTTATTTCTCAATATAGCAATCAACATTGAGTTTTTGCTATCTGCAAGACAGTGTGCTAGAATAAATACTGAGAATTGAGTGGTGTCAGTCATTAATGAAGGTAATAACAAATTTATAACTACATGTAAAAACCTTTAGTTTTTAACCTTTGTAATATTTTCACAATAACAAATCCACAATTTAAAAAATAATCCCACTGTCGGGCAATATGTATTGATTCTTAGTTTGGAAAAAGTGGTCACTACCATTAAATAACTTATATTGCTTTCTAAATAAAATAGCAAGCCACCTTGAGGTACTATCAGAGAGCTCCTAGCAGTCTTTAAACACGTGCCAGACTTCAGTAACAGATTTGGTAGTATTTAAGAAATAAAGCAATGGTAGTAGAAGTTTTAGAATGACTAAAACTATCATTTGTAACTTTGTGATTGCGAAAATAAGGCATGGCTATATGCTTCTAGTATGCATTTAAACAATACAAAAATATATATGATAAAAAGTGAAGTCCTCTGGATTTTGTTTATTTTTACCAGTGTGAATATGATTTTGGAATGATGCCAAACATTTTGGAGGCTGGTACATTAAGGATACTACACCAGCGTTAACCCTTCTTCAAATGACTGAATTCCAAATTGAGAAAATAAAATTTAATTGGAACCTGAATCACATCATTATGTCCTTATGTCCACAGTTATATTAGAACATAATTTTAGGAAATCTATTGAGAGTAGAAATTTATGCAAGAGGCAAATGTAAAGAGACCTAAGACTGCTCTTTCCCTCTCTGCCTCCTACAGGACAAAGGTGATAATGCAGGGGAAATGCTGTGGAATCTTTGCTTCTGTCACTTCTGAGATCCTATCCTGAACTTAGTAAGTGCCTGCTCCAAATATTGTTTTTAACTTTAAAATACTCAAGACCAAAGTGATAGCTTAGTCAGAATTCAGATAAGTAAGCACAAAGCCTTGAAAGAGAAATACCCACCACATATTAACTGAAAGATAATTAATGCTAAATTCACACACTGATATGATTAAATGGATACATGGTAACTAAATAAATTACTTTATTTGCCAATTACTTTAGAAACTAAAGGTATTAAAATTCAGAACTCAGAGTCCTTGTAATATTATTATACAATAAATATTTGGAATATTTCCATTTATCAATAATGCCATCTGTCCTATCCAATACAAATGGACTACAACCCATAAGCCTCCTTTCCCCGTTGATTACTCTGATGAATGAGGTATAACAACTCATAAAACCATCATATCATATCACACTGCCATTAAAAAGATATGGAAAAAGGAGAAACACAAGATAATACTTAATTTGAAACTGTCAAATCAATTTAGTAAAGCTTTTTTTTTTTTTTTTTTTTTTTTTTAAGATAGAATCTCACTTTGTTGCCCAGGCTAGAATGCAGAGGTGCGATCATAGCTCATTGCAGCTGTGACCTCCTAGGCTCAAGTGATCCTCCCACCTCAGCCTCCTAAGTAGAAGGGCCTACAGGTGTGTGCCACCATGCCCAGCTAATTTTTTGGTTTTTTTGTAGAGACAGGGTCTTGCTATTTTGCCAGGGCTGGTCCCGAACTCCTGGGCTCAAGGGATCCTCCCACCTGGCCTCCCAAAGTGCTGGAATTAAAGGCATAAGCCATCAAACCCAGCCTGAATTAGTAAAAACAACCAACATTATGATCCTAAAAAGTATCTGCATGTTGAATAATATTGTGTCAGTCCTGTACTCACTTAGCACCTCCAAAGAAAACCAAAGAACCAAAAGATTCCTGGAAAGAGTATAATGGCTTATTATGATATGTTTTGGTTACTATAATAATCATTCCAATAAGAATACACTCCATTATTACTATAATAATCATCCCCATGAGAATATCCTTTAGGCAGGGGTAACTAAATTAAAAACACTTTTCTTTCACTTCATAGAAAATTATAAAATGATAATTTAACTTCTAATAGCAAGTTGTTTTTAAAGCAAAATTAGATACATTCTTTATACCTTGCAATACAGTCTATAGATTTCAACTGAGCAAAATGATCTTTCCCAAACTAATTTTCTTCTTAGCTATAAATGTATTTTCTTAAAATAATGACAGATGATGATTCTGTAGCAAATTACTGTAAGTAGTGCCTAACTTGACATTAACTAAACTGGAAATTAAATACCACTAACCGGAATTCTCAAATTTTCTTTTTGATGTGGGAATTTGCAATACATTTAGTTATAAGATGAGTATAGTTGGCATGCCTAGAAATTACCTTTATTTTTCAAGCTCTATTACGATGACCAGAACTTGTTTTGCCTACTAGCCTCACTGAAAATATTCTACAAACTGTTTACTGGTGAAACTCATATTAAATTGGGATCCACATCTGTGGATAAGTAAGAAGAAATACATTATGAATAAATATGTTTACTCTATAGTAAAACTTAAGTTTAGCTTAAATAATTTGAAATTTTATATCATTTTATTTTTAGCTTACATTGAATACCAAACGAAGTCCCTGGAGGTGGTGGCGGGGGAGATTCTGTGAAATAACTCAATTTCAAATGTGTCAGCCGCAGCAAAAATAAATTAAAATAAAGCACAAATTCAGAAAGTATTTTCTCTATCAATCGAAGAAAGCAACATTTACAAGAATTCCATAGACCCCAGGAGTTATGGGAAAAGACTCTCAGATATGCAAGCAAGCCTCAGACACAATCAGATTCATTAAAACCACAAGTGTCATAATCAAATTAAGAGGCAGCTAGAGCTGACTGCTTGCAAACGCCACCTGTTACCAGGTGCAGCATCTAGAAGGCTCATTCAGGAAAACCAGGGTACTAACTCCAAAAAAGGTTTGCCAAATCTGCAAGAGGCAGCATGACCTCATCTTCCCTTCTGATCAAAAGAGACACTAGCACTTCCACAAATGTGAAAGCACATAATTTAGAGAAATGTCGTGTTTGAGCCACTGATTCTTATCTGTTACTATGCCAGTGCTACATGATTTTAATTGTATCTTTACAATATATTTTAATATCTGGCGGTGTAAGACTTTCTTATTCTTCCTCCTCTCTTTCCCCATACCCCTCTTATTTCTTCTTTTGGCAAAAACTTTCAGGCTGTTTTTGCCAGCTTTATTCTTTTTTATATCCACTTCAGAACCATTTTGTTAAGTGTATTCCATGGGAGACTTGATTCTAATAAAATTAAATTTATTTTAAAAATAAAATTGTAGAAAGCAGGTATCTTTAAATTATTTTAAATCAGAAACAAGGTATATCTTTTCACTTTTTAAATGTGTCATCCTCCCAGAAAGATTTATGGTTTTCTTTAGAGCAGTCCTGAAATTTCTTAATAGTTTTCATGCTACTGTGCACGTGGTCTTTTTCCCCCATTATATTTTTTAAGTTGGTTACTGCTGATAGTTAGAAGATAAAAGATTTTTGTTATATTTCCTTTTTACTTAGCAATCTTATTTAACTCATATTAATTTTTCTCATAGTTCATGTCTCATGGGTTTACTAGGTAGATAATATTATCTGCAAATAATGATGGTATTGCTAATGTAGTTCTTAACCTCAACAAAGAACAGATTCTTGTTCCTTCTATATTCTAATCATCAGCTCACTCAATTGTTTAACTTAAAAGTCTTACTTTCTGATGATGTGATAGTATAAATTATGGCATAATCTAAAGTCAATATATTTCAGAAACTACTTTTGATACCTGTGGGATAACTAAAAGTTCCAACCCCACACCAGGGCACAGATATCATGTTAGAAAACAAAAACTCAGTTACTATTTTAGAAGAATGGAAAAAATGTGGTCCTTTTTAAATGTTCTTGGAGAAATAAGATGAATCTTAGCACAAGTGAATAAAATATCAGAAAAATTGCCTCCCTCACCAGAAAGTATAATGTGATACATGGGCAGAAATATTTTTAAATAGTATATTTCAACAGTTTCTAAAAACTTTAAGCTTCTTGTACAGAACTCTTAACTTATTGCATTGGGGAATTAAGATAAAATTAGTGATGACTATAAGTTTCTATCAAGTAATTTTCTTTCTCAATTGTGCACAGCCAATTACGAGGCAGAACACAACAGCTCAATCAAACCTTATTATTCCAGATTTAGTTCAAACCCTTATGAAGTGCACTGAGACTTGATATTGTCTGAATAAAACCTTTTCATAAATTGCTCTTTGGTAGGCTAGAAATAAAATAGATACTATAGGTACCTTTTAATGGGTCTTTAAGTTCTGCCAGGTATCCAGAGCAGTGGCAGTGAGCTGGCTGTTCATTAACATAACATTTCATAACAGTGAGCCATGAAAGTGTGCTGAAGTCTGGTGCTTCCATGTGTAGCTTCCAGGATTTTCAGGGTATGGCTTAAGGACAGAGTAGCTTTTGTTTGTATTCCACCACGAACAAATTTCATTGTGCAAGGTACCAGGGCAATTTGCCCAGTAAGATACAGGACTTCTCCAACCTGATACAGGAAAGGGAAATTAAGGACTAAAATAAGAAAACACTACTCTCTTCATTCAAGCTATTACCCGAGTTCTTACTTAACTGGACAAATGGTGATAATATCTACTTTGGTAGGTTATTCTGGGGATTAGATGTATATAAAATATCTATTATATAGAGTTTAGAGCCAGAGCAGGGAATCAAGAAATGTAGCAATTTATTATTATATTGTTATTAGCCATCATTATTATTTCTGAATTAAGACTTTGCCCCCAGTGCAACGAAGTTGACTGAGTTTACTCATGGACCAATAAAGGTACAGCGGGAATAATTAACCACTGTATTTGTTTTAGAGGGCAAAATTAATACAAGGATGAACAGTCATACACTACTTCATATGTCATACACTATTTTAAATAGTGTATAAACAGTCATGCACTATTTTAAAACCCAGTCACATGCTGGGCCTTAAAAGAATTAGTTCTGAGTATATGTGATTAATACTTTTATAATATCATAATATATGCCCCAATTAATTGGACACAGATCTTACTAGGATATTATTTATCCTTGAGGAACATTTAAAATAGGACTAGGAGAAAGATCTTCCTTCAAGTCTGTGTGTTCCTCAAGGGTGGCACTGTGTTTATGGGATAGGGGCTGTGGGTTTCAGGTCATGAAAGCAAGATTTCAAATATGTGTCTTTAAAGTTGAAAATGAATTTGCATCTTATCATTTCACAGACTAATGCCATGGAATTTTTGGCTTCTAAGGACATAGATAGATCACTTTTTTTTTTTTTTTTTTTTTTTTTTTTGCAAATCAGCCTCTATAATTGGACATAAGTGATATGAGACCTTTTTACAAAGCATCTGCTACTTTTTCTGTTGAGACGTTTACTAGATCTTGCTCCAAAAGAGCAAGGAGATAATAAAGGCTCTTTACTCTTTTCTGGTTTTCATAAAAATTCTGTGATAAAACCCTGTTTTTTCACTATTGGAAAGAGTAAACACATGAACTATTTAGTATATATAGATCCCGAATACAGAGTGGTGGTGAATAAAAACTTTTTCCTTTCCCTATTCCCAGAATGTGTAAATTATTTAATAGAGACTTTGCTAAACTTTTACCACAACTAAAAATTCCTCAGTATTAAAGCTCAGTGAAAAGAAATCTCAGTGCCTGAAGACAAGGAAATCAAACCATGTGACAGTCCCATATGCAACTCCAAATCTGTCCTCATAACTGTCTGTAGAGCTCACAAAAGAGTCACACATGTAGCTATTGGAAGAATATCTTACACAATTTGGCACACAAGTTCTAAGATTAGCAGCTGAAGAGGGGGAGGAGGAAGAGAGGAGCATAATACATTAACTGACACCCATCCACTATCTTTCTAAATTGTTTGGAATGTTAAAAATATTGTTTTGATCAATCTATATATACATCCTCAAATTTGAAAGAGAAATTCAAAGCATGTTGTGGTTGAAAGAACAAATGGTTTTTAAAAAAACACTATGAAATATATGTCACTGAACAAGGGAGTCCAGCCAGCTCCCAAGTGGCATGTTAACATGATGAAAAGCAAATCCAGGATGCTGTGAATCAAAGAGGCATGGCTCTATTTTTAAAAAGGCCTGTGTCTCCCCACCCTGTTTGCCAAGTACAATTTTTTTTGGAGTAGCCCAGCATCCAAAATAGGTAAGCATTTAAATGTTCCAGGGATTACCTGCCCAACACTTGACCACCTCCTCCCCTTATAAGGCCTTCGGCTCTACATACATCACCCATGTTAATTACCAGACAAACAGAAGAGCTGTTCAACTAGTTCACTTCCCCTATTCTTGAACAGATTGTTTGAGACATAATATGAATACTAATTAATGATAAAATATCTGTGAGTGTTTTGAAATATGGACGAAGATAGCACTTTTAGAAAGGCGCCCAGATACATCTTGTGCCACAAGCCCCACTGGTCATATGAAGGGTCAGGGTACAGCTTGGAGATATGAGAGCAAAACTGGCAGAGTTTTTGGCTCCAATTCAGTGGGAAACTGTGGACCACTTTTTTTTTTGGAGGGGGGATTTACTTTCTTGTTAACCTTTTCCCTTTGTTAAATTGGAAGAGTTTAGAATGAAAACTCTTTTCACAGACAAATGGAGAGAAAAACAGAATTTTGTTAGAGGTCAACCTGAGTAGATGGAAGAGTGAGACTTCAACATGTTTGATCCAGGATTATGGGTCTATGCTCTGCAGCAAAAGAAATACAAGCAGGTTAGGGCTGATCCAATGCTGAGAATGCTGAGTGCCCAGGACCGATTCAGCCTCTGTGATACAAAGGGCAGGGGAAAGATCGTTTAAAAAAATATGATTCCTCTTCAATTCAATCACCCTTTACAAATAGTTTGCTTAGTCTCAGAGAAGTGCACCCATAGAGATATAGGAAATATACTTTTCATTAAAGAGCAAAGCATATTATTAGGTTGAATTATAAAGACAACTGAAATAGTACTTTTTATGATGAGTCTAAGTCATTGCCAAATCGTGTTGTCTCCTTTCCTTCTAAAACTGAGTATTGTACTTCCTTCCTAAAACCTTTAAAACTGGCTCCGTCTTATCTCAGAAACTTTACTCCATTAATAAACTAGTCTTTGTATTCTTCAATTTTGATATCTAATGTAAATGCTTAAATAGTGCTTTATAATTCTTTGGACTTCAGTAATTGCAATTTGTTCTAATGCCAAAGAAAAGAGAAGAAGATTATTCAAAATTAAACTTAACAACAAAATAATTTATATTTGACATTAGAGTTGTTTTTGCATTGAATTTTAACAATGGATATGTAAAATATTAAAGAAATTCATTTGCCTCACTGAAAGAACTGAAAATGTCTCATGAAAATCTGATTTGGGAAAGAATTAAAGTTAGCCACAGTCTGCGTTTCATGTATAGCTAGTCCTTATCTGTCTGAGGTAAGGCCTGGAATTCTCACACTTTCCTGTAATTACATGATTCTTTCCAAGACTGATTCAAGGTTTGTCATGTTCCAACCTTTCTTAAGGGCAGGGGAAATGATCTCCTATTTGCATTTCAAAGCTTCTCTTTGCATTCAACTAAATTTAGAAAAAAGAGAGATGTCAACATCAAATTATCAAATGAGATACCGTTAACAGTAGTTGCCTAAGATGACAGCAAATTAAGTCCATAAATAAAGAAGGAAAAAGCATAATAAAGATAATTCATTGTAGATATGAACTTTTGTTATAACACACGTTTTTATGCTTGTTTACACTTATTTGTATTTCTCTTCATACATATTAATCTTTCCCCCACCTCCCCACTAGACCTGATGTTAGTACTTTAAGGCCATAGCAGGCTTTTCTTAAATATTTAGAAAAAAAGGTCTAAGAATATCTTCTCAGTTAACTGGAAAAATATACACAATATCCTGGGACAGGTCTTTTCCTCCTGATTGGCTGAACTCTTGAGACTTAATATTTCTTGGCCTTGCTTCCCCAAAGCCATCTCACCTGGACCCCAATTACATCACACAAAGATCCAAAGTCAACTGAAAGCACCAACTGCCACCCCCAGGCCCTGTGCCTAAGGTCCAAACCCACGCAGTGCTTACCTATCCTACGTGGTGAAATACACAATAAAGCTTAAAGAAGAGGCCGGGCGCGGTGGCTCACGCCTGTAATCCCAGCACTTTGGGAGGCCGAGGCGGGTGGATCACAAGGTCAGGAGATCGAGACCATCCTGGCTAACACGGTGAAACCCCGTCTCTATTAAAAATACAAAAAATTAGCCAGACGTGGTGGCGGGCGCCTGTAGTCCCAGCTACTCGCGAGGCTGAGGCAGGAGAATGGCGTGAACCCGCGAGACAGAGCTTGCAGTGAGCTGAGATTGCGCCACTGCACTCCAGCCTGGGCGACAGAGCGAGACTCCGTCTCAAAAAAAAAAAAAAAAGGCTTAAAGAAGAGAGAGGCTATGTCTTCTAATTCTTCTGGGTGTCCCAAGTATCCTCATGTTGATGTTACATTGCTCATTCAGTACTACAGGCGGTGGTGTCCTCAAAAGTGACAGCTAGTAAAGTGATTTTCATAGGGCTACTCTGAATTTACTAAGAGCATTCACAATGCCACTAGAACTGGTTGAGTCTTCACCAGTTTGGAGAGTAGAATGAAAGCTGAAACAGAGATGATATACAGAATCATTAGAAGCACAAAGTACGTAAGGAAGGATTTTCCTCCTTCTCATGTTTTTATGTTGCTCAGGCCCAAAACCTTGGAATCTTCCTCTAATCCTTTCTTTCTATTACTCCCCACTTTCTATCTGCCAGGATATACTGTTCTACTTTCAACATATATCCAGAATCCAACCACTTCTCATCATGTTCAATGTTACCACTATGATCCAAGCCACTATCATTTTTCATCTGAATCACGGATAAAACTTTTTTTTTTGAGGCAGAGTTTCACTCTTCTTACCCAAGCTGGAGTGCAGCGGCACGATCTCAGCTCACTGCAACCTCCGCCTCACGGGTTCAAGTGATTCTCCTGCCTCAGACTACCGAGTAGCTGGGATTACAGGCATCACCACCACATCCGGCTAATTTTTTGTATTTTTAGTAGAGATGGGGTTTCACCATGTTGGCCAGGCTTGTCTCGAACTCCTGACCTCAGGTGATCCAGCTGCCTCAGCCTCCCAAAGTGCTAGGATTACAGGTGTGAGCCACCACGCTTGGCCCTGGATACAACTTCTTAATCGGTCCATCTGCTTCTACTCTCGCAAGAATCTATGCTCAACCCAGTACCTGAGTGATCCTTGTAACATGAAAGTCAGATTAGGCCAGCCCTCTGCTCCACCTGTGAATTGAGTATGTGAATTATCATAACACCATCTTGTGCAATAATTCACCAAATAGTTTACCATTAGTGCCTTTTATGGCATGTTTAAGAAGCATCATGAGGGAAGAGGAACAGTTGACTTACCTACCAAGTGGGCAAATGCACAAGATACTCTCTGTGCCACTTGCCCACTTGGTAGAGAATGTCAGAGTCAAGAGTCCCTAACAAATATTTATATAACTTATCTTTAACTTGAATTTATGAACAGATGATTGTCTAGATGTCAGAGTAATATATGACTCATAAAAGTATGCAATACCAGAACACACAGATTTAACATAGAATAAGGAAGTACATATAACCTAAACTATTTATTTTGGTGGAAAATCTTTTTTTTAGAGACAGGGTGTCACTCAGTTGCCCAGGCTGGGGTACAGTGGTGTGATCACTGCTCACTGCAGCATCAAACTCTTGGGCTCTTACTCCCGTCTCAGCCTCCCAAGTAGCTGGGAACACAGGCGTGCACAACCACACCCAGCTAATTAAAAAAAATTTTTTTTTGTAGAGATGGAGTCTTGATTTGTTGGCCAGGCTGGTCTTAAACTCCTGGCTTCAAGTAATCTTCCTGCCTTGGATTACAGGTGCTAGCCACTACACCCAGCTGAAAATCTTTAACAACAGCTACCATTTACTGAGCCATTATCATATGCCATTTAATGCGCTAGGCATTTTACCTGCATAATTTCATTTGATTCTCACAAAGCCACTGTCGGCACTATTATTATACCTATTTTAACGACAAGTGCACTGGAACTTGGAGAAGTCAAGTAAATCACTCAAGGTTTCACAGGTGGGACACGGCAAACCTGGGACACAATTATAAGGATGTTTGATGGCAGTGCCTGTGCAGTCTTAACTACTAAGTCATATTACTTTTAATTTCCATAGGCATCTTTCTTATCTTTGGCTCTAGTACTTGATCCAACATTGGATATGAAAGTTTCTGTACATTTAGTACAGTTTCAGCAAAGTTAGTACAGTTTCAGAGAGTTAAATAGCTTTTCCAAAATTCTAAAGAATAATGCAAAGTTAGAGTCAGATTAGCATGGTAGATAGAGCTTGAATTTTAGAGCCAGCAAGACCTGGGTTGTGGGCCTTTGGACAGGTTACCCTGTGAAACCAGTTTTCTTATCTGTGAAATGACAATTATGCTGTCTGTATATAGAATGCTTAGTATTTTGCAGACAATATACCAATAGTCACTGTTAATCTCTAATGTTGAATCATTTGAAAACCATACGATCTCACAAACAAAGCAGATGTTTTGATAGTATATAGATTTGTTTTCTTTATATACTTGGTAGCTTAATTATTCATGAATTATAACAGTAATTTTTTCTTCAACTCTGACTCTCACTTTATTTTCATATTCAATGCTATTGGTTTAGTCACATGACTGAATTAAAACTTATTGCTTCTTACAATAGTCTGATAAATTACTAATGAATAATTTAATACTAGTAAAGAGATTAATGAGTTCTTAAATTATAACAAATTATTCTATCACAGGTTACAGTTACATGTAGCATAAAACTAATTATGGTCATTTACTTATTTAATCAGTAAATTTTTACCAAGTGCCTATATGTGCTGAGCACTGAACTCTTTGCTAGATATTTAATATGAAAATACACCATTCCTACTCTGAATAAATAGTCTAGTGGGAAGACAGTCATGCCAAGAGGGCCATTGAATCACTTGGAAAAACCAGTAAAAAGGTACCACAATTGATCAATCAAAAAACAAGTTGCTGAACTGGGGCAATGGCAGTGGGTTGACATAGAGGGCCCTTATATCTACTGGCAATATTCAGTAAGTAGAACTGATGGCATGTGATTCTAGATGAGATGTATATTTGGGGAGGACAGAATGTAAAGGAAAGGACCTAGGCTGACTCATGGGTTTCTATTTGATCTAGAGACACAACTTGTAAAACTGGTGTGCTAAACAAAAGTATTTTCTCCTTAAAATCTAACTCATGGAATCATCAGTGATATTTGAATCAATAATAGCAAATGTAAGTGATAATAATGTTAAGTAGAGGAGGACAAATAGAAAAAATTTTTAAAAATAAAATGCTAACAAATGTAACTAGTTACATCACCACCATATAAATTAGGTGCAATGCTTTATGATGAGAAAAATCACTTGAAGTATAAGCAAAAATTTAGGTTTAGATTAGATAACCTTGCATTTTCATTTCTCCTGTGATTGGCAGCAAATATCCAATCTCCTATGTCAGCAGTGGATATTTAGAAGGCATACCAATGTCCTTATTTTTTATTTATTTTTTATTTTTTTGAGACGGAGTTTTGCTCTTGTTGCCCAGGCTGGAGTGCAATGGCGGATCTCGGCTCATTGCAACCTCTGCCTCCCGGGTTCAAGCGATTCTCCTGCCTCAGCCTCCCAAGTAGCTGGGATTACAGACACCTGCCACCACGCCCGGCTAATTTTTGTATTTTTAGTAGAGATGGGGTTTCACTATGTTGGCCAGGCTGGTCTTGAACTCCTGACCTCAGGCGATCCACCCGCCTTGGCCTCCCAAAGTGCTGGGATTACAGGTGTGAGCCACTGCACCCGGCCACCAATGTCCTTATTAATGTGAGCCTCAAATATGGTTCTAACCGTTAACTTTGAGACTGGTGTCCCAGAGCCATTTCAGCAACTGTGTGCCCAACTTTCTACAATTAGAGCAAAGCCACATAGCAGGAGAAAAGTTTATATTGCAAAGGGATATACAGTTCTTTCTTGGTGTCAGTGGGGGAATGGTTCCAGAGTCTCTCTTGAATACCAAAATCTGAGAATGCTCATGTCCCTGATATAAAATGGCATACACACATCCTCCCTGTATGTTTTAAGTCATCTCTCGATGACTTATAATACTTAATGCAAAGTAAATGCTATGTAAATAGTTGTTATACTGTATTTTTTTTACTGAGTAATCACAAGAATAAAGTCTGTACGTGCTTGGTACAGACACAACATTTTTTTTCAAATATTTTCAGTCCTCGGTTGAATCCACAGATGCAGAACCCACAGATACAGAGGGCCAACTGTAGTCATTGGATCGATCTGCTCTTTAAAAAGCTATTTAGAGTTTCAAGTGCAAGCTGCTTGCTGAACAAAAATCCTCAGACACAATCAACCACAGGATTTCAACCAAACTTCAAGTATTTTACAAAGAAATAACATAGTATTTGTTCAAAGAGAACGAAACACCTTTTTCTAAGGGTGATTTAAGTCAATAAGTAATAAGCTAAATCTTTGTTATGAATGCATTCTGGGGTCTGAATGACTGTTGCCCTTTCAGAGGGCAAAGTGCACAAAAGATTCAGTGACCTTCTGACTTGACAGTCAAATAACTACCATTATGTTCAGTCAATATAAGTAAGCATGGCTGACAATTTGCTAATTGGCTGCCTGTGGTCAGTCAAGTGTACTTTTGACCTTAATGAGAACCTAATCAATTAATACTCAGGGCAATAAAGACTTCTTACTGATTAAGTTAGACAGAAATTATCTTTTTCTAATAGGATTAATGCTACAAAGTGGCCAACTTTTTATTTAACATATGATAATCCTCTCTTCTTTG
The DNA here is from genome assembly GCF_000001405.40 of Homo sapiens. NCBI lineage: Eukaryota > Metazoa > Chordata > Mammalia > Primates > Hominidae > Homo > Homo sapiens. The sequence continues at coordinate 35,218,661 of NC_000015.10, forward strand.
GACTCTCTTATTTAGCTAACATGGTGAAACTGAATTATGAAACGTGAGATCTTTTGTTCAACTATGCTTAAAGCTTTTTTTTTTAATTAAAACAAAACAAGCAGTGTAATTAAGATACTAAAATGAGAACGTCTGGTGTTTATTTGAATTATATGACAATCAACTGAACCTGATATGATCACAGAATTGAAAAAAAATGTATGTTTTCTTACACCAAGAGAGTCCATATTGAAATCCTTAAAAAATAATGAAAGTCACTAGAATTGTTTTTAAATCAGGGTCCTTTTCTGGCAACTACTAAGATGATAGTAGCTAGGATTCCAGAGGCATACAGTTTTCTTTTTAATTGAAAAGAAAGATGATACTATTGTCTTTCATGAAGATATTTTAAAAATGCTCTTAAAATAAAAATTTCTTTACATTACAAGAGCAACTGTCATTTTAAGTCACAAAGTGTAGTCTTCTCTTCCGTAATGTGGTTGATATAAAGCAGCATCCTTTTATGTGCTCTGTAGAGTAGGTAAACAGCCTCTATGCTGAAATGCAGCCATAATTTGTAGGAGCTTCCAGAATTACTTTCTGTTTACAATGCATAATATCTGACTTGGCAAAGGAACAAGTTTATCATTTTAGGTTAAAAATTTATCATTTAGACACAGTGACTAAAAATTTATAATTCTCTGAGATAAGCTTTCCTCTTTAAGGCTTTGAAATTCATTTGGCTCAGACGATACTTTTGAAAATGTATGTATTTTATATAGGAGAGCAGATATGGTTCCTTTAAAAAATAGTTGAAAAGCAACAGCTGTGTATCTGCAATAACTGTTTCATGACGCTTTTAATACAGATAAATATGCAAATATGTCAGACTATTTTTAATACACCATTTTCACGCAGCCTAGTGACTGAAAACAGAGCAAACGTTCTGTGTATTTAGATTCATAATGAGAAATATACACCACTCAAAACTGGAATTATTGTCATGTTGCAGTGAGTAATAAAAAATATGTTTTTGGATGGTAAATAAAACAGTGCTAAGTCATAACAAGTACATTGACAAAGTCCAGGGAGTAGCTGTTCAGTTTCTACTACCATATCATCAATATTGTTTAAAAAAACTACAATGCACTGCTCAGATTCTTCTGCTGATGGGATAATACATGTTAACATCACAAACAATAGGTAATTTTATCTGGATTCTAGTTTCTGAAGACAGGGCCAACTGGGTTTCATAATTTAGATAAGTAATTCAAGTAGTTAAATCAAGTTACATTTTTTAGTAGAATCATATGAGAAATCCATAATGGAATTAGAATTAAGTCCCACAGGTTCAACTGAACCTTACTATGCTAAGCTTTCTTTTAATATTACCCACAATGACTTTGTTACACATTTATTATGAAAAATGTCAAACACAAAGCAGAGTATAATAAGGAACATCCACATACACTACCACTATTAACATTTTACTATACTTGTGATATCATATATCTCTGTCTACTATAATTTTTTTCTTTTAGATTTTTGACTACTTTTATTTTTTAAAAATAGACTATTTTGGGAGGGCAGTTTTACGTTTACAGAAAAGTTGAGTGGGAAATACCAAGAGGTCCCACATCACCTCCCAACCTCTCCCCACAGTTTCCTCTATTAATATTTTGGATTAGTGTAGTAGATTTGTTACAACTGATGAGTGTCTTAGCCTGTTTTATGCTGCTGTAACAGAATACTACAGACTGAGTAATTTATTAAGAACAGAAATGAATTGGCTCATAGTAGGATCTGTAATAATTAATTAGACCATGATGACTCCACCCTCATGAATGAACTCACAGTTCTGGAGGCTGAAAAGTCCACTATAAAGATGCCACCATCTGGTGAGAGCCTTCTTGCTGCATCATAACATGTTGGTAGGCATCACACTGTGAAAGGGCAAAGAGGCAGGAGACAGGAGTGAACAAGAGTGGGGTAAAGCCACTTCTGCAATAATAGCATTAGTTCATTCATAAGGGTGGACTCATCCTGGTCTAATTAATTATTACAGATCCTATCTCCCAAAACTGTTGCAATGGTAATTAAATTTCAACATGACTCTGGAAAGGACAACCATTCAAAACATAGTATTCTACCACCAACACAAGGGGCAGTATTGAAAAAAAAATTTTTTTGAAGTATTCCACCTCTAGCCTCCCAAAACTTATACATTCGTTTCAACCCAACAGCTCTCAAAGTCTTAACTCATTCCAGCATCAACTCAAAAGTCTAAGTCCAAAGTCTCATCTAAATCATCTGTGGGTGAGATTAAAGGCACAATTCATCATAAGGCAAATTCCTCTCCAGCTGTGAGCCTGTGAAATCAAAACATGCTACAAGCTTCCAAAACACCAAGGCGGAACAGGCAAAAGATGAACATTCATATTCCAAAAGGGGGAAAAGAGTAAACAACATTAAATCATAAGACTCCAGAGTAATCTTTCTTGACTCCATGTCCTGCCTCCTGAACACACTAGGGTAGGCGTTGGGCCCCCTAGGCCTCAGGCAGTCCCACCCCTATGGCTTTGCTGGGCTCTGCTCATGCAGCAGCTATCACAGGTTGAATTGCTGGGGCTACCTGTTGGTGGTTCTATAGTTCTGGGGTCTTAGGGGTGGCCCTATTCCCATGGCTCCACTAAGAACTTCCCTGACAGGGACTTTCTGCAGAGGCCGCACCCCCATGGCTCCACTAAGTACTGCCCTGGTGGGAACTCTCTGCAGTGGCTCCACTCCTGTGACAATTCTCAGCCTGGGTCTCAAGGGTCTCTGAGGTATCCTAGGTGAAGGCCACCATAGTACCAAGCTCATGCACTCTGTGTCTGCAGAGTTATCACCATGTGGACCATTATGGGTCTGTATGTTCCTGAGAGAGGTAGCAGGACCACTGGTTTTGCCCTTAAGGTCCTAGATGGGAAAGACATCCTGGAAGATCTCCTAAATGCCTTTGGGTTGTTCTCCCATTGTCTTGATGAATAGCACTTGGCTTCCTTCTATCCATACTAATCCCATTATCAAAGGGTAGCTTGGCTACCCCGTTGGTATTCTCTCCCAAGCAAGCTTTTTAATTCTTTATATGGCCAGGTGTCAATTTTTCCAAGTGGTTACATTCTGCTTTCTTTTTAATTAATTATAAATTCCATCTTTAAATCACTTCTCTTTTCTGACATTTTACTATGTGCAGTTGAAAGAAGCCATGCAGCACCCTCAATATTTTGCTTAGAAATTTCTTCTGTCAGATATCCTGGTTCATGGCTCTTAAATTCTGCCTTCCATAAAGCCCTGGGCCATGGACACAATTCAGCCAAGTTCTTTGCCACTTATAATAAGGATGGCCTTAACTCTAGTTTCCAATACCTTGTTTCTCATTTCTGAGAGTTCATTAGAATTGCTTTTACTGTTAACATTTCTATCAATATTCTGATCATGAACACTTACATAATCTCTAAGAAGTTTCAGACTTTCCCCACAGCTCTCTTCTTCTGAGCCATGTAGAAACAATTCAGCAGAATTACCCACAATGCTCAATTCATGACAATATAGGCTTTTTCCAGCATTAATTTCAAAACTGTTCTACCTGCTACCCATTACTCAGTTCCAAAGTCACTTCCATAATTTGTTATGTGAACCAAAAGTATTTGAGACAGGTTTCAATCAATTTAGAACATTTATTTTGTCAGGGTTAAGAACATGCCCTTGGCACAGTCTCATGAGGTCCTGATGACATGTGCCCAAACAAGATGATCAGGGTACAGCTTGGTTTTATACATTTTAGGGAGACATGAGACATCAACCAATACATGTAAAATGTACAGTGGTTTGGTCTGGAAGGGTAGGACAACTTGAAGGGGGGGGTTTCAGGTCATCGGTAGATGAGAAATGGTTGCATTCTTTTGAGTCTTTGACTAGCCTTTCACTGAATACACAATTCACATATGAACTGGGGTACAGAAAAAGTCACTTATGTCTTAGTCTGGCTCAGTGAATCTGCATTTTTACATAAACAATAGGGAAGAGGAAGCAATCAGATACGCATTTGTCTCAGGTGAGCAGAGGGATGACTTTGAGTTCTCTCTTTTGTCCTGTACCTGTGAAGATAAACTATCAATTTACATTGCCAGGGTGAAATTCAACTGTTTCAGGGTAAAGATCTTGAGGCCCACAAGGAATTTCCTTGTGGGCAAATTGTGAGGCAGGTAAGTAGCTTTTTAATCTTCGTAGCTATCTTATTTAGGAATCAAATGGGAGGCAAGTTTGCCTGAGGCAGTTCCCAGCTTGACTCTTCCCTCTGGCTTGGCGATTTTGGCGTCCAAAGACTTATTCCATTTCACAGTTGTAACAAGTTATAACAACTCTCCACTCTCTAGTACCACTTTTCTTAGTTTGCTTTGTGCTGCTATAACAGGGTACTTGACTGGGTAATTTATAATGAATGGAAATGTATTAGTTTACAGTTTTGGAGGCTGGGAAGTCTAAGATTAAAAGGCCAGAATCTTGCAAAGGCCTTCTTGCTGCATCATGCTATGATGGAAGGCATCACATGGTAGAAGAGCAAAAAGAGGGCAAGAAAACGAGCAAGAAAGGCAAATCTACTCTCCTGATAGTGAACTCACTCTCAGGAAAACAGCATTTGTCCATTGATGAGGGTGGAGCTCTAATGGACTCATCATCTCTTAAAACTCCCACCTCCCAATGACATTATAATAGCAATGAAGGCCGGGTGCCCTAGCTTACGCCTGTAATCCCTGCACTTTGGGAGGCCAAGGCTGGTGGATCACGAGGTCAGGAGATGGAGACCACCCTGGCTAAGAAGGTGAAACCCCGTCTCTACTAAAAATACAAAAAATTAACCAGGCACGGTGGTGGACGCCTGTAGTCCCAGCTACTCGGGAGGCTGAGGCAGGAGAATGGCGTGAACCTGGGAGGCGGAGCTTGCAGTGAGCGGAGATCGCGCCACTGCACTCCAGCCTGGGCGACAGAGCAAAACTCCGTCTCAAAAAAAAAAGCAATCAAATTTGTCATAATTTTGGAGGGGACAAACATTTACACTATAGCAATGAACCAATATTAATAAATTATTATTAATTAAAGTATATAGTTTATATTATAGTTTCACCCTTTGTGTTGAACTTTCTGTGAGTTTTAACTAATGCATAATGAAATGTACCCACTATTACAGTTTCTTACAGAATAACGTAACTGCCTTAAAAATCCCCCACGCTCCACCTATTCATCCCTCATTCCCTCTTCTGGAAATCCTGGCAACCACTTATCTCTTTACTGTCTCCATAGTTTTGTCTCTTTTCAGAATGTCATAGAACCATATAGCATGTAGCCTTTTCAGATAATCTTCTTTTAATTAGCAATATGCACTTAAGGCTCATCCAGTCTTTCTGTGGCATGATTTTAGTTTTTTTTTTTTTTTTTTTTTTTTGAGACCAAGTGTTGCTCTGTCACCCAGGCTAGAGTGCAGTGGTGTGATCTCAGCTCACTGCAACCTCCACCTCCTGGGTTAAAGCGATTCTCCTGCCTCAGTCTCCAGAGTAGCTAGGATCACAGGCACCCACCACCATGCCCAGCTAATTTTTGTATTTTTAGTAGAGACGGGGTTTCATCATGTTGGCCAGGCTAGTCTCAGACTCCTGACCTCAAGTGATCCGCCTGCCACGGCCTCCCAAAGTGCTGGGATTACAGGCATGAGCCACCACGCCTGGCCTGATTTTAGCTTTGAATAATATTCCGTTGGATGGATGTACTAAAGTTTGTTCATCCACTCATCTAATGAAGGACATCTTGGTTGCTTCAAATGTTTAGCAATTATGAATAAAGCTGCTACGAACATTCATGTATTGGTTTTTTAATAAATGTAAGTTTCAACTTATTTGGGTAAATACCAAGGAGCACAGTCGCTGGATCTTATGTTAAGAATATATTCAGTTTTGTATAAAACTGCTAAACTGTCTTCTAGAGTGGCTGTGCCATTTTGTATTTCCACCAGCAATGAATGAGAGTTCCTCTTGTTCCATATTCTCACCAGCATGTGGTATTGTCAGTGTTTTGAATTTTGCTGTTCTAATAGGTGTGTAGTGGATTTAATAGATTTTTAAGGACACTTTGTACTTTGAAGTAAATTTATATTTACAGAAAAGTCACACAGGTAATACAGAGAATTCCTGTGTACCACTCAACCAATCTCCCCAATGTTAACATCTTAAATTACCGTGGTATACTTGTCAAGACTAAGATACCAACGTTGATACACTGTCAGTCACTAAACTCCAGATTTTATTCATATTTCATTAGTATTTCTATTAATGTCTCCCTTTTGTTTCAGGATCCCATCCAGGATAACACATTGCATTCAGCCATATGTCTCCTTAGTTTCCTCTGGTCTATGACAGTTTCTCAGTCTTTCTTCATTTTCCATTACCTTGACAGTTTTAAGGTGCACTGGTAAGGCATTTTGTCTCTCAATCTGAGTTTATCTGATACTCAGGATTAGATCAGAATTACAGGATTTGGGTAAGAATACCACAGAGGTGAAATGTCCTTCTCATCACATCCTATAATGGGGTATGTGCAATAAAAATAACCTATTACTGGTGATGTTAATCTTGATCATTTGATTAAGGTGCTGTTTATCAGATTTGTTTACTATAAAGATGTTATTCCTCTCCTTTCATGCTCTATTATTTGTAAGGAAGTCACTAAGTCCAATCAACACTTGATGGTAGGGGATTATTTATATCAGTATAATAAAGTTATGTATATGGTTTTTATACTTTAAATTTTGTTGCTAAAATTGTTATAGCTTTGGCCATTGGAGACGTGTTCAGGATGGCTTTCTGTCTACTTGATGTCTCTAGCCTTTTATTTTTTTGAGTACTTCCTTACTTTCAGACACTATAACATACTTCAGGCTCATATTGTATCTTCTCTGCCCCAGATACAGAATCAGCCATTTCTTCAAAAAGTCCAGATTTTTTCTATTAAGCTATCGTATTTTGAAACAAAGATCCAGGTACTAGGTGTGCTTGCTGTCACTGGTGTGTTACCACAATGATTTACTTATCTTTGAACTAAGATTATAACATGAGGAGGTATAATTTGAAAATTTGACTTTTCTTAAATTTAAATACCTGAGAGGAGTTACTTCAGCAAAGTATCTTGAATTGTTCTACCTAATGGCTTAGAAAAATCATACGATTGTCAAAAATATTTTTTATTTGTGATTTTAACCTGTCTCATTTGTACCTATATTAAAAATGATTTATTGCTGGGCATGGTGGCATGTGCCTATAGTAGCAGCTACTTGGGAGGCTAAGGCAGGAAGACTGCTTGAGTCCAGGCTTCTGAAGCCATAGTGTGCGATGACAATGCCTGTGAATAGTCACTGCACTCCAGCCTGGGCAACACAGTAATATCTCATCACAAAAAATAAATAAATAAATAAAAATAAAAATATTATTATAGAAATAACAGAACCATCAGGAATAGCTGTAAATGTTCATGTATCTATTCGGTTTTCTGCAATCTGGAACAGGCATATTAGTGTAGTATGGTGATAGCTTTATTTTTTCAGCTAAAATACTTTGTCTCTGTATAGTTCTCCGAACTGCTTTTCCCCTTATACTAATAAATACCTTTACTCAGTCTTTACATACGTAAGGTAACAAAAATAAATTAATTCACTAGTTAGCTGTTATTTGGGAGTGGTAATAGAGGAAAGTTTCCACATACATTTAAAAAAAATAGGTAAAGAAAAGTGCAGCACAACTATAGTTGTATGGAAAGCCTTATTGGTACAAGTCAAAATGGCATATCATCATCAAAATGGTCTCATGTTTAGTGGAAAAAGCTATCCTTGGACTGAAGAAACCTGGGATACATTTACAATAGCTACAAATAAAATTAAATACCTAGGAATTAACTGAAGAGGTGAAAGACCTCTGCAATGAAAACTACAAAACACTGATGAAAAAACTTGAAAAGGTCACAAAAAATGGAAAGATATTCCATGTTCATGGATTGGAAGAATGAATACAGTTAAAATGTTCAGACTACCCAAAGCAATCTACAGGTTGAACGCAATACTGATCAAAATACCAGTTTTGTCTGGTTTTGGTATCAGGGTAATACTGGCTCATAGAATGAGTTTGGAAGTATTCCCTCCTCATCTATTTTTTGGAATACTTTAAGTAGGATTGGTATCAGCTCTTTAAATGTTTGGTAGAAATCAGCAGTGAAGCCATTAGGTTCTGTCTGGGCTTTTCTTTACTGGGAGACTTTTCATTATGGTTTTCATCTTGTCACTTGTTATAGGTCTGCTCAGGTTTTGGATTTCTTCCTGTTTCAATCTTGGTAGGTTGTATGTGCTGGAAATTTGTCCGTTTCTTTTAGATTTTCCAATTTATTGGCATGTAGTTGCTCATAGTAGCCACTAATGAACCTTTCAATTTCTGCAATATCAGTTATAACATCTTCTTTTTTTTTTTTTTTTTTTTTTTTTTTGAGATGGAGTCTTGCTCTGTCACCCAGGCTGGAGTGCAGAGGCGCGATCTCGGCTCACTGCAAGCTCCGCCTCCCGGGTTCATGCCATTCTCCTGCCTCAGTCTCCCCAGTAGCTGGGACTACAGGCGCCCGCCACCACACCCGGCTAATTTTTTGTATTTTTAGTAGAGATAGGGTTTCACCGTGTTAGCCAGGATGGTCTCAACCTCCTGACCTCATGATCCACCCATCTCGGCCTCCCAAAGTGCTGGGATTACAGGTGTGAGCCACCGTGCCTGGCCTAACATCTTCTTTTTCATCTCTGATTTTATTTGGCTCTTCTCATTTTTTTTCCTTAGTCTGGCTAAAGGTTTGTCAATTTTATTTTTCCAAAAACCAACTTTTTGTTTTATTGATCTTTTGTATTATTTTCTTCATTTCAAAATCATGTATTTCTGTTCTGATTTTTTTTTTCTTCTACTAAGTTTGGTTTTGGTTTGCTCTGGCTTTTCTAGTTTTTAAGATACATTGTTAGGATGTTTATTTGGTTTTTCATCTTTTTTTTGATGTAGGCATTTATAGATATAAACTTCTCTCTTAGTACCATTTTTGCTGTATCTCATACGTTTTGGTATGATGTATTTCCATTACCATTTGTTTCAAAAAATTTTTCAATTTTCTTCTTAATTTCCTTATTGACCCATTGATCATTTGTGAGCATATTGTTTAATTTTCATGTATTTGTATAGTTTCCAAAATTTCTCATTATTGACTTCTAGTTTTATTCCATTGTGGTCACAGAAGATGCTTGCTATTTTTTCAATTTTTTGAATGTTTTAAGACTTATTTTATGACCTAATATATGGTTTTTCCTTTAGAAAGATTCATGTTCTAAAGAAAATAATGTGTATTCTGCAGTCATTCAATGAAATGTTCTGTAAATATCTGTTAGATCCATTTGGTCTATAGTGTAGACCAACATTGTTTGCATAAACAAACAAACAAAAAGAAATAATAAAGACCCTGCACCTTAAAAGTTAAAAAGTGTCCCCCAACTTTTAAACTTTTTATTATTACTGTTTATATGTTATTGTACTGCCCATGTCTTGAAAAGTTGTTGTAGTCATTATTTTAGATTGGTTCATTGTTTAGTCTTTCTACGTAGGATACGAGTAGTTTATACACTACAGTTACAGTGTTATAATATTCTGTGTTTTTCTGTGTACTTACTATTACCAGTGAGGTGGTTTTTGTTTTGTTTTGTTTGGAGACAGTGTGTTTTCTGTCACCTAGGCTGGAGTGCAGTGGCACAATTTCAGCTCACCATAGCCTTGACCCTCTGGGCTCAAGGAATTGTCCCACCTCAGCCACCAAGTAGCTGGGACCACAGACACGTGCCACTATGCCTGGCTAATTTTTGTATTTTTGTAGAGACGGGGTTTCAGCATGTTGCCCAGGCTGAACCAGTGAGTTTTATACCATCAGATAATTTCTTATTGCTCATTAACGCCCTTTTCTTTCTGATTGAAATACTCCCTTTAGCATTTCTTGTAGAACAGGTCTTGTGTTGATGAAATTCCTCATCTTTTGTTTGCCTGGAAAAGTCTTTATCTTTCCTTCATGTTGGAAGGATAATTTTGTTGGATATATTATTCCAGGGTAAAAGTTTTTAGCACTTTAAATATGTCATGCCACTCTCTCCTGGCCTGTAAGGTTTCCCTGAAAGTCTGCTCCAGGCATAGTGGAGCTCCATAGTATGTTATTTGGTTCTTTTCTCTTGCTGCTTTTAGGGCCTTTTCTTTATCCTTGACCTTTGAAAGTTTGATTATTAAATGCCCTGAGGTAGTCTTCCTTGGGTTAAATCTTCTGGGTGTTCTATAACTTTCTTGTACTTGGATATTGATATCTTCCCCTATGTTTGAAAAATTCTCTGTTATTATTGCTTTGAATATTCTATCCCTATCGATTTCCCTACCTCCTCTTTAAGGCCAATTACTCTTAAATTTGCTGTTTTGAGGCTATTTTCTCGATCTTGTAGGTTTGCTTCATTGTTTTGTTTTCTTTTTTCTTTTCTATGTATTTTCAAATAGACTGTCTTCAAGTTCACTAATTCTTTCTTCTGCTTGATCAATTCTGCTATTAAAAGACTCGGATGTATTCTTCAGTATGCCAATTGCATTTTCAACTCTAGAATTTCTGCTTGATTCTTTTAAATTATTTCAATCTATTTGTTAAATTTAGCTGATAGAATTCCAAATTCCTTCTCTGTGATATCTTGAATTTCTTTGAGTTTCCTAAAAACAGCTATTTTGAATTTTCTGTCTGAAAGGTCACATATCTCTGTTTCTCTAGTGTTGATTCCTGGTGTTTTATTTAGCTCATTTGGTGAGGTCATGTTTTCCTGGATCATCTTGATATTTATAGATGTTTGTCTGTGTCTGGGCATTGAAGAATTAGGTATTTATTATAGTCTTCATAGTCCAGGCTTGTTTGTATCCATAGTTCTTTAGAAGGCTTTCCGGATATTTGAAAGGACTTGGGTGTTGTGATCTAACCTGTATCTGCTTTTTGGCACCCAAAGCTCGGTAAACTGTGGTTCTTGCAGACTTGTAGAGGTATACTGCCTTGACTGGACAAGATCCAGGAGAATTCTCTGGATTACCAGATAAAAACTCTTTGTTCTCTTCCCTTACTTTCTCTCAAACAAATGGAGTCTCTTCCTCTCTGTTTTGAGCCACCTGGAGCTGGGGATGGAGTGACACAGGAATCCTTGTGGTCACTACCCCTGGGACTGTACTGGGTCAGACCTGAAGCCAACACAGCACTGAGTCTCACCCAGGCCTGCTGCAACCACTCCCTGGCTACCACCTATGGTCACTCGAAGCCCTGGGGCTCTACAATCAGGACTGTGTCCTTTTCTTCAGGGTGGCGAGTTCCCCTAGGCCCCAGGCAGGTCCAGAGGCGTCATCTGGGAGCCAGGGACTACTGTCAAAAACCTTAGAAGCCCACCTGGTGTTCTACTATACTGCAGCTGAGCTGGCACTCAAATCACAAGACACAACCCTTTCCACTCTTCCTTCCCCTTTCCAAAGGCAGAGGAGCCTCACCTTGTGGCCATCACTACCTCAGACCCACAAGGTATAGTGCCAGACTACCACCAATGTTCCCTTAAGGCCCAAGGGCTCTTCAGTTAGCTTGTGGTGAATGCTGCCTGCCCTAGGACTCACCTCTCAGGGGAGTGGGCTCCCCTTCTGGCCCAGGGCAGGTCCAAAAATGCCATCCAAAAGCGAAGTCCTGGAGTCCTGGGAGCCCCAAGAGTCTGCTTGATGCTCTACCCAACTGTGGCTGAGCCGGGATCCAAGGTGCAAGACAAAGTCCCACTTTTATCAAAGAGAAGAAGTCTTGCCCTGTAGTCACAACTGGGAATGTGCTGAGTCTCCCATGAAACCAGCAAGTCTCAGAATCTCACCCAAGGCCCTCAACATAGTACCTGGGTATTGCTGCTGGTTATTCAGGGCTCAAGGGATCTTCAGTTAGCAGGTGATGAATCCTGCCAGGACTGAGCCCTTCCCTTTAAAGCAGCAGATTTCCTTATGTCCCAAGGTGTGTCTAGAAATGTCCTGAAGCTAGGGCCTGCAAAGGGAGTTCAAGACTCTGAATGGTGTCCTATCCTGCTGTGGCTGAGCTGGTATCCAAGATACAAAATAATGTCCTCCCCACTTTTCCATCTCCTCTCCTCAAGTTGAAAGAAGAGGTCTCTATTGGATCTGTGAGCTGTGCAGCCTGGGTTTAGGGGCGGGGTGATGCCCGTACTCCCTTAGCTGTCCCAGCTGGTATCTCAGTAGGTCACATGTCCCCTCCAGTCTACTGTCTGTGGGCTCATTTCGGCACTAGGACTCACCTAGGTGTTGCAGTCCTAGTGGCCTAGACTGCCTTTCAAGTTTATTTGGAGCCCCAGAGCACTGTAGACTGTGGTGATGAGGCTTGCAGGAATTGGAGTTCCCATCAGTGGGATCTGCAATTCCCCTCTAAATAGGGCTCGTTTAAATGCTCCCTCCTTGGGTGGGTGTCAACTGAGTTTGGTCTGGTTTTGCTTTTTGCTATAATAATGGCAGCACTGAGTTCAATGCCTTACAATTGCTGGCTCTCCCTCTCCTCAGGGCACAGAAATATTCTCTGCACCATGCTGCTGCTTCCGGGAAATGGAAGGGGGGTGGCATGGGCCATCCAAGACTATTTCTTCTACCTCTTCAGTGCCTCTTCCAGTGATATAGAGTTAAAACCAGGTACTGTGAGTTCTCATCTGATTTTTGGTTCATACAAAGGTGCTTTTTTTGTGTGTAGAAAGTTGTTAAATTGGTGTCCTTGTTGCGGGTGGACAATCAGTGGAGCTTTCTTTTCTGCCATCTTGCTCCACCCATCTCTGTAATCACAGCACTTGTATTAGTCTGTTTTGTGTTGCTATTAAGGAATACTTGAGGCAGGGTAATTTATGAATAAGAGATTTACTTGGCTTAGTTCTGCAAGCTGTACAGGAAGCATGGTGCCAGCATCGGCTCGGCTTCTGGTGAGGCCTCAGGAAGTTTTTACTTATGGTGGCAGGGAAGAGGAGCCAGCATGTCACATGGTGAGAGAGGGAGCAAGAGTGAGGGGAGGAGGTGCCAGGGTCTTTGAAACAATTCAATCTCATGATCTCGCAGGAGCAAACAGAGTAAGAACTCACTCATTACCACGGGTAGGCACCAAGCTATTCATGAGCGATCTGCCCCCATGACTCAAATACTCTCCACTAAGCTGTACTTCAAAGATTGGGGATCACTTTTCAACTTGAAATTTTGGGGAACAAACATCCAAACTGTATCAGTATTACTGGGAGTGAACTGGAAAGACAGGAGGTAGCAATCAGGGAGTGAGGTGCTCAAAATGAGATTATGGAGGGCTTGCTGTTATTCGTAATGACAAGGCTCAATGTATTGGCTCAGTATATGACCAAGAGATTTAGTGTCTTTGGATGAAAAAGAGTAGGTCAAGTGTTGGAAAGACAGCCTTGTCTACCTTGGAAGGATATTGTGATCACTAATAATTGACACAGAACCTGGAGTTAAAATATTCAAGGCAAGGCCAGGCGCGGTGGCTCATGCCTGTAATCTCAACACTTTGGGAGGCCAAGGCGGGTGGATCATGAGGTCAGGAGTTCAAGACCATCCTGGCCAACATGGTGAAACCCTGTCTCCACTAAAAATACAAAATATAAGCCGGGTGTGATGGTGGGTGCCTGTAATCTCAGCTACTCAGGAGGCTGAGGCAGGAAAATCATTTGAACCCGGGAGGCAGAGGTTGCAGTGAGCTGAGACCGCACCACTGCACTCTAGCCCAGGTGACAGAGCAATACTCCGTGTCAAAAACAAAAACAAAAACAAAAACAAACAAACAAACAACAACAATATATATATATCCAAGGCATGAAGGGAAACACTCCAAGATTCTATAGGTAACTAAAATAAGAACTTCTGCAACACTTTTTTCTATCACATTTGCAAAAATAAAAAAGATTGATAGGTTCTAGTATTTGCCAAGCATGGGAGGAGTATGGTATAACATTTTCACAGGCAGCCTAGCAATATTTATCTTAATTCTCATACTCAGCAATTCCATTATGGAAAACTTATCCTACAAAAATAGTTGCAAGAGAATGCAAAGACATTTGTACAATAATGTTCAACTGCAGAAATGCTTACAATAGTAAAATACTAAAAAGAATCTAGATATTCATCAACAGACAATTAGCAAAATAAAGTATACACCCATCAATGAAAAACCATGCAACCATGAAAAAGAATGAAGGGACTGGCCGTGGTGGCTCATGCCTGTAATCTCAGCATTTTGGGAGGCTGCGGTGGGGGGATCACTTGAGGTCAGCAGTTTGAGACCAGCCTGGCCAATGTGGTGAAACCCCGTCTCTACTAAAAATAAAAAAAATTAGAAAGGTGTGGTGGCGGGCACCTGTAATCCCAGCTACTCGGGAATCTGAGGCAGTAGAATCACTTGAACATGGGATATGGAGATTTCAGTGAGCCAAGATCGCCCCATTGCACTCCAGCCTAGGCAACAAGAGCAAAACTCTGTATCAAAAGTAAATAAATAAATGAAGGGGTACTACATGTACAGACATAAAACAATCTCCATTGTATTTTATTAAGTGTGGGACAAAAGACAAAATGGCACAAATTCTTTTTGTTGTTATAAAAATTAAAAATCTTGGATTTTATAAGCTTGTACAGGTTCTAGAATAAGAAAAAATTAAGGTACACTGTTACAAAATCAATAAAAGAAAATTAGTTGTGCAAAAGGAATCATTAAGACTTTCTCAGGGCTTTGTGGAATGCTCCAGTGGCCTAAAGAACCCTGGTTTCTTCCCTGGGAACAGCTGAAGAATAAAGACAGCAGGAATTTGAAGTTCACCTCAAGCCAAACACTATAACTTCCCTTATAGACAAGCACAAAGGTCTTGGACATGGGTCTGGCACTATGTCCTCTCTGACTGCACCCACCTCACCCCTCATCACTCTCCACACTCCAGCCACTAGCCTTTTTCCTCTATTCTCTAATGTACTGAGTTTATTCCTACTTCTTGCAGTCGTACTTAATATTTTCATTGTCTTTAATGCAGATCTTTGCATGGCTGGCTTCTTGTCAATCAAATCTCCACTCAAACATCACCTTTCAGATAAATGCTCTGCTTCCCTGACTTTAAATTCATTGTTTTATTTATTTTATAGTATTTATCACTCTCAAAAGATACTCTGTTTATTTGTTTGCCTGTTTGTTATCGTGTATGGCCCCCAACCCCCCACAGGAGGAACCTGCTATGTTTAGTTCACCATTGTACTTCCAATATTTAGAAAAGTACCTGGTATATATGGGGTACTTACTATTTGTTGAGTGAATGCATGAAGAAATGGCTAGGAAGTAGTCATACATCTAAGTAACTAAGGCTGATTCTTCTGGCTTGCCCCAGATTGAGCCTGTAGCAAATTCCTGAGACATCTAATTTAAAAAACTGCATTTAATGGCAAACTTCTGTTCCAACAAGGTAAGCATGATAGTAAGGCCTCTTTTGTTTGTGTGCAGGTGTGGGGTGATAAGGTGGTGGTGGTGGTATATCCCATGCTTCACATACCACAACCTAACTTCTGAGCATTCTTTGTTTCTCCTTCCACTCAAACCAACTCTGCTAGTTCCAACTGGGTTCACAATTTAGCTCAAACATTACCATGTCTACAGCTTGAAATAAATTAGATTCAGAATACAACAAATCAAAATTTACAATAAGAACAAGAGATCAGTGGCTATTTGTTAATTTCTTATAATTGTACTTTCTTTTTCCTATTTAATATTAACAACACCCAAACTATGACATTTGAATAATATTGACTCCACTCATAGACTTAAGCCAAATTTAGGAATGGGCATGTAACAGCTGGCTTAAGCCAATGAAAACATTGCATTTCTTGGCCTTGTCAACTAAAATAGGATTGGGCATGTGATCTAAACTGTATCAATGCAAGTAATTCAGTATTTTTGTTGGGAAAATTGGATATGGATTCTCTATTTTGTACTGGCTTGGTGCTTGGTGGTATGGGTATATGAAGCTTGGAACAGCTTATGGCAATGAGGAGAGAAACTGGAGCTACTGGAATGTCCTATCAGGATGGAGTAAATCCAGAGGAAGTAGAATTGAGAGATAAAATGTGTGAACACTGGATCAAGCTACATCTGAAAAGAGATCATTCCATTTCTGTATGCTGAAATCAAAATATTCTTAACTGATATCAAGGAAAACATAGGTCTTCAGTCAGGCTCTACTTCTATCTCTGGTATCTGGGAAACAACCTTTAGGAGATGTTGTCAGTGCTCTGTCCAGAAGCCCTTTTACCATTTCCGGGCATTCACTTCCCTTTGGTATAACAGCCACACTCCCTTTAGCTACTGGAGCCACTTGGGCCACAAGTGAAAGAGAGCCTGGGAGTTTTCCAATGACTGTCTAGTCCAGGGGTAGGAAAGTCCAGTTCCCTTTCCTTGGTTTGGACAACCTTGTGGTATAAAGTATATTCCAGAGTTCCCATGCAAGACAACTTTTGTCTGAGGCTGCACTGTGCCAGGCTTCCTTCTCTTTCCTGTCCTGACCTTCGTTTATAAACACTTGCATACAAGTCTTCATCTCCTAGCTTAAGACAGTCTCCTCAATGTGTGTGCACAGGTCGATTACTTGGCAAAAAAATCCAATAAAAATATTAGAACTCAGAGAATAAATGCTCTATTCACCTCTGAATTTCACTAGTGGATATTGTACTTTCAAAAAATGCAATTATGAAAGTATTCAATGTAATCCAGAGAGAATAGAGAGAGCCTGATTGCACTGCAGTTTCAGGCTCTTCCTACCAAAAATTCAGTTTTGAGTGTGTGTTTCCCAAAATATACACTGTTTTAAAATTTCAAATTCATAAAAACTTATAGTCTTCCAGATTTTAGCTTTTGAAAATGGAGGGTTCTTTCTCAAATACTTGAATTCCTATATATCAAGGTCTCTGCTTACAATATTATTCTTTCTCACAGTGTGCTATATATACTGTGGTAGATTTGCTATCTGAGATGCAAGAAAGTGTACTGCAGTTGGAGAATATTCAACTTAGAAACTACTCATTGTGCTTTCAAAGTTTAATTTGTGTTATGAGTATTTTCTTAGTTAAAAAAGAAACAAAAGAGAACATGGACTAATAATATATTGAAATAATGCCACCACATGTTTAGTTTAATGTGTGATAAGATGGAATTGAAGAACAAAGAGCTTTCTAATCAAGTATTTAGATAGAACCATGCATGTTTCTGGCATTAAATTTTATGTTCTTACTCTCATATGCATAAATATGAGGTACCAGATATCTGCCATATTAAGTCAGCATTATATACTCATGGAAAAATAATTATTTCATTTTGTAAAGTTGATATCTAGGTCCATATAAGTAGTCAAAAAGTAAGAAGCATCAAACTGAATTTTGGTGAAGTTTTTCAGATAGGAATAATTTAGTATAGTTAAAAAGTAACAAGTATAGGCCATGAAACCCCTTAAAGGAATTTGCCTTATTGTAATCACATGTTAGAAAACCTCAAGTGTTGGCTGGGCGCGGTGGCTCACGCCTGTAATCCCAGCACTTTGGGAGGCTGAGGCAGGCAGATCACGAGGTCAGGAGATCGAGACCATCCGGGCTAACACGGTGAAACCCCGTCTCTACTAAAAATACAAAAAAATTAGCCGGGCGTGTTGGCGGGCGCCTGTAGTCCCAGCTACTCGGGAGGCTGAGGCAGGAGAATGGTGTGAACCTGGGAGGTGGAGCTTGCAGTGAGCCCAGATCGCGCCACTGCACTCCAGCCTGGGCGACAGAGACAGAGACTCCATCTCAAAAAAAAAAAAAAGAAAAAAAGAAAACTTCAAGTGTTATTGGTAATCAGGTATCTACTATTTATATGTATCCTAATGGTAATCTGACCATGATTTTGATATCCTTTTTGTGGACCTGTAAACCAGTATGATCTGATTAGTTTAGATCATCACCAGTAAGAATAATTGCTTTAATTCAATCTGTAATCTGGAAGTTATTTAGTTACTCAATATTCTTAAGACTGGGGCTCTTACATACTGCTTTCTATGACACTTTTAATGTATTCTGTTAATAAACACTATTTTTGTTCCTAGTCGATAGATATTTTTGTTCCTAGTTGATAAAGTCGATAGATAAGTGGCTCATCTCCATTACATAATCTGGTGAGTTGTTGAAGGAAGTTTTATACTGTACATCATGACTGTTTTTCTTGGGTTGGAATGCATGCACATAGGCATTGTTTTGCTTAGGTATTGGGTTTTCCTCTACAATTTTACTTGATGGTAATCTTTACAAAAACCTCTCCCAGTTTCCTTATTTAAAAATTCAGCATTAAAAGAATGACCATTGAGGTTAGCGTGTGCCGGGGGTGCTGGGGGCTCGAGAACTGAGCGGAGCTGGTTGAGCCTTGAAAGTGCTAAAACGCGCGGCCGTGTTATTGATTGAATTCCAGCGGCGCGGGAGCCTCTGCAGAGAACGCGAGAGATGAAGATGGGCAGACGGATTCATTTAGAGCTGCGGAACAGGACGCCCTCTGATGTGAAAGAACTTGTCCTGGACAACAGTCGGTCGAATGAAGGCAAACTCGAAGGCCTCACAGATGAATCTGAATAACTGGAATTCTTCAGTGCAACCAACGTAGGCCTCACCTCAACTGCAAACTTACCGAAGTTAAACAAACTTAAGAAGCTTGAACTAAGCGATAACAGAGTCTCGGGGGGCGTGGAAGCATTGGCAGAAAAGTGTCCGAACCTCACGCATCTAAATTTATGTGGCAACAAAATTAAAGACCTCAGCACAACAGAGCCACTGAAAAACTTAGAAAACCTCAAGAGCTTAGACCTTTTCAATTGCGAGGTAACCAACCTGAACGACTACCGAGAAAATGTGTTCAAGCTCCTCCTGCAACTCACATATCTTGACGGCTATGACCGGGACGACAAGGAGGCCCCTAACTTGGATGCTGAGGGCTACGTGGAGGGCCTGGAGGAGGAGGAGGAGGATGAGGATGAGGAGGAGTATGACGAAGATGCTCAGGTAGTGGAGGACGAGGAGGAGGAGGAAGGTGAAGAGGAGGACGTGAGTGGAGAGGAGGAGGAGGATGAAAAAGGTTATAACGATGGAGAGGTTGATGATGAGGAAGATGAAGAAGAGCTCCGTGAAGAAGAAAGGGGTCAGAAGCGAAAAGGAGAACCTGAAGATGAGGGAGAAGATGATGACTAAGTGGAATAACCTATTTTGAAAAATTCCTATTGTGATTTGACTGTTTTTACCCATATCCCCTCCCCCGCTCCAATCCTGCCCCCTGAAACTTATTTTTTTTTCTGATTGTAACGTTGCTGTGGGAACGAGAGGGGAAAGGTGTACTGGGGGTTGCAGGGAGAGGGAGGGCGGGTGGGGGTGGAATAAAATACTATTTTTACTGCCAAAAAAAAAAAAATGACCATTAAGCAGTAAATGAAGTCTTGCTGTCAGGAACAGTATGGCAAGAACTATTTCCTGCTTACAAAATCACTTTATCGGGAGTAGTTGTCTTCCTCACTACTGGGCAATGTTTTATTAAGGCATTTCAATATGCATCCTGCTTTAATTAGCTATGCAAATAGTACACCACCTTCAGGAGCAAATGCTACTGAGAACCCAGCCACACTTGGGGAGCCAATTCCCACATCTACAATTTAGTAATGAGATTATTTTGGGCAAAGCTTTCATGTTTCTGTGGTTCTCTTTCTCTTCTTGGAAATTTGGGAAAAGACTATGTTGCCTATGCAATTCCGTCACTTAATACTGTCAGGCCTCTTAGCCCAAGCCAAGCCATCGCATCCCCTGTGATTTGCACATACACACCCAGATGGCCTGAAGTAACTGAAGAATCACAAAAGAAGTGAAAAGGCCCTGCCCCGCCTTAACTGATGACATTCCACCATTGTGATGTGTTCCTGCCCCACTTTAACTGAGTGATTAACCCTGTGAATTTCCTTCTCCTGGCTCAGAAGCTCCCCTACTGAGCACCTTGTGACCCCTGCCCCTGCCCACCAGAGAACAACCCTCTTTGACTGTAATTTTCCATTACCTTCCCAAATCCTATAAAACGGCCCCACCCTTATCTCCCTTTGCTGACTCTCTTTTCGGACTCAGCCCGCCTGCACCCAGGTGAAATAAACAGCCATGTTGCTCACACAAAGCCTGTTTGGTGGTCTCTTCACACGGACGTGCATGAAATTTGGTGCTGTGACATGGATCGGGGGACCTCCCTTGGGAGATCAATCCCCCGTCCTCCTGCTCTTTGCTCCGTGAGAAAGATCCACCTACGACCTCAGGTCCTCAGACCTACCAGCCCAAGAAACATCTCACCAATTTCAAATCCGGTAAGCGGCCTCTTTTTACTCTCTTCTCCAACTTCCCTCACTATCCCTCAACCTCTTTCTCCTTTCAATCTTGGCGCTACACTTCAATCACTCCCTTCTCTTAATTTCAATTCCTTTCATTTTCTGGTAGAGACAAAAGAGACACGTTTTATCTGTGGACCCCAAACTCCGGCGCCGGTCACGGACTGGGAAGGCAGCCTTCCCTTGGTGTTTAATCATTGCAGGGATGCCTCTCTGATTATACACCCACGTTTCAAGGGTGTCAGACCATGCAGGGACGCCTGCCTTGGTCCTTCACCCTTAGCGGCAAGTCCCGCTTTTCTGGGGAAGGAGCAAGTACCCCAACCCCTTCTCTCCTTGTCTCTACCCCTTCTCTGCCTTTCCTGGGGCGGGGGCAAGTACCCCTCAACCCCTTCTCCTTCAACCTTAGCGGCAAGTCCCGCTTTCCTGGGGCAGGGGCAAGTACCCCTCAACCCCTTCTCCTTCACCCTTAGTGGCAAGTCCTGCTTTCCTGGGGCAGGGGCAAGTACCCCTCAACCCCTTCTCCTTCACCCTTAGCAGCAAGTCCCGCTTTCCTAGGGGGCAAGAACCCCCCAATCGCTTATTTCCACACCCCAACCTCTTATCTCTGTGCCCCAATCCCTTATTTCTGCACCCTGACCTCTTATCTCTGTGCCCCAATCCCTTATTTCCGCGCCCTAACCTCTTATCTCTGTGCCCCAATCCCTTATTTCCGTGCCCTAACCCCTTCTCTGCTTTTCTGGAGGGCAAGAACCCCCCACCCCTTCTCCGTGTCTCTACTCTTTTCTCTGGGCTTGCCTCCTTCACTATGGGTAAGCTTCCACCTTCCATTCCTCCTTCTTCTCCCTTAGCCTGTGTTCTCAAAAACTTAAAACCTCTTCAACTCACACCTGACCTAAAACCTAAATGCCTTATTTTCTTCTGCAATGCCGCTTGACCCCAATACAAACTCAACAGTAGTTCCAAATAGCCAGAAAACGGCACTTTCAATTTTTCCATCCTACAAGATCTAAATAATTCTTGTCCTAAAATGGGCAAATGGTCTGAGGTGCCTGACGTCCAGGCATTCTTTTACACATCAGTCCCTTCCTAGTCTCTGTGCCCAGTGCAACTCGTCCCAAATCTTCCTTCTTTCCCTCCCTCCTGTCCCCTCAGTCCCAACCCCAAGCATCACTGAGTCTTTCTAATCTTCCTTTTCTACAGACCCATCTGATCTCTCCCCTCCTTGCCAGCCCAAGCTAGGTCCCAATTCTTCCTCAGCCTCCGCTCCTCCACCCTGTAATCTTTTTATCGCCTCCCCTCCTCACACCTGGTCTGGCTTACAGTTTCATTCTGTGACTAGCCCTCCCCCACCTGCCCAGCAATTTACTCTTAAAAAGGTGGCTGGAGCCAAAGGCATAGTCAGGGTTAATGCTCATTTTTCTTTATCCCAAATCAGTTAGCGTTTAGGCTCTTCTTCATCAAATATAAAAACCCAGCCCAGTTCATGGCTCGTTCGGCAGCAGCCCTGAGACGCTTTACAGCCCTAGACCCTAAAAGGTCAAAAGGCCGTCTTATTCTCAATATACATTTTATTACCCAATCTGCTCCCGACATTAAATAAAACTCCAAAAATTAAATTCCGGCCCTCAAACCCCACAACAGGATTTAATTAACCTCGCCTTCAAGGTGTACAATAATAGAAAAAAGTTGCAATTCCTTGCCTCCACTGTGAGACAAACCCCAGCCACATCTCCAGCACACAAGAACTTCCAAACGCCTGAACCGCAGCGGCCAGGTGTTCCTCCAGAACCTCCTCCCACAGGAGCTTGCTACACGTGCCGGAAATCTGACCACCAGGCCAAGGAATGCCCGCAGCCCAGGATTCCTCCTAAGCCGTGTCCCATCTGTGCGGGACCCCACTGGAAATCGCACTGTCCAACTCACCTGGCAGCCACTCCCAGAGCCCCTGGAACTCTGGCCCAAGGCTCTCTGACTGACTCCTTCCCAGATCTTCTCGGCTTAGCAGCTGAAGACTGACACTGCCCGATCGCCTCGGAAGCCCCCTAGACCATCACGGACGCCGAGCTTTGGGTAACTCTCACAGTGGAAGGTTAAGTCCGTCCCGTTCTTAATCAATACGGAGGCTACCCACTCCACATTACCTTCTTTTCAAGGCCTGTTTCCCTTGCCTCCATAACTGTTGTGGGTATTGACAGCCAGGCTTCTAAACCTCTTAAAACTTCCCAACTCTGGTGCCAACTTAGACAACACTCTTTTATGCACTCTTTTTTAGTTATCTCCACCTGCCCAGTTCCCTTATTAGGCCGAGATATTTTAACCAAATTATCTGCTTCCCTGACTATTCCTGGATTATAGCCACATCTCATTGCTGCCCTTCTTCCCAATCCAAAGCCTCCTTTGCGTCCTCCTCTTGTATTCCCCCACCTTAACCCACAAGTATAAGATACCTCTACTCCCTCCTTGTCGACCGATCATGCACCCCTTACCATCTCATTAAAACCTAATCACCCTTACCCCTCTGAATGCCAATATCTCATCCCACAGCATGCTTTGAAAAGATTAAAGCCTGTTATCACTCGCCTGCTACAGCATGGCCTTTTAAAGCCTATAAATTCTCCTTACAATTCCCCCATTTTACCTGTCTTAAAACCAGACAAGCCTTACAAGTTAGTCCAGGATCTATGCCTTATCAACCAAATTGTTTTGCCTATCCACCCCATGGTGCCAAACCCATATACTCTCCTATCCTCAATACCTCCCTCCACAATCCATTATTCTGTTCTGGATCTCAAACGTGCTTTCTTTACTATTCCTTTGCACCCGTCATCCCAGCCTCTCTTCGCTTTCACTTGGACTGACCCTGACACCCATCAGGCTCAGCAAATTACCTGGGCTGTACCGCCGCAAAGCTTCACAGACAGCCCCCATTACTTCAGTCAAGCCCAAATTTCATCCTCATCTGTTACCTATCTTGGCATAATTCTCGTAAAAACACACGTGCTCTCCCTGCTGATCGTGTCCAGCTGATCTCCCAAACCTCAATCCCTTACAAAACAACAACTCCTTTCCTTCCTAGGCATGGTTAGTGCGGTCAGAATTCTTACACAAGAGCCAGGACCGCACCCTATAGCCTTTCTGTCCAAACAACTTGACCTTACTGTTTTAGCCTAGCCCTCATGTCTGCCTGCAGCGGCTGCCGCTGCTTTAATACTTTTAGAGGCCTTTCCTACAAGGTCTGAGAAGGCCACGGCAGTCAGTTCTTCCCTTCTGTCAGACATAATTCCTCAGTTTAGCCTTCCCACCTCTATACAGTCTGATAACAGACCAGCTTTTATTAGTCAAATCAGCCAAGCATTTTTTCAGGCTCTTAGTATTCAGTGACAGACTAATGGTCTATTAAAAACACACCTCACCAAGCTCAGCCACCAACTTAAAAAGGACTGGACAATACTTTTACCACTTTCCCTTCTCAGTAGTCAGACCTGTCCTCAGAATGCTACAAGGTACAGCCCATTTGAGCTCCTGTATAGACGCTCCTTTTTATTAGGCCCCAGTCTCATTCCAGACACCAGACCAACTTCGACTGTGCCCCCAAATAACTTGTCATCCCTACTATCTTCTGTCTAGTCATACTCCTATTCACCGTTCTCAACTACTCATACATGCCCTGCTCTTGTTTACACTGCCGGTTTACACTGTTTTTCCAAGCCGTCACAGCTGATATCTCCTCGTGCTATCCTCAAACTGCCACTCTTAACTCTTGAAGTAAATAAATAATCTTTGCTGGCAGGACTATGCTGAACCTCCGTAGGCACTCTCTAATTAGATGTCCTAGGTCCTCCCAATTCTTAGTCCTTTTATACCTGTTTTTCTCCTTCTCTTATTCCATTTAGTTTTTCAATTCATACAAAACCGTATCCAGGCCATCACCAATAATTCTACATGACAAATGTTTCTTCTAACATCCCCACAATATCACCCCTTACCACAAGATCTCCCTTCAGCTTAATCTCTCCCACTCTAGGTTCCCACGCCGCCCCTAATACCGCTTGAAGCAGCCCTGAGAAACATCGCCCATTCTCTCTCCATACCACCCCCCAAAAATTTTCGCCGCCCCAACACTTCAACACTATTTTGTTTTATTTTTCTTATTAATATAAGAAGGCAGGAATGTCAGGCCTCTGAGCCCAAGCCAAGCCATTGCATCCCCTGTGACTTGCACGTATATGCCCAGATGGCCTGAAGTAACTGAAGAATCACAAAAGAAGTGAAAAGGTCCTGCCCCGCCTTAACTGATGACATTCCACCATTGTGATGTGTTCCTGCCCCACTTTAACTGAGTGATTAACCCTGTGAATTTCCTTCTCCTGGCTCAGAAGCTCCCCTACTGAGCACCTTGTGACCCCTGCCCCTGCCCACCAGAGAACAACCCTCTTTGACTGTAATTTTCCATTACCTTCCCAAATCCTATAAAACGGCCCCACCCTTATCTCCCTTTGCTGACTCTCTTTTCGGACTCAGCCCGCCTGCACCCAGGTGAAATAAACAGCCATGTTGCTCACACAAAGCCTGTTTGGTGGTCTCTTCCCACGGACGCGCATGAAAAATTCCTTTCTATTTTGCATTATAATTATTTATACACAAATTTTATTTGCCTTACCAGTGTATAAGCTACTTCAAGGCAGCAGCTAATGTAGTATCTTGCAAATGACCAATAATCACTGGATGGATGATTCATAAAGCAAATATTTTCAGTAAATATTTGTATGTTTAATGCTCAAGGAAAATGGCAGTATTGGATTTTAATTCAGTATAGTAATAAAAGCTCTGAAGAATAAACATTTTTAGTTTTTAAGCTCCTTGAAGGCAGAAGCTATATACAAATGTCAATTTTTTATGCTCAGGTAAGGGTGGGATGTACCAAAAGATATTTAATTAATGCCTTTGAGTCAATCTAAAATGAGAATAATTCATAACATAATCAGAATTTTTTAAATTCCAAACTAGTTCTTACTATGGCATTTTGCCCCCTTTCCACTTTTTCCTCCCCTCTGGGAACTGGAAGAGTTCCTTGAATGACCTCTTTAAATGCTAGGCTTTCTCTATAGCACGTTAGTATAAAATCTTTTTCTCCTTCTGAAAACTGGAGGGAGCTTCCTGAATGATTGATTGGTGTGGTGTCCCCTGGACACTCTGGTGCAAACACCATGCAACCACTGATTGATGTGCTCGCTCTTTCACGAACACATTCATTTTCTCTTTTCTAACACACAATTTATTCATCCCATGATGCATTTATGCATCCATTATCACTGTCTTTCAATTTTTAAGCAGGTGAAAAGATGAAAAGTTAATGCTTATAAGGTGGTAAGGCAAGCCTATCTTAAGTAAAAGCAGTGATTATCCCATATATCCAGAAGAGTATTTTTTCAAGAGTTTCTTTTACTCTGATTAATTACAATTTTAAAACAACTTTGGATTGTGAAAGAAGAAAACTTAGGATGGGTGAGTGAAGCTAGAGAGAGCTGTGCTGAGTTACACATTATTAATAATACCAGGGCTGAACTGGGGATAAGGAGACAAAATTCTAGGTAAGGGCCTATGAGCCTACGAGCTTGGTAAGTCAATTAAACTTTTTGGAATTTGATTTTCTTATTTGTAAAATGTGGGGATTTAACTAGATGGCTTTGAAGGCTCCTTCCAGCTACAATGTTTTATGATCATGTAACTACCACTGATAGGTAGAAACATCACGAAAGAATCTGACACTCATGAAAAATGTAGACGAAAGTCATTACACTTTTAGGGGGAGGCTATTCATGCTACATATTGTTAGTGTGATTTAAATATGAACCACATGCCCACTCAGGAAAAAAAAATGAACAATTTATACAAGAATCTATCAATCATTCATGATTCTATGAAATCAGAAACAATTCTCTAATACGTATGTAGTTTAGGGGCAAACATTTATAAATATTTCTGGGTCATTGTTCTTGCTTTTTTTTTTTTTTTTTTTTTTTTGAGATGGAGTCTTGCACTCTCGCCCAGGCTGGAGTGCAGTGGTGCCATCTCGGCTCACTGCAAGCTCCGCCTCCCGGGTTCACGCCATTCTCCTGCCTCAGCCTCCCCAGTAGCTGGGACTACAGGCGCCCGCCACCATGCCCGGATAATTTTTTGTATTTTTAGTAGAGATGGGGTTTCACTGTGTTAGCCAGGATGGTCTCGATCTCCTGACCTTGTGATCCACCTGCCTCGGCCTCCCAAAGTGCTGGGATTACAGGCGTGAGCCACCACGCTGGCGGGTCATTGTTTAAATTGCGAGAAAAAGTAGAAATTTAGTTTATATTGGTTAGCTTCAGGGTTTACAAAAGAGGGAAAGCATTATCTAAGACAAGGGAAGGTTGATTTCATTTTCCAAGAAGACTTATTTCCCTCTGACGTATCACTTCAATGAACTGCAGAACAGCTCTCTCAAATCAAACAAATCAACACATTTTAACTTTTCACAAAATTAAGCATTTGAAAATCTCTTAACTCAAGAGCATCCCACAACAAAATAATTTACAGTGTTACCTATAGGACATGAAAATTAGAGAAGAAGGCTTAAGGAATATAATACAGGATGTTCTCAAGCAAATGTTGAGTCTGACAGGTAAGTGTCAGGCCTCTGGGCCCAAGCCTGCACGTATACATCCAGATGGCCTGAAGTAACTGAAGAATGACAAAAGAAGTGAAAATGGCCGGTTCCTGCCTTAACTGATGACATTACCTTGTGAAATTCCTTCTCCTGGCTCAGAAGCTCCCCCACTGAGCACCTTGTGACCCCTGCCCCTGCCAGCCAGAGAACAACCCCTTTGACTGTAATTTTCCTTTACCTACCCAAATCCTATAAAACGGCCCCACCCCTATCTCCCTTTGCTGACTCTCTTTTCGGACTCAGCCCACCTGCACCCAGGTGATTAAAAAGCTTTACTGCTCACACAAAGCGTGTTTGGTGGGCTCTTCACAGGGACGCACGTGAAAGTAAGTTTCATTGGCAAGTTAAACTGGTGAACAGTTATTTCTTCATTCATTCATTCAAATAATACTTGTTGAGCACTTAATTGTCAGACACTGCTTCAAACAATCTTTTGTTAATTTTGTTTTTCCACATATTCTTACGGAGGATGACACATCCAAATGATAATTTGGATATTTAGTTAGTCCCCATCTCCCCATTTCCTTTCCCCATTAGTGTCTCCCTTCAAATAGTATTTTTCTTCAAAGCTCTGCCTGCCTTTTAGTGAGCAATGGGATTAGCGCCAGACTGCAGTAAGCAATTTGTTCATCCTTGGAGAGCACATTTGCACTACCCCATGATACAGGCATTTAAATGATTTTATTCGTTCACCTGTGTTGAACATTAAGGGGGTAAATTTTCAGTCCAGGGATTTGGCTTTAAAACTCCAATTGATGTTAATGAGAATTGGTAATGAGCCCCTTCTTCTTAATTAGTGGCACCATACCTGTGACTGTAGGAGGCATGGCTCAGACGTGGGAAGCTTAACGAGGTGATAACAAGGAGAAAATGTTTAAGCCTGGATTTTGGCCTGGTCCATACTTTACTATGGAAACATACTTTAGGAGCTGATGCTTTAAAGTAATTTATTACCTAGATTTTATGGCTGTGTAGATCTTCCGTAAGAACAATTCATCTTTTCTACAAAAGTACTCTAGTTCCATAGAAAAGGAGCGAGAATATGATCATGTAGTTTTTCTCTCCTTGTTCATGTAGAGCAATTTTTATGTTAAAACAAACTATCTCTTGCTGATTCCATTTGCCTCAATTAAGGAATACCACAGCTGATAAAGCTCATTCCACACCAAGGAGCAAAATTCTTTCTCAAGGTAAATTGAACCTCCTAATATCATTCAGGATATTACAGTGATGATTTAAAGAAATAAGAGTCTGACTTTTATAGCATCTTTCTTTGAATATCATATGATCATTATGGCACATTGGTAAAAACACAAGTTTTGATCTTATATACTCTATCTACTTGAGCTGCTTCTCTTACTGCCACAGCACATGACATAATCCAGGAAGAATAAAATGATCACAGGATAATAAAATTTCACTGTACCTAGCAAAGGACATAAAAGTTGGATTATTGATTTTGTTTGAATGATGTGCTGTAATTTCATATGCCAACAGAGTGGAGCACAAATCCTGGCCTGCCAGCTTTCATTACTGGAACTCACTTTCTTGCTACCAAGTAACCTCAACCAAGTCACAAGATAAATCTAGATTTCTTTACTTACTGAAAGTGAATGTCTTTAGCCCCAGGTAATTAATAGGAACTTCAAGACTAGAGAAGACCTGCTTTCAGTTGGGAGAAGGAGGGGAAACACTTCAATGGAGATGTTTTACTATTTCTTTAGTTTGCAGTTACCCCTATACTCAAAGATAAAGTAACATGCATACAATTTATAAATCTTTATTGTATCTCTTTGCCCCCTTGAAATACTGTTTTTGGTTCTTTCAACTAGTTTCATTGTGCTGATTTTAAAAATAGTGATAATAAATTAAAAACTATGCACCGTCAAAATAAGAAAGAAAAATCAGGTAAAAGGTCAAAGCAACTAGGTTTTGTTGCTAAATACACCATTTTGCTTCTGCTGTCATATATTACAGAGCCAAGCCTGGAACCCTGATTAACTGTCTAACAATTAAATTTTACTGATTTAAAAGGGGGAAATGTGTGGATAACAGTATAAAATCAATGGTAAATAGTGCAAAGGGCATTAACAATGTCAGTTTGTAAGTGATGCAATCTTTATGTACTAAAAAAATTGGAAGTCCATGTGTAACTAACTAAAAGTATACGCTTTTGTTGAGGCTCAGAAAATGACACTCTAAAGTGAAAGCCTCAGAAGCAGCCTAAGAAGTGGTTTCTGTCCTTCTCTTGCCCTCCTGTCTCTTACCTCTCATTCTCCCCTGAGGCAAGCCATGGAAACTAGAATCCCTTTTCTCCAAGCTGGGTCATGGAAACCAGAACCCCTTTTCTCAAAGCCATCCATAAACCTAAAATTACTACTCTAACTTTCCCCCACCTTTCTAAGAACTGGCCGTAAAGCAATTATTTGACCACTTTGTTTGATTGTAGGTTATAAGATCTCCATTCCAGTGTGGGTCCTGCCCCATACTCAGAAGGAATGCATGCTCAGAGAGGACAAGAAGAATCTGAACACACAGGCCTTGCTGGGTCCCATTCTCCACAACCTCAGTCTATTACTATTAGATCGTACCATTTTTGTCCAATCACATCTCTACACGCTCTTCTTGCTTCATCAGATCTAAAGCACCCATGCATAAAATCAGACTGCTTTCCCTCTATCTATGGGTCACTCAATCTGAAGGCTCCCATGTCATGTAAAACTTTGATTAAATAAATGTTATGCTTTTGTCAGTCTGTCTTTATTGTAGGGGTGTCAGCCATGACCTTTATGACGGAGAGGACAGGTATCACCATCTCTCTGTCCCCACACTATAACAAACTTGACAAACAATCTGACATATTTAAATGGTAAGAGTTTTATAAAATAAATAATATATGCCAATGAGATTAGAATTTTACCCAATCTAGAGGAGCTATGGAAATCATTCCCAGTAATGGTTATATAATTAAAGGGCAAGTAATAATTAAAGTTTCATGCATTACAGTTTTTCTTGCTTGCTATAATAACATCTCTAATAAAAATATGTTTAAAGTATCAGCATAACAATGAATAAACATGGAGAGATTGCAGGACTAGAGGAAACCGCAGAATTATATTACAGATTTCCAGACCTTCGGAATGTTTTATAATTACCTGAAGAAAAAGTAGTCCATACAAAGACAAATGTTAATATAGCGGCTGGACACATTAGGAAAGCATTCCCTTTACTGAACAACAAGATGGCTACATACTTTCAGGGATGAAAGTTCCTGACATGGCCCTGGAGAAAGCATCCTCTTGTGAACCTCCTCTATTCCTGTAGATAAAATTTCTCTAACACCTGAAGAAATCCTGTCATATACCAGAAAAACAGGAAAGGCTTGAGATTAGACAAAAATATTTAGATTGAAAAAGCTACATATTTAAATAAAAACAAGTTTGGGATGCAGAGAATATGGTTACATTTTCTTTTCAAAGCATAAAGTCCTTTTCTAAAAATAAAAAGAAATATTACAGATATTTAAGGAGATAGATGGTATAAATCTATGTTCCTGGGGGTAACACAGGCATGAATATATTATTCTATGTCGAATTCTTTATGGTGGAATGAATGATTATTACAACTTTTAAGACCTTCCACAGTCTTTATATTGAGAGACAAGGATGTCTCTCTGCAGGTGAGATTTATAATCTGGGTATTGCTTAAACAGAGTAGATAGTAGAAAATAATATGCCACTCCAATTTTGGAGTCGAAGAACTTTAAAAATAGCA
The DNA here is from genome assembly GCF_000001405.40 of Homo sapiens. Taxonomy (NCBI): domain Eukaryota; kingdom Metazoa; phylum Chordata; class Mammalia; order Primates; family Hominidae; genus Homo; species Homo sapiens. The sequence continues at coordinate 35,249,707 of NC_000015.10, forward strand.
TATTAGTTCTGAATTTGAAGCTGATAATGTCTTTTTTGTTATTACTTAAGTTTGTGTGATATGTTAGAGAATGGAAAACTGGCAGAACATAAAGGTAAATTAAAATACTTATAAGCACAGCATAAAGTAGCAGGAAGAACAGTTAACCAACTTCTGATAAAATTATATAAAATACGGCCGGGCGCGGTGGCTCACGCCTGTAATCCCAGCACTTTGGGAGGCCGAGGCAGGCGGATCACGAGGTCAGGAGATCGAAACCATCCTGGCTAACACGGCGAAACACCATCTCTACTAAAAATATAAAAAAAAATTAGCCGGGCGTGGTGGGCTACAGGGTGGTGGGCACCTGTAGTCTCAGCTACTCAGGAGGCTGAGGCAGGAGAATGGAGTGAACCCGGGAGGCAGAGCTTGCAGTGAGCCGAGATCGCGCCACTGCACTCCAGCCTGGGTGACACAGCGAGATTCTGTCTCAAAAAAACCAAAAAAACAAAAAACAAAAAACAAAAAAATAAAAAAAATAAAATTATATAAGATATACCCTAATGGCTTAACATTTCCAGGTGACTAGAGCTTCCTGTGTCTTCAAAGAGAAGGCCATGACAATAAGGAGTCCCACAACAGAGAAGAGAGGCTGATATTTAAAAGATGATTTAAAATGTCCCTGCCACAACGTGTGGCACTGTATAAGTCAGAGAAACTGGCATTTAATAAACATCAAACCAAGAGTTTGGGTTTATTTTTCCATTAATATTCATGTAACATGGCAGTTCAAATATATGTTGCAGGCCAATACAGCTCAAGATTTTGAAGATAAAGGAAACATGCAAAAGGTTCTTACATGATATTTTATAACTAATATTGCTGAATATTTTGAATTTCTATTATCAGAATAAAATCAGAGAAATGTTTTTTTCAAGTATTATATACCCAAACCATTAATTAAGTACCTACTATGCATCCATTCTGGGTGGATCTGAAAATATGAAGACAAACAAGATCTAGGACTAAAAAGTTCAAAATGGGAAAGGAGAAAAGGAGAAGGAAGACATATAAAATAATAAATATAATAAGAATATTAGAAGTGCTTTAGCAGAGCCACGTATAAAGCTTTGTGAGTAGGCAGAAAGGAAGCAAATTTTCACTATCATTCTAACACTGTATATGGCATTTACATTTATTTTTTAAATGTATATTCCCATATACTTCCAATAAGTTACTTACTGAGTTAGTCACTTTTGATTTGTGTTACCAATAGTTTTCATAAGTCGTGCCAAGCAATCTACACATATGTTCAATTAGTCTCCCTTGAGAAGAAGGTCATTGTTATAAAACTGCTGGCAGGCTGTAGACACATGGATCAGTTTCTTTTTGAAAAATGCAGTGTCTCTATTTATAAAACTAAGTTGAATACTGTTTATACAATCTCCCAAACTTGACATGCCAGTCCTGTCCTTGGTTTCTCCATTTTTCTTTCTTTCTTTCTTAAAATTTTTAAGTAATTTCAATTTTTATTTTAGATTCAGGGGATACAAGTGCAGGTTTGTTACACGAGTATATTTTCTGTTACCCCTCCTGCAACTAACTGGCTATGGATTCTCATCAATTCTACATCAGAAATGTCTCTTAATATATGCCCGCTCCATTCCCAATGCCACTGCCTCAGTTCATAATCCCACTGTTTTCCTGCTTCCTTTTCTCTCATTTCTCCAACCCCAGCTGTCAAGCTTTTTTCCTAAAAAACAGGGCTGATCATGTCATTCTCATGCACAACAATTCTCTGCTCGCTTTGTGGTCTACAGGATAAAACTCAAACTTCAGAGCTTGGACATAAGGTCCTTCACACTTTGGCTCCAATCCACCACACCTGTGTACCACATCCCCTTGCCACATCCAAGATCCTACACTTAGCTTCATATCACAGATACGCTAGTCTCTCACCACTTTGCTTTGTAACTTATTAGCTGACATGTCTGCTTCCCCTCTTATGTCCTGTTGTATTGACTCATAAAATCTCAAACTCTAACCTAATGCCTTGCGTACAGTTTACCACACTGTACATTCAGTAAACGCAAAGTGAATGAAACAACAGCACTGGCCTCGCTCATTCAATGATAACAACACTAACCATGTTACTATGCATAAATAATAACAGGTCGGTGTGGTGGCTCATGCCTGTAATCCCAGTACTTTGGGAGGCTGTGGCAGGTTTATCACCTGAGGTCAGGGGTTCAAGACCAGCCTGGCCAACATGGTGAAACCCCATCTCTACTAAAAATATAAAAATTAGCTAGGCGTGGTAGTGGGGGGCCTGTAATCCCAGCTACTGGAGAGGCTAAGGCAGGAGGTAGAGGTTGCAGTGAGCCAAGCTCACGCCATTGCACTCCAGCCTGGGCAACAAGAGCCAGAGTCCATCTCAAAATCAATCAATCAATCAACCAATAATAACAATAGCAAATACTTCCGTAATACAATATGATAGACATGATTTAAGTGCTTTACCTATATCAGCCTGTTTAAGCCTCATGTCAATAGGTACTATTATTACACCCACTTATAGATGAAAAAATTGAAGCACAGAGAAATCCCCTAAATTTCCATGAAAGATAGTAGCTGGTTTTAAGAGAAACAAGCCTATAAACAAAAAAAGAAAGAAACAAAGATTTTGTGTTCAAATTAGTTTTGGAAATCCTGGGTTGAGCAGAGCTAAACAAGTTTCATTACTGCAGGACTTTCTCAGAGTCATTAAACAAGCATTGTGACAATGTGAACTGCCATTAAGGGCACATTTGCCCTGATTCTCTAGCTACAGAGGATTTTGGTGGCCAAGCATCTTGTGGGACTAGTGATCTGTGAAACATACCTTGAGAAGCACTGCTGGAGGGTTATATAACGTGACACAGTAAAACCTGTTATCAATTAATGCTTGTGTGCCTCCTTCTTTTCCTCTCCTCTCCCCATCCGGAAATAGGTCATAAGGTCTATGGTCTTGCCTAAGGGCAGACAGCGAACAAATAAACTGTCTAAGACAGTAGTTAATTTTCTTTCTCTTGTCTCTCCTCCTGATTTATAGATATTTTGGTTACACATTAAAAATACATACTCTATAATTTTTTACTGGTATTAAGTATAGTTCTTAAACTGTAATATAAAGGTTTTGATGTTATAGTTAGAAAACTTCAGCAACTTTCTTTATCCAGTTGAGAAATATACATTAGAGTTGTATCAACCTTCAAATGAGCTTCTATGTGTTTTTAAGGACAGCAAGCAGGATGTGAACAGGGTTAGTAATAAATAGACTTGGGTCTGCACCAACTATCTCTGACGTCTCACTATTTGCCTCAGTTTCTTTATCTGCATATTGAAGGCATCTGAATGTTAATCTCTGAAGTACCATCTAATTTTAAAATTCAAAAACATGCAAATTGCTCTTCCAGATTCATTGAAGCATAGAACAGAAAAATATTAATTAAATATCTAAACTACATTGGTGAGATTTTTTCCCCATTATTATAAAGAAACTTCTGCCAATGAAATTAAATATAAACAGTAGGTTGTGGAAAGCATCATCAAGTGAAGTGAAGAATGCAGGGAAGGAATAAAATTTTTACTGCTTCCTTGGTATAGACCATTTTTTTCGGCTAAAGCAATGGCAGATTCTTATATTCTGGTGCACAGGAACTATATGAATAAAACATGCCTGTGCAAATGAACTCACAACCTTATTCCAAAGCACCATTCGGGAATAATACATTTAATGTCTCATCAACTTCCCCAGAAAAGTGAGAGTAAACCTGTGCATACAGACAAAACAACCATAACAAAAACCAAGGTAGAAATAATTCTGCTATGGGGAACAGATTTGATCGACATTTGATGGTTTCAAAACTCTAAGTAATACGCTAGTCACTTAAAAATATTCCCACATTTCTGCTTTCTCCCATCACTCTATGCCTTAAGATTCATCTGTCAATTTTGACGCATCTTTTTAAGTACCCCTTCAAGCCTAAAAATCCAGACCACAGAAAAGCCCTCTTTGCTTTGAAACTATCTGATCAATCCATAGATCATTTACCTGCAAGGATTATTTGGTGAAGCTAAAGCGGCACATCAACCAGCAGCATCTGAGGGCTGAGGCGGCAGAACGTCAACAACAAATTGTCATTGGCATTCCATTTATGAACCTTCAAACGGCATCAGATCTTTTCCATGGGAAACCAGATCAGGTCAGACTAGAGCTGAATATTTCTTAACAAGCTAACCATCAAAAGAATTTACGTTTTGAATAAAAAGGCTATCATTTGTTGATTTGAATATCAAAGGGATCCACTGCAAACTCCCAGTCTAGAAAAACCTCCCTAAGCTACACTAGACAGGTGTTTAATAATCTATTATTAAGGCACTATTTTAGGTTACTCAGAATTATAAAAAATAGCTGTAACTGTGAAGCTGCAAATGGGACTGCACAAAGAAACGAATGCTATTAACATACTATTAACAATTCAAAAGAATGAGTTGACATACCAATCAAACTTGTTAATTGACTGTCAATGGCCTGTCCCTGAATATACAACATGACTGCATTATAGATTTCAAATGCTGACAGGAAGACAGTTCCATTTGCATTAACTTCATAAACTGATCAACAACCAAACTGCCACATACATTTATAATGGGAAGCTGAATCATTTCAATATTCATGGAGCTCTGTAATTGTAAATTAGGTACTGGCAAACAATACAATACTGTACATACTCTAAAATATCTGAAATTTCATTGACCTACTTTCATTCTGGTTTTAAAATACAAAAAAAAGTTTCATCTTGAAGTGATCATTACTTTAATTTGTGGTTTGTACCTTAAGCAAAATGTGTTTGCAACTCAATTTGCAGCTGTGGTTTACAGTTGCACTTTGGAAGCATCACTGGTCCAGAAAATATGAGGTAAAAAAGGTAGTGCTTGGTTTCATGCGCGTCCGTGTGAAGAGACCACCAAACAGGCTTCGTGTGAGCAATAAAGCTGTTTATTTCACCTGGGTGCAGGTGGGCTGAGTCCGAAAAGAGAGTCAGCGAAGGGAGATAGGGGTGGGGCCGTTTTATAGGATTTGGGAAGGTAATGGAAAATTACAGTCAAAGGGGGTTGTTCTCTGGTGGGCAGGGGTGGATCTCACAAAGTACATTCTCAAGGGTGGGGAGAATTACAAAGAACCTTCTTAAGGGTGGGGGAGACTACAAAGTACATTGATCAGTTAGGGTGGGGCAGGAACAAATCACAATGGTGGAATGTCATCAGTTAAGGCTGTTTTTACTTCTTTTGTGGATCTTCAGTTACTTTAGGCCATCTGGATGTATACGTGCAAGCCACAGGGGATGCGATGGCCTGGGCTCAGAGGCCTGACACTTGGTAAAAGGTAAAAAAGTGAGCTTGCCTTACTTGGGGTTTTTGAAAACGGAGAACTATGAAACAAGGCAGTATCACACTTCCTCAGGTGACAGCCGAAGAACCATTATGACGACATATTTAGCAAATAATCATTAACATAATGAAAAGAAGGTTATAAAGTAATCCTGCACTGGAGCCTTCTTAAATCCCCTCAAATAGACCTGCTGTTCTGAAATTAGACTTTAAAATCTTCAACCATCCATTGGTTTGAGAATCAATAGAGTAAAAGAGAAGATAAATGAGGGCTGAAGACTATTTCTAACCAAAGTCTCATGATAAATGGTCTAAAATTCAATAGTTATCAGCATGGAGATATTCCTTTCAAATAGTTCTATGACTTCTTCAAGAATGAACACAGAGGGTTTTTTTTTCTTCAAAAAGCTGTTTCCCCCCTGAGATAAATGTTACTTTAGTTTCAGATGTTTTTCTTTGATCATTAGCTAGGTATCACCCCTCCAGCCACTAGAAGTTGCTCAAACTTTGTGGATTAATTCTGGAATATTCTAACGTGTTGCCACAATTTTGGATGCACCAGTTTACTCATAGAGCCTTTAGTAAAGGTCGTCTTGAAATTTTTTTTGACTTTGCAAATGACTGCACACTGTTAAATAACAAAATGAGTTTATTAGTTGGAGGGGAGCAGTTACTCCTAAATAATGAATATGATCCTTAGAAGATTATTCATTCTATCCATTAGGATTAGTTTTATTTTCATCTTTGTCCAACTAAGCAGTGATATATACTCCATAATGGTGAATAACACACACATCATATGTGCACACATATACATGATTTATGCATATATAAAATTGACTTATAAATAAATATACAGTATATAATATACATATTTGTTTGAATATATATACACACCTATATAACATATATAAATCTTTAATAAACTTACAGATTTACAGAAAATTTGCAAGGATAGTACAAAGTTCCTGTATAACCTGAATCCAGTTTCTCTAATTGTTAACATCTTATATTACCATGGTATACTTGTCATAACTAATAAGGCAATATTTACAAATTTTATTATTATCTAAAGCACATATTTAATTCAGATTTCCTTCATTTTTACTTAATGCTCTTTTTCTGTTGCACGATCCTGGCCAGTTACCATATTATTTATAGTCATATCTCCTTAGGCTCCTTTGACGGTGACTGTTTCTGAGTTTCCTGGTTTTGATGACCTTGACAGTTTTGTAGTACTAGTCAGATACTTTTCTAGATTGTTCTTTGATTTGGGTTTTCTAATGTTTTTCTCATGGTTAAACCACAGTTATGGATTTTTGGAAGGAAGACCACAAAGTGCCATCCACATAAGTGATATATTTTTATCTTTGAATGTTCTCAATGTATTCAATGTACTAAAATATAATTTTTTTTCTTTTTAGAAATAAAGGGCAAGTTATGTAAATCATCAGCAACAATCTGCAAAAGAGGCTGTGTGTATATAATGGAAAGTACTTCATTGCTAATTAGTAGTGTAGTAGATGTCAAGATCTGTGTTCACTCTGGGATTTAGCCATGTCTGGGCATGTCTGCAGGACTGTAGGGTGGGTCCACGAGGGATCCATTTACAAGAGATGAGGTCAAGAGCCAGGAGGTGGAAATGGAAGAACATACATCCTGACCTAAAGGGAAAGAGAGATGTTTACTAGTTTAGTTCGGGGTCAATGAGCAAGCATATCTGGTATGTGTGTAAGTGTGTGTGTAGGAGGAATACTGGGGTTTGTAATGGTTTTGACTTTATCATTTCTGAATTTTAGTGCAAGAAATATGCAAAGAGAACATAAAGAAGACTAAAAAGAGTCTGTTGGTAAACATTAGATGCATTGATGACAGCTATTTGAGGACTGATAAGAATGGGGGTGATTTGATAGTGACAGGGGAGTGCTGGTGACTGGGGAAAAGAATGGCATCATTAGCATAAAATATAGTGCCATCAATACTGGGCATTATAAGTGTCAGTAGTGACATGGGCAGGCATCACCATGAAAAGATGACATTAGCATAGCATACCAGGAAAGGAGGAGAAAAATAATAAATAGGTAAGGGTACTAGTTTTTTGTGTTTATGTAAGTCACTTCTTAGGAACATGTAACATCTCTGGGAAAAATTTATGGGGCTGGAGTGTTCTCAGGGAGGGTAAAAAGTCTAGTTAGAGAAATACCACATCTGGCAGTTGCTTACCTATAGGCTTGAACACAGGTTAGAGACAAAAGGAAGTCACTTACATTCTCTGAGTTTCCATACTCATGAATGAGAGATCCGCACTTCTTCAAAAGGTTGTTGATTGGAGTGACAGCAATGCTAATCAAAAAGTATAAAAATAAAAAATAATAATATGTTGTTGAGGGATTTGGTAGAGGTGGTAGTGACTTGGAAAGTATAACAACCTCTTAAGTAGACTTGAAGGGTTACATGTAACTCAGATTCGAGAAATGGGGATTTTTTGTGGAGGTACAAAGTGCACTGTAGGAGATAAAATCTTAGAAATGCCTCATGAGTACTGGAACTACAGTCTTATTCTGGATTGAAGGCAATTAAAAGAAACTCAGCAGCAGTTGTTCAAGAATTCCATGCTAGCACTCAAAACAGTATTATTTTCTTGGTCTCAGCTTTGTGTGTGTGTGTGTGTGTGTGTGCATTTTCTTACTTCTTTTATCATTACAATGCATAGTAAGTAATTAGCAGGAAAACTTTACCTTGATTGAGTGGTGGTACTCTTAAACAATTTGAATAGTATTATCCTTAGAACATAAATGTAAGCAATAAAGGGAACGTTATCAAGCGGCTACTTAATCCACCATTCCATAGAACTTCTCAACCTGTTTGAGTCTGGTTTCTCACAGACTTTAGCTTTCCTGTAGAACATCATGGTCCTTCTTATTTTATGATATCTTCTATCCATTCTTTTTACCATAGCAGCCCAATACTGGACCAACCCTTATATTTTTGGGCAAGGTGTTATTCTTGTTTTTAATTTGTGCCAAGACACTTGATAAAGCCATTGAATTATTAATGAAAAGATTGTCTTTTTGCCTTACTCGGGCAAAAGACCACTAATGGTGTGAGAGGTAGGATTGGGGTCATATTACAGCACAAGGAATAGCCTAGAACTGTTTTCACTAAAAGGAGAAGGATGGGACAGTTTCTCTTGGAAGAGAAAAAATGAACATGCAAGCCTCTAGGATAGTCAAAAGTAATGTAAGACATTAAAGGAGGACACTTTCACTGTGACATTAGTTGGCTTACAAATTCTAAACCAATGCTTTAAAATTTGCTCCTCAGAAAATCATACAATTTTAGAGTTGGAAAGGATATTAGAAATAATCTCATCTAAATATTTCATAAGTGAGGGAACTAAAGTCTGGGTTAAATACTAGCTACAGGTTAGAAAGCTCTTTAGTAACAGAGCTAGGCTTAGAGCTTAATGTCCTTTGTTCTATAAGCTGTCTCAGCAAGCTTAGGGATGAGTTAAGGTAGCAATAAACCTTTATCAAAATAGAAACTCTATTTTCTTTGAAACATGCTCACTTTTTTTGGGCCAATACTTGAACATTTATCCTTTATAAAGTTTCCTAAGGACTCCATTGTTTTCACTAGTTGGAAACATGCTTTCTTTCATTTCCTCAATCCTTTCTCCCTCCCTTATATATTTACTTTACTGCCCCTAGAACTCCATATGCATCTTCTCCTTAAGATTCCTACTATGGGCCGGGCACGGTGGCTCACACCTGTAACCCCAGCACTTTGGGCGGCCAAGATGGGCAGATCATGAGGCCAGGAGTTCAAGACCAGCCTGGCCAACATGGTGAAACTGCATCTCTACTTAAAATACAAAAATTAGCTGTGCGTGGTGGTGTGCACCTGTAATCCCGCTACTGGGGAGGCTGAGGCAGAGAATCGCTTGAACCCAGGAGGTGGAGGTTGCAGTGGGCCGAGATCGCACCACTACACTCCAGCCTGGGGGACACAGCAAGACTCCGTCTCAAAAAAAAAAAAAAAAAGATTCCTACTAGGTGATCATCCCTTCCTTGCTTTCCCTTCTCGAATTCTGTAAGGGGTGTTCTAATCATATATCTGGAAAGGCAAGCATAAGCCAATACTCCTTACCACACTTTTCTTGAAACCTTGTGGGGTAACTTAAAGAAGAGAAGAAATGGCTTAATTATGAATTATTCAAAGTGGAGATTTTGCTACAAGTATGACTATGCATGTACACTATACTTCCTCCTGGGAGCAGCTGCTTTCACGCAAACCTAATCATATAAAAAAGTATGCATTCCTGTAATTACTAACAGTATTTATTGCAAGTAATATAAAATAGATAATAAGATTTCAATTATAAAGCACAGCTTCACAGCATTAGCTCTAGAACATGTTCTACATTTCGTTTTTATATTTGAAATAGTGACGACACTGAAAATTTCAAACAAGTTAACTGAGATATAGAAATATGTGATGTCACAATGTTTACTACACAGAATGCAGTCAAGGACCTGGAAGTAAGCTCCTCCCCACCTTCCTCTCCAAAATAAAGCTACTGAGCAGCCAATATAAGTCCTAAAAGAACTGCATGCTTGAGCTCATACAATCTCAGTTTCTCAGTTGCTTTCCTGAAAACTTATTTTACTTTAGTTATGGTCACACAAAGCTTCTTGTCTGGATTTTCTGCCCGTAATATGTTGAACACGACAAATTGGAAAGAAGCAGAGAGGGAGTCACTAGACTCAGCTCATAAATGATACCAAGAAGTGAAAGCAAGTCAAATGGTAGCCAGGGAGGAGACATAAGACCTACATAAAGCAAGTGCAAATGCTCAGAAATCCAAGCTGGAAAAAATAGTCCAATTAACCCCAATAATCTTTGGGATAATTACTATTTTAGAGTAAATAATCAATGTTCATGCCACCATGCATCTTTAAGAACAAATAAAATCTTCAGGAGATTCTTTTATTTTATTTTATTTTTTGAGACAGAGTCTTGCTCTGTCGCCCAGGCTGGAATGCAGTGGCACAATCTCAGCTCATTGCAACCTCCGCCTCCTGGGTTCAAGCAATTCTCTGCCTCAGGCTCCCGAGTAGCTGGGATTACAGGCACCTGCCATCACGCCCAGCTAATTTTTGTATTTTTAGTAGAGACAGGGTTTCACCATGTTGGCCAGGCTGGTCTTGAACTCCTGACCTCGTGATCCACCCACCTCGGCCTCCCAAAGTGTTCGGATTACAGGCGTGAGCCACCGCGCCCAGCCAGGAGATTCTTTTTAAAATTCAGGATAAAGTGAAATATACTTTAGAAGAATTTTATTTAAAATATTTAAATAATGTTAAATTAAATAATTTATTATTTAATAATAAATTAAGTAATATGAAGTTTAATATTATTAGATAATATTAAACTTAAGTAATCTGAAGACTTCATTTATAAAAAAATGTTTTTCCTGTAAATTTAGGATAAATGAAGTGATTCTATGCAGTGATTCCACCTCATTTCAGCACTATTAAAATTCAGATACAAATTTTCATTTATTTTACCTACTTCTTTTTTTTACCTCCTTCCCTATCTCAAGGGGAAAGTTCCTTTACAATTGTGTTATCTTCTGGTCTTATGTTTTAGCCTCTGACCTCAGGCAATCCATTTCAGAAAGCCTCTCAATTCCTTCAAAGTATCCTTTTCTTTGTTTCCAGATGTACTGGGCCTAAGGACATCAATATGATCTGTCTAGGATTCTGGAAAAATTGTCACTTAGTGATATTCATTAATTTTTCTTGAAGAACTCTAAGTCTTTCCATTTATTTTATGTATTCTTCATCACATTTTAACACCTACCCATTCTTATAGTTATTCATGTCTTGACTATTGATTTACATAAGGAAATTCCCGGAAGTCAAAACCCACAATCTATTATATCAGTTCCTGTTGGAATTTATTTCTGCATACCTCAGTCCTTCTTGCCCCATTTCTTTCCCAGATGATTAACTTCGTTCTTTAATGAGATGCCCCAAACACATTCCTTATGCAGTTTCACCAGCTTTTTATAGACAGTTTATCCTTCCTGATGCAGTACAGCAATACAGCGTGCCTCTGAGCACGGTGCCATAATCACACCATTCTCTTTGCTGTCATGCAGAACTGGAAACGTTCAGCTGATCTGAAGTCCAGTATTACCCAGCTTTGTTAGCATTAAGGGTTTTTGTTTTTGTTATTGTTACTTCCTTCTTCCTTCTCTTGAAGATCTTTTTTCTGTGTTTTTTAGTTCAGGTTGAATTTAACTCTTGACTTCTCAAAATTATTTGGCATAAACTTTACATATATGGTAGAAGTGCTTAGGTTAACCAATGTTGATGTCTCATGATGGAGTAGGAATGTAAATCTATAAAGTTAGTTTAAAAAAAAAGGCTGCACATGTGGCTCGTGCCTGTAATCCCAACACTTTGGGAGGCAGAGGCGGGAAGATCGCTTGAGCTCAGGAGTTTGAGACCAGCCTGGGCAATATAGTGGGACCTCATCTCTACCAAAAATTAAAAAGTTATTTGGGTGTGGTGGCGTATGCTTGTAGTCTCAGCTACTTGAGAGGCGAAGGTGGAAGGATGGCTTGAGCCCAGGAGGTCGAGGCTTCAGTAAGCCCTGATCTCACCACTGCACTCCAGCCTGGGCAACAGAGCAAGACCCTCTCTTAAAAAAAAAAAAATGAAACTCTTCCTATGAATTACAAAAAAGAATGGAAATTTTAAGTTAGAGTGGTCCAAAACATAGATTAAAATAGTTTCACCTGAAGCTACAGTAGTAAAGAGAAGTAACTACTACATATATAGCATCTATATTTCAAAGGTGACAGGGGTGGAGACATACAAAAAAGGGTCCTCATGACAACTACTGTGTATGGTCCTTGTACTTTTCTCCGTGTTTACTACTTCGGGAGTTCTGTGCAATACAACCAATGAATGTGTTAGAAAGACTACTCATAATTCAAGATTCTATGAGTCTATTACTTTATATATAGTTATACTTTTTTTCCTATTTCATTAAGGATTTAAATTAAATTTATTACATGGTGGCCTCTAGAGCCCTTCCAGATTTCCCATTTAAAAAGTGGTATCACAATTTTTCAGGAAATCTCCAATGAGCTTAAAAAATAAGATAAACACACTTCATAAAAATTTCTAATTAATTCTAATAATGACTCAGAATACATTTAATTCATATTTACTAATTTGCCATAAGTCTTTAAAAAATGTTTTCTAAGTGATTTTTTTTAAAAAGATACCTTGGCTGGGTGCAGTGGCTCACGCCTGTAATCCCAGCACTTTGGGAGGCCGAGGCAGGGGGATCACCAGGTCAGGAGATGAAGACCATCCTGGCTAACACGGTGAAACCCCGTCTCTACTAAAAATACAAAAAATTAGCTGGGCGTGGTGGCGGGCGCCTGTAGTCCCAGCTACTGGAGAGGCTGAGGCAGGAGAATGGCGTGAACCCGGGAGGCGGAGCTTGCAGTGAGCAGAGATGGTGCCACTGCACTCCAGCCTGCGAAACAGAGCAAGACTCCGTCTCAAAAAAAAAAAAAAAAAAAAAAAAAAAAAAAGATATCTTAATGAATAGCCATTTAGGTAAGATTTTCTTTAGTTCCCAATTTTATGAACATCTCTTTATTTCTTGCCAGACTCTGGGAGAGATCTTTACCAAAGTACCTTCTAGGAGTCAGCTGCTACATTACTCTCATGCTTACATGTCTTAAAGTAGAAAACTAAAGTGAGAGAATCATGCAGAATTTTGCCCTTACAAATAATTAGAAAATTAAACTCAAATAATGAATATGCCTATAAAATATTTAAGTCTGAAGGAATTATAATTTGATGTGGATAATTACATGCTGAAAGTAAGATCTCTATTTGACACCATGAAGAAAAAAATACGTGAAAAGTTTCTAATGAAGAGAAACCTCTCAATGGATTTTAACTTATTACTTCTGATAACTAAGGAAGATATTTTAATCATTAGTTTATCATAGAGCTACTACTACTAATACTCTATTTACATATCACCTTTCTTCCAGAGGTCTCAGACATTTTATAAACATCTCATTAATCTTCACAACCCTCCAGTGAGACTTTATATGGAGAAATAAACAGGTATTAAATTAACTCTAGAAGATTCTTCCATAGTTCCTCTGAACTCATAAGAAGGATAATGCCAAAAAATACTTTACATGGAATATAACAAGAAAACATTTTAACATAATTAATCTTTTTTTTTTTTTTTTTTTTTTTTAGAGACAGGGTCTCACTCTCTCGCCTAGGCTAGAGTGCAGTGGCATGATCATAGCTCACTGCAGTCTAGCCCTGGACTCAAGCGATCCTCCTGCCTCAGCCTCCCAAGCAGCTGGGGCTACAGGCATCCACCACGTCACTTGTCTAACTTTTTATTTTTATTTTTTGTAGAGACAGTCTCACTATATTGCCAAAGATGATCTCAAACTGGGCTCAAGTGATCCTCCGACCTAGGCCTCCCAAATTGTTGGGATTACAGACATGAGCCATTTTGCCTGGCCTCACAGTTTATAATTTCTTTTTTTTTTGAGACAGAGTCTCGCTCTGTCACTCAGGCTGGAGTGCAGTGGAGCGATCTCTGCTCACTCCAAGCTCAGCCTCCCGGGTTCATGCCATTCTCCTGCCTCAGCCTCCTGAGTAGCTGGGACTACAGGCGCCCACCACCACGCCTGGCTAATTTTTTTTGTATTTTTAGTAGAGACGGGGTTTCACCGTGTTAGCCAGGATGGTCTCGATCTCCTGACCTCGTGATCTGCCCACCTCGGCCTCACAAAGTGCTAGGATTACAGGCGTGAGCCACCGCGCCCAACATAGTTTATAATTTTTAAAGGGCCTTTTTTCTAGTCCATGCTGACTTTTCACACAGAAAATTCACTCATATGGATTTAAGCCTTGTTTTTTTTTTTAATTCAAAGATTAAAAAAAAAGGACACAAGTATTTTAAAAAGTACTTCTTAGTTGCCTCCACTCTAGAGCAAGGAGGAAGGAGCACAATCTATCTTGGATGCTTTATTAAAACAAATAATAAAGTTTTATTTGTTTTCTTTAGTACTATCTGCTTATTAGGAATTAGATTCCATCTGACATTTATTTCACCTAAATTTTTCTTTTTTCTACTTGAGGTAATAACAAGAGGCAATGCTACTCTTCCTCTTCATTATTTTCAAAGCTTTTCTCAGAACAGCATTTATAGTCTCTACGCTGATTTACCCAACACTTTAATATCTCTTCTATATTATCCCATAGCCCTGCATAAAGCGTAATGGACTTTCTCTGATTCTTAGACCTCTCTTCTGAAAATACTGGTCTACAAGCACTCTTTGAAAAACAAAAGGCTTACTATTTTTAATTTTAATTGAAGTTAGTAAGGAAATTCCTTAAGTAGCTCTTGTATCTCCCAATCATGTTGGTGAATTTGAGATTCAGTGGGTGGGAGCCCAGCAGCAGTCAGGTGGAATGGCCTTTAAATAAAGTACCAGTTTGGCACAACAAAGCATACCACGCATGTTCATTTGTACATTCATTCATTCATTCATTCAACAAACATTTACTGAGCTAGGTACTGAGAATACAGAGATAAATATGACATAGAACTATAATTGAATTCCCAATGTCAATATTGTGTGCAAGATGTTCTGAGAGAAGAAAGGTAGAGTGCCTAACTCTTTTGGGGGTCAAGGAAGACTTTACTGATGAGACATTTGGCCTCCATAGGCAGATTATGAGCATAACATGAAAAGCAGGGTTTGGAGAGTCTTGTCGAACATTCAGAAGGAACTGACTGAAAGTACATTACACTCCGATGTTCATAATTATTACTGAGAGAAACAGTTATGTCATTCTAGATTGGGCCATGCTGTCTATAGTCCATACAGTGAAAAATAATCCATCTAGAAAAATAACCACACAAGCTAGCGGTCAGAAAACACAAAATAACAGTACTGTGGTTTTACTATAAACATAGTAAAATAACTTCAAATCAAATCTAGAATATAATAAGAATTAAAAAAGATATTCAATCTTAAAATGCTTTGAAAGGAAAAAAAAGGACAGTATAAGTGTAAGAAACCATTATTATGAAAAAGAAGTAAACTTTCAGCCCGGCCACAAAAAGCCAAAATACTTCCTTTTGATAACCCCTAAATTACATTTTTCAGAATGTCTTTTTCTCTTGAAGGCATCCACAATATTCCACATGATGTCTAAGTGTAGCCAGACTGAACTGACATTCTTTAGGCATTTCTTCAAAGAAAGGAATAAGATTTGACAGATTCCTTTGCACAGGGGGAAAAGGCATAGAAGGACAAGGTCTGGTGTGAATCTTAACACTGCTCTCTCCATCTGCAAGAGTCCTCCTCTGCTACACTGTAATAATAGCTTCTGAAGGTGTTAGCACCCAGCAAGACATTTCTCTGCCTTTAAAAAAAATTCCGTAGCTTTTATTTTGGGATTTGAAACTAATCTATTGTGTTTAAAAACACAGTCACTAATCCCCATAATATTTTACAGTTTAGTTTAGAAATACAAATTTTCACCACTTGACAGGTAAAATATGAAACCAATGCAAAAAACATGTTTTAAAAAGTAAATTGACAAGTTAAAAAAAGTCTTTCTTTTATATCGCTGTCATATGATAGTCATGGCGTAGCAGTATTGTGAAGTAACATTATAGTGTCACTGATTCAATGTAACAAAACACCTAAATTGCTTTGTTGATATTGAAGTTTGTAGAGGGCTACTTCTACAAACAATTTAGTTTAGTTTTAACTGGTTGAATCTGAATACAAGTTCTCCAGGACACATGTTCTTACATGTGTCCTTTACAAAATGTTCTTTTACAAAAATATGTTTTTGTAAAAGTATGTGTAATCTAAAAACATATAGGCCAAAAGTAATTTCTACCTAAGAAGTAATCAGAAGGGACTTAATTATATCATTCCCAGGGCACAGGCTGCTATTCAGTAATGCTTCGTATTGTAACAGCAAACTTACAGGAGTAGCCAGTGGAGATGCTTATCATGTACTGTGAACCATGACATTCCAAATATGATGCTTATCAGTCTATCAAAGTTTGAAGTAGACAGCGTATGAAAGAGGCAATCATATATGGTATATATAAACAGGAGGGCTATTATAGCAGGAGGGGAAAGGAAAGCATGATCAGGTTAAGTATTCAATTAGCTTAATTGGCTTTTATTGGCTTTGTAGGTAGGCTAATAAAAAGTCAGCTAAGATATATAATATATGGCTACAGATTGTTAATCTCTGGCAAATCAGGGACTAAACTTTCAATTTATTTTAGTTCTGAACTAGTTAGAGTTTGCACTGTCAAGCAACTAACATAAATTTAATATTGTAGCAGTCAGAATCTGTTCTGATTGGCCAGTGCTAGTTCGATAATGCCTGTTAAGTATTTTGAATATTACTCCTGGTTGGTATCAAATGTCTAAAGGAGGTAGAACAGGCTATATACTTCCATTATGATTTTATTTTAACAGTACCACATAGACATAACTTAAGAATCAAAAGGTAATTATTTAATCAACCAATAATCAGTAATAATTGTTTTCTATTGTCTTTGTAGCTCTGTGTTTCTACAATACAATAGGTACTATGCTAGGAGCTTTACTTGAAAGAAAAGAAAGACATGGTTCATGCATTCAAGGAGTTTACATACATATATACTATAATACATAACATTAATACAGAAATAAAATGATTAGTGGACAACTAAGTGCAAAACTGAGTAAAATAATAATAAAATTCATAGAAATTTGGAGGCATTTATAATCACTGTGGGCAGCAATAGTAGAGTTCAATGAGGAGGCCAGTCATAAACTGGTCTTGAAAGGATACAAGGATCTGGATATATGAAGGATAGGATAAATAAAATATATAATCCAAGAAGTGGAAATGTGCATGGACAGTATAAAGTGCAGTAAAAAAAACAAAACTGAGAGCAATGAAAAATAAGGCTGCCAAGGGCTTGCTTCCAAAGAGCCTTGTAAACTGTTGTGAGTGGGCAGGGAGGAGCTGCTGATCAGATTGGGTGAGATGCCTTGATCTGTACTGGACCATTTTTACTTATGTGTGCCAAAAGGTCACACACAAGGATGAATGCTCTTTGCTTCTTCTCTTCTACCACTGAAACTAGATCTGCAGCAGGACTGAGGCCTTCTTGGTTCAGCTAGCTCTCCTCTGCTGCTGATGCTATTTTTTCACCTATCAGGCAAAGGGATACACTTTTTTCAAGGCAGGCCCTTATTCCTACTTCCTTACTGCCTGTCTCTTGGTCTCTCTATCTTCCCCAATCCTAAGAGCTCTTAGCTTCCGGGGAATTCTAATTATCTCATGCTTGATGATTTGTTTGTGGCAATATCTGGCTTTTGGAGATGGAGAAGCTATGTTTAGGCCTAAACTTCTAATTGTTCATCAGTTTTCGAGAATAGCCTGATGGTTTCAGACACCTTGTTAATGTTACATACAACTCATCTTTATTCATTTGCCATCCCTTTTTGTGTATTTATCTCCCTTTGGAGCCTCATGAGATTTATAGTAGAGGAAGGTATGAGGACTCTTGGGTTTCTTAGTCCAGTGCTCAAATAGGATCCTAGTGCTACCAATATAACCTAATGGAAGCAAAGCAAAACTGTTTGAATTTGGTGTGTAGTATACAAAAGAAAACTAGGCCAGGCGCGGTGGCTCACGTCTGTAATCCCAGCACTTTGGGAGGCCGAGGCCGGCAGATCATGAGGTCAGGAGATCAAGACCATCCTGGCTAACATGGTGAAACCCTGTCTCTACTAAAAATACAAAATATTAGCCGGGCGTGGTGGCAGGCGCCTGTAGTCCCTGCTACTCGGGAGGCTGAGGCAGGAGAATGGTGTGAACCTGGGAGGCAGAGCTTGCAGTGAGCCGAGATTGTGCCACTGCACTCCAGCCTGGGCGACAGAGCGAGACTCTGTCTCAAAAAATAAATAAATAAATAAATAAATAAATAAATAAATAAATAAATAAAAGAAAACTGAAGGAGTTTGAGCAAGAGTGTATCATTAATAAAATAAAATGGTGTAGCCATATTTGCAGCAAGAAGTAGGAAGGTGGAAGATTGAAGCTAGATAGAACAGACAGGCAACTGCAGTAGTGCAGATATAATGTGGTAAGAATAGCAATGGTAGGAATGAAGGTGAAAATACAGGTCTGAGAGATATTATTAAGGAAAGAATGGGTGACATATTCAATGCAGAGATGATGACAAAATATTCAAAAGTGACTTGAGGTCTCCTATTTTGGGAGCCTGTAAGATTTGTGAGTTTGCAGCTCTAAAAAAAAAAACAATGGGAAAGAGGAGTCTTTTTCTTCTGCTGCTTTAAAAAAATTTTTTTAGGGGAAAGCAGAAAAAACTTAGTGAGGGTGAGGTGGTTACAGTATATCTTCTAATACTATATATTTTTGAAAACATAAGATTAAAAGGAAGTTAAACATGAAGTCATGTTACAGAACCTTAGGGACAGATGGGCCAATTAATTGAAGGTATAAAAAATGGAAAAAAAAAAAAGGTATAAAAAGAACAAAGGACCAGGAATTGGGCTTTGTAGAATTAACTACTGTGAGGGCACATGAGGAGGAAAATCAGATAGGAAAAACAAGGCTGGCAAGGTAGGAAGAGGGCAGGAAAGACCATTAGGCAGAGGAGAATCAAATATAATTAAAATAAAGAATATTAAATAGCTTTCATGTAAAATAATGCCAAGATGAATGTTTCCAACATGAAAATCACCTTTTTAATTATGTAAGTCTCTGAGAAAATAATTATATTGATTGACAGCTCATTTACAATAACTCCCCAATATCAATCCCCAAGTCTTCTGCTGCTATTCAGACTTATCCCCTGATATCCTATAAAAATAGAAAACATATTATGAGGACTACCTAAATAAATTATTTCATATGTTGGAAGACTATTAGTTCTTCTCAAAGTTATTCCTTCCTAAGTTAAATCATTCCAATTCCTTAAAATGTAAAATGTATATTCCTTTTTTTCTTCTTCACTGTTTTCTTATGAACATTCCTAAATTTAGTAGTTATTGCTTGCTCTTAGGACAAACTATCTGATTATATGGTCTGATTAAATCTCTCTAAGAGTAAGGAGAACTCAATGCAACCCCAGAAATCCTTGAACAAAATGAGATGTTTAGACTTATTTAGGGCTTTTAGTCAGTAAGGATAAACCTATTTCCGTGAATTTTAGGACTTCATTTTATTTTTAATTTTTTTATTTTTATTTTTTTTGAGACGGAGTCACCCAGGCTGGAAGCTCTGCCTCCCGGGGTCACGCCATTCTCCTGCCTCAGCCTCCCGAGTAGCTGGGACTACAGGCGCCCGCCAACACGCCCGGCTAATTTTTTTTGTACTTTTAGTAGAGACGGGGTTTCACCATGTTAGCCAGGATGGTCTCGATCTCCTGACCTCGTGATCCGCCCGCCTCGGCCTCCCAAAGTGCTGGGATTACAGGCGCAGCCACCGCGCCCGGCCAGGACTTCATTTTATGTATTCTTTATTTCTTTCACATTGTTAAGGGTGTGTTTCTTTTTTTTTTTTTTTTTTGAGACGGAGTCTTGCTCTGTCACCCAGGCTGGAGTGCAGTGGCACAATCTTGGCTCACTGCAAGCTCCACCTCCTGGGTTCACGCCATTCTCCTGCCTCAGCCTCCCGAGTAGCTGGGACTACAGGCACCTGCCACCACGCCCAGCTAATCTTTTTTGTATTTCTAGTAGAGATGGGGTTTCACCATGTTAGCCAGGATGGTCTCGATCTCCGATCTCCTGACCTCGTGATCCGCCCGCCTCGGCCTCCCAAAGTGCTGGGATTACAGGCGTGAGCCACCGCGCCCGGCCTTGTTAAGGGTGTGTTTCTAAACTCTGAACATTAACTGAAATGTAAGATGCAATCCACTGAGTTGAACTATTGTCTGTTAGCAACCAAAAGAATGGTATCTATTGGCACCAATTAGGAAAATAAGAAATAAAAAAGAAGAAGAAAGAAAGGAAATAAAAGATTACTTGCTATAGTCTTTAGTCCATGTTGCATTGAAGTGGAAAATCATTTTCAGAGAAACAATATTATGAATGGAGTGCATCGGTTCTGCTGATCTTGTCAGCTATTTTGTTATCTGTATTGTAAGTTAAAGGTGAGATAATTTTGATGGTAAATAGAACCATCTGGGCTTTGGTTCTCAAATTTTGAATAGAAGTAGGTAGGATCTAAGGTTATACATTTTTTCTAGCCTTCATGAATTGTGCCTCAAGTAGTAATCTGATAATGCAGTTACAGTGATTTTTCCGTAGTTATTTCTACAGTTTTTGGACTTGGTTAATGCATTTGGTCCACAATAGTGGAGGCTGTGTCTAGTTTACTTCTTTAAGGGCACCTAGAAAAAACCTAAGTTATTTCCCTAATACACTCTAATATCTTGAAATACTAAATATTCCTTTGAAATGCTCTTGTGTTTGTAGGGAATGACAACTTCCTAGAAGGATCTAGTCCACTACATATTTTTATTACGGTTACATTCTCCTAATAAGGAAATGAGAAGAAAGCCAATTGTTGAGCTTCTAACACAGACAAGATACTTAAATACATTTTTATTTAAATCTCATAGCAGTTTTACGATGTAAAGATCCTTTGATCCTTTTCATTTTATAGCTCAGTACACAGACACAGAGAAGTTCAGTAACTTGCCAAAGGTCACAAAGCTTGTAAACTGATAGAAATGGGAGCTGAAGCGAAGACCATCTACCTACAAACTGCATGTTTTTAGTTATTGGTCTAATCAGATAGAGAGGATTTAGAATTGAGGTAGGGTATAAATACGTCCAGGAAACCACTGACAGCCAAACATAAGGCTTCCCTACAAAAGGATTAGTTCAGCCAAACTTCTTTCACAGTGTGTAACTAACACTTATCCCAAAAAGCTGCCATGCTGCCCAAACCTCTGACAGTTCCCATAGGAAAAGAAGGGTTAAATAAAAGGTCAATGGAGTTAAACAAACAAACAAACACACAAACAGGCATTATTCACCCTTTCTGGCTTTCATCAACCCCACCCCCTACCCCCAATTGGGTAGCTTTCATTTCATAACTTGAAGAAAAGGGATATGAAAATATATTCTTTGCAAACATTTCCTCAGGGCAAGAAGAAGAAAAAAACATTTGATAAAAAACACCCATATCAATTAAAGTTGTTTCAAAGGAAAGCATCTGAATCGAGGTGCCATCTCAGGGGAGAATAACAGGATAACAAGACCAGTAAGCACCAATAGAGCATGACTCATCCATTTTGCCAGTTACAGTTACACATATAGAGTAGAGGCAGTTGGAGTAATACATAGTGACCACTCAAGTATTCACTTCTTCAATCAATATTGTCAGGCACTATGCAGGGCAAAGCTGACCCACGATGGTGGTAGAATTCTCTGTCCCAGACATACAGGATGGGGATTGAGAATTGAAACATGGAATCTCTGGGGCTGAGGGCTGGGGATGTTTCTCCCATGGACTTAAGAATCAGAGAAAGCTACGCTGCGAGGTAGAGCAAACACCTAGATAGAAACAGAGATGACAGAAGGGAGTCCTGTTGGCTTCAGCAGGGCAGTTTAGCTCAGTGTTCAAGGGCATGAACTCTATAACCACACAGCTGTGTTTAAACTTGGCTTCATCATTTATAAACTATGTAACCTCAGACAAGTTACTTACTTCATGTTTTCTTTGTTTTCCTTATTTATGAAATGGTGGTAAAATACTATCTATTTTATAGGGTGTTTGTGAACATTAAAGACAATGCAGTTCACCTTCTGTATCCATGGATTCTGCTTCTGTGGATTCAACCAACCACAGATCAAAAATATTTTAAAAAATCAATAAAAATAACAATACAATAAAAAAACACAAAAAACCAATAGAGTATAACAAATATTTATATAGCATTTACACTGTATTAGATATTATAATTAATCTAGAGATGATTTAAAGTATACAAGAGGATGTATATAGGTTATGTGCAGACACTATGGCCATTTAATATAAGGCACTTGAGTATCTGTGAATATTGGTGTCCATAGGGGTCCTGTAAGTTTTCCCCCATGGAAACTAAGGAAAGACTTTATATCCAAAGTGCTTATAATAAGGGCTAACATCTAGGAAGCATGATGTTATGGACTGAATTATGTCCTTGCTGATATTGTTTGGATGTTTGTGCCTTGAAATCTCATGTTGAAATGTAATCCCCAGTGTTCCAGGTAGGGCCAAACACCCATGGTGTTTGGGTCATGGGGGTGGATCCCTCATGAATAGCTTGGAACCTCACAATAATAAGTAACTTCTTGCTCTGAGTTCCTGTGAGATCTGATTGTTTAAAAGAATGTGGGGCCAGGCATGGTGGCTCACACCTGTAATCCTAGCACTTTGGGAGGCCGAGGCAGGTGGATCACCTGAGGTTAGGAGTTCAAGACCAGCCTGGCCAACATGGTGAAACCCATCTCTACCAAAAATAGAAAAATTAGCTGAGCATGGTGGCGCATGCCTTAATTCCAGCTACTCTGGAGGCTGAGGCAGGAGAATCGCTTGAACCCGGGAGGCAGAGGTTGCAGTGAGCCGAGATCGCACCACTGCACTCCAGCCTGGGCAACAGAGCGAGACCCCATCTAAAAAAAAAAAAACAAACCAAAAAGAATGTGACACCCCACCCTCATGGCTCCCTCTCTTGCTCCCATGTGATATACCAGCCCCCCTTTGCCTTTTCACCATGACTGTAAGCTTCCTGAGGACTATCACAAGCTGAGCAGATGTCAGCACCATGCTTCCTGTACAGTCTGCAGAACCAAGAGCCAATTAAACCTCTTTTCTTCATAAATTACACAGCCTAAGGTATTTCTTTAAAATTAAAAAAAAAAAATTTAATTTCCATAGGTTACTGGGGAACAGGTGGTGTCTGGTTACATGAGTAAGTTCTTTTGTGGTGATTTGTGAGATTTTTGTGCACCCATCACCCGACCAGTATATACAGCACCCAATTTGTAGTCTTTTATCCTTCACCCCCTTCTCACGCTTTCCTGAGTCCCTCACCCTTTCCCCAAAAGTCCATTGTATCATTCTTACGCCTTTGCATCCTCATAGCTTAGCTTCCACTTATCAGTGAGAAAATACGATGTTTGGTTTTCCATTCCTGAGTTACTTCACTTAGAATAAAGTCAAATTGTCTGTTTGCGGACTACATGGTTGTATATATTAGAAAACCCAATTATCTCAGCCCCCAAACTCAGTGCAGTTGATAAGAAGCTGATAAGCAACTTCAGCAAAGTCTCAGGATACAAAATCAATGTGCAAAAATCACAAGCATTCCTATACACCAACAACAGACAGAGAGCCAAATCCTGAGTGAACTCCCATTCACAATTGCTACAAAGAGAATGAAATACCCAGGAATACAACTTACAAGGGATGTGAAGGACCTCTTCAAGGATAACTACAAACCACTGCTCAAGGAAATAAGAGAGGACACAAACAAATGGAAAAACATTCCATGCTCATGGATAGGAAGAATCAATATCATGAAAATGGCCTTACTGCCTAAAGTAATTTATAGATTCAGTGCTACTCCCATCAAGCTACCAGTGACTTTCTTTGCAGAAGTAGAAAAAAACTACTTTAAATTTCATATGGAACCAAAAAAGAGTCCGTATAGCCAAGACAATCCTAAGCAAAAAGAACAAAGCTGGAGGGATCCTACCTGACTTCAAACTATACTATAAGGCTTCAGTAACCAAAACAGCACAGTACTGGTACCAAAACAGATATATAGACCAATGGAACCGAATAGAGACCTCAGAAATAACACCACATGTCTACAACCATCTGATCTTCAACTAACCTGACAAAAACAAGCAATGGAGAAAGGATTTCCTATTTAATGAATGGTGCTGGGAAAACTGGCTAGCCAGATGCAGAAAACAGAAACTGGACCCCTTCCTTATACCTTATACAAAAATTAACTCAAGATGGATTAAAGACTTAAGTGTAAAACCCAAAACCATAAAACCCTGGAAGAAAACCTAGCCAATACCATTCAGGACATAGGCACGGGCAAAGACTTCATAACTAAAAAGCAATTGCAACAAAAACCAAAATTGACAAATGGGATCTAATCAAACTAAAGCGCTTCTGCACAGCAAAAGAAACTATCATCAGAGTGAACAGGCAACCTAAAGAATGGCAGAAAATTTTTGCAATCTATCCATCTGACAAAGGGCTAATATCCAGAAACTACAAGGAACTTAAACAAATTTACAAGAAAAAAAAAACCCAATCAAAAAGTGGGCACAGGATATGAACAGACACTTCTCAAAAGAAGACATTTATGCAGCCAACAAACATATGAAAGAAAGCTCATCATCATTGGTCATCAGAGAAATGCAAATCAAAACCACAATGAGATACCATCTCACGCCAGTTAGAATGGTGATTATTAACAAGTCAGGAAACAACAGATACTGGCGAGGCTGTGGAGAAATAGGAATGCTTTTACACTGTTGGTGGGAGTGTAAATTATTTAAACCGTTGTGGATGACAGTGCGGCGATTCCTCAAGGATCTAGAACCAGAAATACCATTTGACCCAGCAATCCCATTATTGGGTATATACCCAAAGAACTATAAATCATTCTTTTTTTTTTTTGAGACGGAGTCTGGCTCTGTCCCCCAGTCTGGAGTGCAGTGGCGCAATCTCGGCTCACTGCAAGCTCTGCCTCCCGGGTTCACGCCATTCTCCTGCCTCAGCCTCCTGAGTAGCTGGGACTACAGGTGCCCGCCACCACGCCTGGCTAATTTTTTTGTATTTTTAGTAGAGACAGGGTTTCGCCATGTTGGCCAGGATGGTCTCGAACTCCTGACCTCATGATCTGCCCACCCCAGCCTCCCAAAGTGCTGGGATTACAGGCTTGAGCCACCGCGCCTGGCTGATTATAAATCATTCTACTATAAAGACACATGCACATGTATGTTTATTGCAGCACTATTTACAATAGCAAAGACTTGGAACCAACCCAAATGCCCATCAATGGTAGACTGGATAAAGAAAATGTGGCACATATACACCATGGAATACTATGCAGCCATAAAAAAGAATAAGCTCATGTCCTTTGCAGGAACATGGATGACACTGGAAGCCATAATTCTCAGCAAACTAACACAGGAACAGAAAACCATACACCACGTTTTTTCACACATAAGTGGGAGCTGAGCAATGAGAACACATGGACACAGGGAGGAGAATATCACACACTGGGGCCTGTCAGGGGGTGGGGAGCAAGGAGAGGGAGACCATTAGGACAAATACCTAATGCATGCAGGACTTAAAACCTAGATGATGGGTTGATAGATGCAGCAAACCACCATGGAACATGTATACCTATGTAACAAACTTGCACATTCTGCACATGTATCTCAGACCTTAAAGTAAAAAAAAAAAAAAATAATAATATTAGTCTTCAATCTCATCCAGGTGACTGCAAATGTCATTACTTCATTTCTTTTTATGGTTGAGTTGTATTCCATCATAGATATATACCACAGTTTCTTTATCCACTTGTTGATTGATGGCCATTGGATTAGTTTCACATTTTTGCAATTGTGAATTGTGCTGCTGTAAACTTGCGTGTACAAGTATCTTTTTTGAATAATGGCTTCTTTTCCTCTGGGTAGATACACAGTAGTGGGACTGCTGGATCAAATGGTAGTTCTACTTTTAGTTCTTTAAGGAATCTCCACACTGTTTTCCATAGTGGTTTTACTAGTTTACATTCCTATCAGCAATGTAGAAGTGTTTCCTGTTCACCACATCCATGCCAGCATCTATTATTTTTCTATTTTTAAGTATGTCCATTCTTGTAGGACTAAGGTGGTTTTGATTTGCATCTCCCAGATCATTAGTGATGTTGAGCATTTTTTCGTATGTTTGTTGGCCATTTGTATATCTTCTTTTGAGAACTGTCTATTCATGTCCTTAGCCTACTTTTGATGGGATTGTTTGTTTTTTCTTATTAATTTGTTTGAGTTCATTGTAGATTCTGGATATTAGTCCTTTGTCAGATGTATAGATTGTGAAGATTTTCTCCCACTCTGTGGGTTGTCTGTTTACTCTGCTGACTGTTCCTTTTGCCATGCAAAAGATCTTTAGTTTATTTAAGTCCCAGCTATTCATCTTTGTTTTTATTGCATTTGCTTTTGGGTACTTGGTCAAAAAATCCTTGCCTAAGCCAATGTCTAGAAGGGTTTTTCTGATATTGTCTTCTAGAATTTTTATAGTTTCAAGTCTTAGATTTAAGTCCTTGATCCATATTGTGTTGATTTTTGTATAAGGTGAAAGATGAGGATCCAGTTTCATTATTCTACATGTGGCTAGTCAATTATCCCAGCACAATTTGTTGAATAGGGTGTCTTTTCCCCACTTTATGTTTCTGTTTGCTTTGTGAAAGATCATTTGGCTGTACTTGGATTTATTTCTGGGTTCTCTATTCTGTTCCATTGGTCTATGTGCCTATTTTTATACAGTACCATGCTGTTTTGGTGAGTATGGCCTTATAGTGTAGTTTGAAATCAGGTAATGTGATGCCTCCAGATTTGTTCTTTTTGTTTAGTCTTGCTTTGGATATGTGGGCTCTTTTTTGGTTCCATATGAATTTTAGGATTTTTTTTCTGATTCTGTGAAGAAAGATGATGATATTTTGATAGGGATTACACTGAATTTGTAGATTGCTTTTGGCAGTATGGCCATTTTCACAATATTGATTCTACCCATCCATGAGCATGGAACGTGTTTCTATTTGTTTGTGTCATCTATGATTTCTTTCAGCAGTGTTTTGTAGTTTTCCTTGCAGAGGTCTTTCACCTCCTTGATTATGTATATTCCTAAGTATTTCTTTTTCAGTTATTGTAAAAGGGGTTGAATTCTTGATTTGATTCTCAGCTTGGTTCCTGTTGGTGTATAGGGGAGGTACTGAATTGTGTACATTAATTTTGTATGTGGAAACTTTGCTGAATTCTTCTATCAGTTCTAGGAGCTTTTTGGAGGAGTCTTTAGGGTTTTCTAGGTATACAATCATATCATCAGCAAACAGTAGCAGTTTGACTTCCTCTTTACTGATTTGGATGCCTTTTATTTCCCCCTCTTGTCTGACTGCTCTCCAGCCTCAGGTATTTCTTTAGAGTAAAGCAAGAACTAATACTGAAAATTGGTACCAGGAGTGGGGTATTATTATAAAGATACCTGAAAATGTGGAAGTGGTTTTGGAACTGGGTAACAGGCAGAAGTTGGAAGAGTCTGGAGGTCTGAGAAGAAGACAGAAAGATGAAGGAAAGTTTCCAACTTCTTAGAAGCTAGTTAAATGGTTATGACCAGAATGTTGATAGAGACATGGACAGTGAAGTCCAAGCTGAAGAGCTCTCAGATGGAAATAAATAAGTTACTGGGAACGCGAGTAAAGGTTATCCATTATGCTGTTGCAAAGAACTTGGCTGCATTGTGTTCATGTCCTAGGAATCTGTGGAAGT
Organism: Homo sapiens; assembly: GCF_000001405.40. NCBI lineage: Eukaryota > Metazoa > Chordata > Mammalia > Primates > Hominidae > Homo > Homo sapiens. Next base: position 35,277,806 of record NC_000015.10, read on the forward strand.
TTGAACTTAAGAGTGATGACCTAGGGTATCTGGCAGAAGAAATTTCTAAGCAGCAAAGTGTTCAAGATGTGGCCTGGCTGCTTCTAAGAGCCTATCATCAGATACAGGAGCAAATAAATGACTTAAAGTTGGAATTCATATTTAAAAGGGAAACAGAGCATAAAAGTTTGACAAATTTGCATCCTGGTACATGGTAGAAAAGGAATACAAGCAGATTGTGGAGGAACCACTTGCTAAAGAGACTAGCATGACTAAAAGGGAACCAAATGCTAATATCCGAGACAATGGGAAAAGAGGTCTTGAAGGCATTTCAGAAATCTCTGAGGCAGCCCCTCATATCACAGGCCCAGAAGCCTCGGATGAAAGAATGATTTCAGGGACCACGCCAAGGACACTGCTGCCCTGCTCAGCCTTGGGAGGCTACTCCCTGCAACCAGGCTGCTCCAGCTCCAGATGTGGCTCAAAGGCCCCAGGTACAGCTCTGGCTGCCACTTTGGAGAGTGAGGCCGTAATCCTTGGCAGCTTTCATGTGGCAGTAAGCCTGTGGCTGCACAGAATGCAAGGGTGAAGGAGACTTGGCAGCTTCTGTCTAGATTTCAGATAATGTATGGGAAAGCCTAGGTGCCTGGGCAGAAGCCTGATGCAGGGGTAGAGCCCCCGCAGAGAGGCTCTACTAGTAGGGCAGCACCAAGGGGACGTGTGAGGTTGGAGACCCTATACAGAGTCCCCACCAGGGCACTGCCTAGTGGAGCAGTAAGAAGGGGGCCACTGCCTTCCAGGCCAAAGAATGGTAGAGGCAGCAGCAGCTTGCATCCTCAGTCTGGAGAAGCCACAGGCACTGGACTCTAACCCATCAGAGCAGCCCTGTGGGCTGCATCCAGCAAAGCTATAGAGTTGAGCTGCCTAAGGCCTTAGGAGTCCACCCCTGAATGCAGGACATTAAGTCAAAGGAGATTATTTTGGGCCAGGAGCAGTGGCTCAAGCCCATAATCCCAGCACTTTGGGAGGCCAAGGCAGGCGGATCATGAGATCAGAAAATTGAGACCATCCTGACTAACGTGGTGAAACCCAGTCTCTACTAAAAATACAAAAAATTACGTGGGCGTGGTGGCACATGCCTGTAGTCCCAGCTACTCAGGAGGCTGAGGCAGGAGAATTGCTTGAACCCAGGAGGCGGAGGTTGCAGTGAACTGAGATCACGCCACTGCAATCCAGCCTCAGTGACAGAGTGAGACTCTGTCTCAAAAAAAAAAAAAAAAAAAAATATATATATATATATAATTTTGGAGCTTTAAGATTTAATGACTGCCCTACTGAGTTTCAGACTTGTGTGGGGCCTATTGCCCCTTTTTTTGGGGTGATTTCTCCATTTTGGAATGGGAATGTCTACCCAATAAGTGCACCACCATTGTATCTTGGGAGTAAATAACTTTTTTTAATCTTACAGGCTCATAGGAAAGAACTAATCTCCAGACGAGACTTTGGACTTGGGACTTTTGGTTAATGCTGGAATAAGTTAAGGCTTTGGGGGACTATTGAGATGGGATGATTGTATTCTGCATGTAAGGACATGAGATTTGAGGAACCAGGGGCAGAAGGATATGGTTTGGGAAGTTTGCTCCCTCCAAATGTCAGGTTGAAATGTAATCTCCAGTGTTACAGGAGGGGCCTGGTGGGAGGTGTTTGGGTCATGAGGTCAGATACCTCATTAATAGCTTGGTGCTGTCCTCCCCATAAGTGGGCTCCCACTCTGAGTTAATGCAAGACCTGGTTTAAAAGAGTGTGGCACCTCCTCCACCCCTTGCTTCCTCTCTCACCATAGGATGCACCTGCTCCCCTTTGCCTTTCACCATGATTGTAAGCTTTCTGAGGCCTTACCAGAAGCCAAGCAGATGCCAGCACCGTGCTTCCTGTGCAGCCTGCAGAACTGTGAGCCAATCAAACCTCTTTTCTTTATAAATTACCCAGCTTCAGTTACTTCTTCATAGTGTTGCAAGAACTAACTCCCCACCCCCCAAATTCATATGTTGAAGCCCTAACCCTCAACGTGACTGTATTTGGAGTCAGCTTTTAGAAAGAAATTAAGGTTAAATGAAGTCATAAAGCTAATCCAATAGGACTGATGACCTTATATGAAGAGAATGAGGGAGTAATCTCTTTCCCCACACACATGTACCAGGGAAAGGCCATATGAGGACACAGTGAGAAGACAGAGCCCTCATCAGAAACCAAATTGGCTGGCACCTTGATCTTAGACTTCCCAGCCTCCAGAACTGTGAGAAATAAATTTCTGTCCTTTGAGTCACCCAGTCTATAGTATTTTGTAATGGCAGCCCAAGCAGACTAATACAATAACATAAATCTTTCCTATCATTATTATTCTGATTTTGGTTCCTGGGTCTAGTTCCAATTCATAGTAGCCTTCTGAGGGCTAGACAGTTTCTACTTTGATGTTCTGAAAGATAGCACAGCATCACAATAATACATTTCCTACTGTTGACTTAAACAACATTAGTAGGCTTCTTCAAATGATAACCAGAGAGTCTTAAGCAATAAATAATATTGGAGGTTAGGGTAAAGAAAAATCACTTGTAGCTCATGACTGGGATGAAAGTATCATGGAAGAGAAGTGATTTAAGCTAGAATTTATAAAATGGTTAGCCTTTTAAAAAGTAGAGAGAGAGAATATACTGATAACTGAGACAATAGCATAGAATTATTCATATTGTGCACATGCCAACAGTACACATCAGCCTTAATGATAATAATGCAAATGTGAAATTTGGATTACTCCATATTAGGTTTTCATAGCTACAGAGAACTATTTATCCATTTATCTTAAACATATTAAAGGTGCAAATTTCAAACTTAAATTTCTAGAAGCGTTACTAAAACCTAATGCATTATTAAGTAGGTAAGGTAAAAAAAATTTTCTCTTTTATGTTCATTGAGGATAAAAATCTTATGAAGTCTCTCAATTTTATTCCTAGTTCTCATAACAAAGAATCAGTTTTCAAAAGTTCAAGTTTTCTCAGATATTACAGCAAGTGCATTAGCTCATCTAGATCATTGTTGGACAGACAATTGACTTACTTTTCTATGCTTTCTACTGGTGAATGCTTCAAATATGATATATATATTTTTTGTGACTTTTTAAAATTATTATACTTTAAGTTTTAGGGTACATGTGCACAATGTGCAGGTTAGTTACATATGTATACATGTGCCATGCTGGTGTGCTGCACCCATTAACTTGTCATTTAGCATTAGGTATATCTCCTAATGCTATCTCTCCCCCCTCCCCCCACAAATATGATATTAAAATAGGCAAATAATTGTCTATCTGTCCTTTACTACCACTTCACACACAATTCTGAGTGAACTGTCCTGTAAAAATCAAAAGGTCATGTAAGTCTTGCTCCCTCAAGCAAACTCTTATTTTTAGGAGACCTCAAAGGCAAATTTTATGACTGCTTCCTTTTAAAACTATAAACATAATGAAACCATTCTAAAAATAATTATGGTATATCACCCAAATAGCTCACAAAATTAAAGACCCAAGAGAAACACTGCCTGAAAACTTTAAAACATTGTTATTTAAATACATATTGACATATTTTGACCCAAAATAATTTTTTTAAATTGAGAAAACATATGCTAATAATAATTTTTTTTCATGAAGAAAATGACCAAAAGGAGACATGACTTTTGACCTAAGCAGGAGGCTGGAAGCCAGACAACTCATTTTCTTTTTTATAGCTTTTAACAAAGTCATGACTTCTTAAAATCCATTATTCCATCCAAAACATTGGTCTACTCTTCAGCTATCATCTCTTTTAGCAAGACATTCATGAATTCCCAGGCTGGGGAGAAAAAGGCTCCAGTCATACATTCATTCCTAAAATATTTATTGACTATCATGTATGAGTCAGGCAATGAATCTCTGAGGGCCAATACAGCTTAAGGAAGAATATGTTTGGAGTGACACATTCTAATAGAGATATCTACCGTAGATACCTCAGGTAGCCTACACTAGCCTTTCATTGTCCCCTGGTCAAGACATCTTCCCCTGCAACAAATTGTTTGATTTTTTTGTTTGTTTGCTTATTTTCACTTAAATCAATTTCTTGTATATTGTCTTCAGTTAGTAATAGAACAACTACAGCATTATTCTCACCAAGATGCTTCATAGAATTTAGACAACATAGTATTCAAGAATATAATATTATTCAACTCATTTTATCAGCTATTGCTTCTCCAAGCATATCCCCAACTCTTCCATTCTCTTTTTATATAAAACTAATTTTCTAGTTCGTTGTTTGTTTTTGCTACTCCTTCTACATGATTCAGCTTCTGCAAATAGTTTTTCTTTTTGTTTTTAAATGAGCCTGGATCTTGCTCTGTCACTCAGGCTGAAGTGCAGCAGTGCAATCATAGCTCACTACAGCCTGGAACTCCTGGGCCCAAGCAATCCTCCTGCCTCAGCCTCCCAAGCAGGTGGGACTACAGTTATGTGCTGCTACAACTGGCTAATTTTTTTATTTTTACTTTTCTGTAGAGACAAGGTCTCACTATGCTGCCCAGGCTGGTCTTGAACTCCTGGCCTCAAGCGATCCTCCCACCTTGGCCTCTCAAAGCACTGGGATTACAGGTGTGAGCCACCACACCCAGCAGTTTTCACAAATAGTTTTTGAAGAAGCTCAGTCTTGGCAGACTGTGCTGGGTTGTCATGCTGCCACTGCCACTGTGCCAACCCTTCAGATCTCAATGAGGCTGGGTGATGCTCCAGAATGGGAGATGAGCCAATCTGGGAGCAGATTGGATCCAGCTTCATTCAGCATTACTACCAGTTATTTCATAATGATAAAACCCAACTAGGTGCAATTTACATTGATGTGCCATGCCTTACGTGGGAAGGACAGCAGTTCCAGGGGAAAGCTGCCATTGTGGAGAAGTTGTCTAGTCATCCCTTCCAAAAAATCCAGCACAGCATCACAGCACAGGACCATCAGCCCACGCCAGCTGCATCATCAGCCTGGTTGTGGGCCAGCTTAAGGTGGATGAAGACCCCATCGGGGGGTTCCACCATATAGATGTTCCTGTTGAAGAACATCAACAATACTTGGGTTTGCACCAATGACATGTTCAGGCTTGGCCTGCACATCTTGAGCTGATCTCCTGAATATCATCATCATCTTCTTCTTCTTCCTCTTCCTCTTCTTCCTTCTTCTTCTTCTTCTTCCTTCTTCTTCCTTCTTCTTCTTCCTCTTCTTCTTCTTCCTTCTTTCTTCTTCTTCTCCCTTCTTCTTCTTCTCCTTCTCCTCTTCTCTTCTTCTTCCTCTTCCTCTTTTCCCTCCCCCTCCCCCTCTTCCTCTTCTTTTTCTTCTCTTCTTCTTCTTTCTTCCTCTTCCTCTTCTTTCTTCTTTCTTCCTCTTCCTCCTCCTACTCCTCTTCTTCTTCTTTCTTCCTCTTCCTCTTCTTCTTCCTCCTCCTCCTCCTCTTATTCTTCTTTCTTTTGAGTCAGAGTCTCACTCTGTCACCCAGGCTGGAGTGCAATTCCGGCTCACTGCAAACTCCATCTCCCAGGTTCAAGCAATTCTCCTGCCTCAGGTTCCCGAGCAGCTGGGACCACAGGCGCCCACCACCATGCCCAGCTAACTTTTTGTATTTTTAGCAGAGATGGGGTTTCACCATATTGGCCAGGCTGGTCTCAAACTCCCGTCCTCATGATCCGCCGCTTTGGCCTCCCAAAGTGCTGGGACCACAGGCATGAGCTACCACACCCGGCCCCTGAATAACTTCTTATATGGTTCTTCCCACCCCATCAAACCCAGGGAAGGGTCCTCTAGAATCCTATCACCAACACCAAAATATGTTCAACCTAAAGTAAAAACAATGGCCACCATTTCTAGCAAGAAAGATGGTTTACTTTTTTCATTGGGCACAGATAGTACACACACACACACACACACACACACACACACACACACGGAGTCTTAGACAACTTCTGAATGCCCTGGAAAATGACTTTCGACATCCAATATGTAAGATAAAAGCCATAACAATATAAATTGATGGTGGGGAGAAATGGTTCTCCAAAAATTACACTAGTGATTCTTCTGGGTCTCTTTATCTTTATCTTTGCTGTAGTAATTTGAGATGTTTTATTCTTTCATTAAGCATAAATTTTAAAATCCATTACTTTTAATCCAGTTCGGAGGGGCCAACAGGACAGAACACTATTTCTTTTCAGGACATAGTTCTCTTCTGGTAACAGGGAAGCTTTCCATTTCAAGTGTGATCTGATCATCTTCCACAGTCAAACTATTGACTTTTCTCTTTTGTCATCTATCCTCACTCATCAGCTGCCCCATACTTTCAGAAACTTTGAGAGCTTGATGACATCCCAACCTAATAAGCATACAATATAATCTTATCACATATTTACAAATAATGTCTTTTCCATATAATATATACAACAAGAAACCCTTCTAAATCATCCATGAGGAATAAACTTAACCTGTGTGTAGAGGAAATTAAGTGCTGCTTTTTTTCCCCCTAAGGTAAAATGTGTTATTTGGCTAAATTTTTATCCTGAAATAGTCCAAGGAGACGTGTCTACATTACGGACTAATAGATTGCAAAAATTTTCTGGACAATAAAAATGGTGATTTAAATATTAATGAAAAGAAAAAAGTGAGAGCACTTACTGTTTTATTTATTTACCTTATAACTTCAGAAATATTTTACAATATAAATTATATATATAATAAAAATTATTTTGTAACAGCCAGTAGACCTATATTTTGGGGGAGTGGTGAGCTTGGAAAAATGAATGAAAGAAGAAATACTTCCTTTCCCTACAGTCCTAGTAAAAGGACTTCAGGGGTTGCATGGCAAGTTTGAGCCAGAAACAAGTATGATGACTTCTGTATTAAAAAAAAAAGCAAACCTATGACAGATATAAAAGGAAAATTCATGGGTGAAGTCTCCAAATTTTTTTTTTTTTTTTTTTTTTTTTTTTTGAGACAAGGCTTCATTCTGTCCTCCAGGCTGGAATGCAGTGGTGCAATCACAGCTCACTGCAGCCTTGAACTCCTGGGCTCAAGCAATCCTCCTGCCTCAGCCTTCCAAGTAGCTAGGACTATAGGTGCACACCATGCTCAGCTAATTTTTTCATTTTTTGTAGAGATGAGGTCTTGCTATGTTACGCAGGGTGGTCTCCAACTTCTGGGCTCAAGTGATCCTCCCACTTTCATCCCTCAAACTGTTAGGATTACAGGTGTGAGCCACCATGCCTGGCCTAAAATGTATATACATTGGGATGCATTTGAGATATCTCCCTGGTCGGGATAAAAAAAATTGTATCTAAAATAAGTATGTTTTATTCCTACCCTTGATTTCTTCCTATTTTCCAGTACCAATAACTTTTCAAAGAACTTACAGTAGTCATTTGATATGGTTTGGCTGTGTCCCCACCCAAATCTCATCTTGAATTGTTGCTCCCACAATTCCCACGTGTCGTGGGAGGGACCTAGTGGGAGGTAATTGAAACATGGGGGCGGGTCTTTCTCATGCTATTCCCATGATAGGGAATAAGTCTCACGAGATCTGATGGTTTTATAAAGAGGAGTTCCTTTGCATAAGCTCTCTCTCTTTGCCTGCTGCCATCCACATAAGATGTGACTTGCTCCTCCCTGCCTTCCGCCATGATTGTGAGGCCTCCCCAGTTATGTGTAACTGTAAGTAAATTAGTTTCTTTCTTTTGTAAATTGCCCAGTCTTGAGTATGTCTTTATGAGCAGTGTGAAAATGGAATAACACACCATTTTTCTCTAAAGAAGTACTTTTCAAATTAAAATTTTCAATGAAAATTAAGTAATTACTTAATCTATTTCTTTTATATTTACAAATAAATAGTATCGAATTAAGTGGAAATTTGTTTAGCTAACATTCTTGTTTACTTGAGGAAGTTACCTGTATGTCCAGAAATATCTAGACTAGATTTCTCTGGCACATTCTTCCTGATGAGATTCTGGACTGACTCAATTATCATTTTATCTTTGAGTTTTTTTTTTTTTTTTTACCTGAGACCACTTGTTCACTATAAAGAATCCTAAAGAAATAACTCTGAAATGATAATAAGAGCTCATAGAGGCAGCTATTAAAGCTGGGGCAAAATGGAAAAATCATCCAAATGCTATTAATAATCTTTGAGGCAATGAACTTATTAAAGACAAGCTAGTGAAAGCAGAATGGAAAACAAATATAGTTTGCTTCATGAATTCACCTGTCCTGGGTAAAAAACATCACTTTATTGTCAAATAAATATTTGAGTTTCATCACAGACTAGGTAGATTAAAAAACACAAACTACTAACCCTTCCATTAACATGAGAATTGCCAGGTATTACAATACTGTAGCAGCAGTGAATTTTCCAGACAAACACCAAGAACTGGATCCAGTCCAGATGTGATGATAGCACATTAATAAGCTAATTCCTTTAGCTACCTCTTCATTTTCTGAGACTCATTCGCAGAGTGGCAATGCCATTAACTCTGGATGAGGTGCTTCGCCCAATGAATACCTCTTGATTAAATCATTGATTGGGCCTTCTCTGCTCACTTCACTCTCCATCCCTATGGGAAATAAACTCTTGCACAGCATCCTTCAAAGGACACAGAATAGGCAACATAAGCAGTAGGAGCATATAGTGACTAAATGAACAAATGACTGAATAAATAGTTCATAAGACATTGAGAGTTAAACTAGCATTGCTAGGTTAGTGGACATTATCTAGAGTAAAAGAATTGTAAAGTCTAAAGACAATAAAAATATTGATCTATCCAGTACATTATCTTGTTTATTCAATTTAGAAAACTTTGTCTGAAAAGGTAAATTTAAATCCTTAGTTTATTAAAATTTTTGGGAGGGGACTGGTGAGATGTATACTTATTTGAAAAAGTTTTTCTTTTTTAAATTATCTATCATAATTTTCTGCTAAGAGAACTAAGAGGTATTTTTGTTCTCCCCTGAAGATTATCTAAGAGTATTATGGCTTTGCTATTTAGGGGAAAATGCTAGAAAACTTCTGACCAAGGCAAATTATCTGTCACTGTAAGCACTTTTCCTCTGAGGAAAGGAATTTCATGGGAGAAGCAACAGGTGCCTTTTCTTTTTTTGACGCAGTAGTATACAGCAAAAAGAAGACAATAGAAAAAAGTTGTTAAAATGTGACACAAGACTGAAGTCTACAATACCAACTCTTAATGAAATAAATATCGTACAGCATATCCACAATGCTGAAATTGGGCTGAAATGTTACAACTCAGTAAACAGGCTTTGTTTAAAAAAATCTTTTTATGAGTCAAGAGATGATATATTAGAAAAATAATGTTCACAAAAAATCTAGTTTTTAACAACTGGCACCACAAAGCACTTATTATCTCTGATTAGTAAAACAGTTTGTTTGAAAGCAGTCAGTTTTGAAGATTACAGACAGGAGGGCAAGTTTAAAAACATATGAGGTTTATACAGAGGGCTATTATTTTACAAACAACAAATGATTTAAAATAGTCTGAACTAACATTATTTGCAGTTACTTTCATGTTACAGAACTCAATAAATAATGTTTTTTAAAAACTTCGCACAGTTCTTCTTGATCTACTTGTAATTGTAGGGCATTATTAGTTTCGTGTGTATCATGTTTCCAGATCTGAGTGTTGAAAGATTTATTCATGTTGAGCTGTGCCCCAGGGTAATTTTAGTTTTCATAAAACCTAATTCTACAATTATAACCATCTGAGAAAATGAATATTCTTCCTACGAACAGTGTAGTAAGAAGATACATTTTTATTATAAGCCTGATTTTCACAAGTGATTATTTTTTTCATTTTCCTTAAACTCCTTACTTAAATTTTTTTTTCTTATTAGACCCTCAACCCACAAATGTTCAACTGTCATAAAAGATCAGTGTTACTGAACTGCCGGCATTAATCTTTTGTTTGAAATGTATAAAGACAAATAAAGGAGACATTGCAAAATGTCTTTGTGCAGTAGAAGCAGATATTGAAATGATAAATAACATAACCTGTAAACACTAGCTATAATGTTCTTGGATAGAAGAAATTTCTAAATATCAAAGACAGTGGCATCACTGTCAGGTACTCCATAAATAAACCACGGACAATACCTGACACTGGACCTTTCATTCTTGCAATGCTATGCTGAATAAGCATGCTCCCCTTGCCTGTCTGAATTCTATATGCCCATTTCCAGAAATGCTGCTGCAGATAAGTTACAGTGTCATGTTCATTTTGTCAACTACATACTGATTATCCTTTCCTATCTGTAGTTTGGGAACATTATCAAGGTCAGATGCAAATTCTCAGAAAACCTTCCCTAATGTAGCTATATTTCATAATTTCTATAAGGGGCTTTCATAAATAAACTTTGCAGAAACACACACGTATTTTCCAAGATTTTACCTTTAGGAAAAAGGAAAGGTTTACCAGTAAGATTTTACTTTTAGGGAAGATTTTACTTTTAGGAAAAAGGAAAGACTTACCAGTAAGGTTTTGGAAATTTAAAACCAAAAGGAGAATAAGTCTAGTCATTCATTGTATGTATTTTCATTTAATCACTAAAAATGTGATATTTGAGGATGACATATCTAATTTTTTTTGAGGTACGTTTACAATGACCCTACTTTCTCTACCTTCCTAACCGCTTCCTATTTATTTTATTTTGACAAATTACTTATGAAGCATTTGCAACTGATGCACATATCACAAAATTATTTCTGCCAAGCTTCCTCTGTGACCTGCCCGTGGGACATGACATGCTCCAAGATGCATCGCTCTATCAACCCGCATTTTTCCAGGACAATGCAAATTATGACAAATCCCATCATCCTGCATTATGTGCTTCATGCTAATCTCACTAATTCTAAAGAATCAGGAGAGCTTGTTGTTCTGCTGAAGGGCATACTGTCTGATTGAATGATAGGAAAACATTTGCCATCCCCTTCTCACAATCCCAGCTGTGGCCACCACTGCCCCACTTCTGCCAGGCAACTGCTCTTGCTGTGTAACTTCCATATCAGAATTAGCTTTACATCAGCTGAGCTTTTTAACAGGAAACTACACATCACCAAAAAAAGATAGTTCTAAAGTCCAGAAAATAAAAGGCTTTTGGGGGTAAAATGAAAAGAGGAACTTGTATTTTTACCGACTGTTGGATACCTGTATTCATTTCTACTTATTTTAAATGAAGATTAAAATCAAACTTATCATTTCTATGATAAAAGCCAGATGGTTTCTAGACTTAGAAGTTTCTGGCTGCTGGATCACTACAAATGAGATGGCTCTTAAAACAGCTAACCTTGAGGACAATTCCTCTGGGCTTCAGAAGGTGGCAGTATTACTACATGAAACAAGCTTAAGGTTTCCGTGCTATTCCATGGCCACATTGCTGAAATAAACATGTTTAATTCCCAAAGAAACATATATTTTATCCCCTGGCATAATTTACTTATAACATTAAAACTCAAACATGGAGCAATTTGTAGCAATAACCATGATTATGCTGTTAGTGGCCCAAATGTCACTGTCTAGATTAGGCTAAATGATACCTAGCACCGAAGAGCTTCTGTGATTTATTTTTTATGATCATGGGTAGAACTTGCATGCTTAAAAGGCTCACCAGAAAACTGCCTTCAATAAATAAAAAAGGATGAAAAGATTGAAAGAATCTCATATTATTGTTCAGAGATGTGATTGTAAAAAATTGTCATAGGAATGAGGCAAATTTTAAATCTCAGAGACATTTTCAGAAAAAGAGGTAAATATCTTGAACATTTCTAATGTTATGTTTTAGATTCTAAACTATTTTGCTGAAAGCAAATAACTCATCTTATAAATTAAAATGTATCTAAACTGTTTTGTCCTTTATGAATGTTTCCTGAAATGTCAGAACAAAATAAAGGTTTTAAATACATGTAATGCACTAAAATTGATTATTTTAGCTACTTTTAGAAAATGTAGTAAATATAAATCTGCTGATAAATGTTAAGACTAAAATACCCTATTCAAACCTTCAATAATTTACTTTTGGGAGTTCTGGTCTAATGCGTACTGCTACCTGGAAACTATATTGTAGGCTCTTTTGGCCATTATCATACATTAAATTGAAATTGTTATGCATACTCAAAATAAAAGTAAACCACACTAAAGTTGAAAAGAAATGTAAGCCATATTAACTAAAGTTGGAAAGGTTTTGCAATGAACACACATTTTACCACTTACTAAAACAAGGGCAAATTGAAGCCAGCATTTACATCTGTGCCTTAATGGAATGTTGCATAATTGGTTTAATGTTTTAGTGAGTCCTTTAGATGAGCTTAGTAGGTACACAGCACAAATCAACATTAAGGTATTACAAAGAAGAGACAGGAAGATCTTTAGCTTTCTACTTTACTTCCAGCGAGACCCAATCCCCTCAGAGGAATATGACGATGTGAACATCATTTCTGCAAAGGCACTGGGCACACCCTGCACATGCTGTAGCTTGTTGACATGAACCAGGGCAGGCAGACACCAATAATACATGAAGTGCAGTTCAGAGGCAATTAGGATCAGTTGTCAAGGCCAGGCCATTAATGAAAGAACATGTCAGAGGAGCTGGAGACTTCAATGGTTGAGGGCAAGAAGGCGATTTAGTGTGACAGATCGAGTCCTTCCAATGTCCTCAGTGGTACATGCTAATACCAGCCTTAACAACCTTTTGTGGCAGTGTATAATGTGACTAACATGGACTTTGATTCAGCAAAATGACTGCTGCCACTGTTAGTCTGTCTCATTTCGAACAACAGTAAAAGCATTGCTACAAATAATTACCCACTTCCGTCCCCCTTTCTGCCACTTAAAGCATCCGCCCTTTGTGCATGCCATAGTTGTTTGTTGCCAGAAGGTTAGGATGTTTATCACTTTTGGTTTGTGTGATACTTTTTTTTTTTGTCAGCACATATAATCCCAAGTAACTAATTATAATATATTTTAGAAGGCAAAATAATTAATTAAACCTATCACATTCTCGTGTAGTTATTAACAATTTCCAACACAAGTAAAATATGTCTAAAAGAAACAATATCCACCATGTAACTTACAGACAATAAGTGAAGTTGCTTACCTAGGCTCCAAAACCATTAGCCAAAAACTAACCTAACATTCAAAGAAGTGAATGCAGGAGCATTACAGAAAAATCACCCACTGCCATTTTTTGTTAAGTTTCACAATTTGACAGTGATTTAAAATAAAAACCTACATGCCTACAAGCTGAAAATCAACAATAAGTAGGAAAAATATATTAAACATTGGTTAGTAATCCAGGTAAATTACACCAAGGGATGGCTAATGGTTTTGGAGCCTAGGTAATCAACTTCCTTTATTGTCTGTGAGTAACTTACATGGTGGACATTGTTTCTTTTAGACACATTTGACTTACGTTGGGAATCCTTAGAAACTACATGAGAATGGGATAGGTTAAATTATTTATTTTACCTTCTAAAATCTATTATAATAAATTACTTGGGATTATACATGCTGACAAAAAATAAGCATCACATAAACCAAAAGTGACAAACATCCTAACCTTCTACAGATTTTTATGTTATGACAAAACTCCACAGCATCACACTCTTGTCTTTATGGAGGCCTGTTATTTGTTAATTTTTGGCTCTTCTTTCATATTTTATGCTCATTTGGATAAGATATTCTTATGAAGATGAAAATTAAGTCAGAAGAAAAATGGCTTAAATTTTCTTATAATCTCTTAATGTTCTCACCTCCTCCCAATTTTCCAGGATTTACTTCCAGAATCTCAGCTACAAAAGATGATGTGATATCTTAGGCTTAAGGTGATAGCTCAGCCTTGTCTGCCTATGAATGACTAGACAGATATGAAGAAGGGTATGTGGATAGAGATTAATGGAAATTATATTGTCAGGTAGGTATTTTCTTGAGAGATATATATTTTTTTCTGGGTCTTATTTTTCTTCTTTTCTGAGATAGTCCTCACTTTATTTCCTATTTCATACACCACTGTTCTCTTCTTTTGCTATTTTGTTCAGTTCTCTTTGCTCACTTAGTTTTTTTCTGACCTTAGTCACTGCCACTCTACTCCTCTAATACTTAATTCATTTCCAGTCTTCTTGCTTCCTCATATAAATGCTTTTTCCTCCTTTCTCAGGAGAGCTTTCAAAACTGAGCCCTAAAAGGAGAAGTAGTGTAAAAAAATTATCAATACAAATATCTAAATGTTCATGTAATCTCAAAAAGCATTCTCATAAATCATTTATTTTTTGATGAAAATTTGGGAAAAAATTGCCATGCTAAAAATGTATTCTTTATAGTTGTATCCAAAGTAAACACGCTCCAGACACCTGATAGTGTTATTAACTTATTGTTACATTAACCACATACCACAAATGTAAATTGTCTACCTGGTCCTAACCAATAATAAATATATCTCATTCTAAAGAGAGGATTCAGTAGATCAATGATCTACTCTTGGTTACTCTGAAAGATATCTAGCTTAACATTAGCCCTCCAAATCTGGGTCTGCCATGAGACTGATACTTCTGTACCTTGATATGAGAATATTTGATATTATTTTCCCTGCTAAATGTTCAGGACTAATATGATAACAGAATTTGTTCAACTGGTGACTGGGATAAGTCTTCATTATTTTTTTCGGCTGCTGGCCTTCATGACATGGAAGTAGGACTACAGAGCTAAAAGTCAATACTGCAAAGTTAGTGATGATTTTACCCACTGGTAGGATCAGGATTTTAGAAAGTGCCAAAATGAAAATAATTTTATATTTATTCATTTGAACAACAGAAAATGCATATTTTTAAAAAAGAAATGCTGGGAAACTTGCTACTTTTTAGAAAATGTACTTTTTTTTAAAAGTGAACAACTTTTTTGAGATGGCTTTTGAAACTCAGTTCAGTTTCTCACCCTTTGCCTGAAAATCTGGCATTTCTCATCTGTCGTAATATGTTTACTTTGAATATAACATTTTAAAGGTATTATTTTGCCTCCTAAAAACTTACTCCTAGGTTTGTTTTCCTTTACAAGCATAATTATATTTAGTTTCTTCAATCATTATCTCATATTTTAATAATATGCTGCCATTTGGGTACAGCTATAACCATAATAATGAACATAAGGTTCAAAGATCACTAGATATATAGATGGCATGAACCATTAGCAAGAAATATTCTACAGCATAGAGAGCACACATTTTAAAAACTCTGAAATTCACTATAGAATTTGCTATTCTGACTAAGGCAGCTTTCTGTGTAATTAACATATATCTCTTTATAAAACATGCTAGTTTTAATAACAAATAGGGACTTTTTCCAGGAAAAATAAAGAATAGAGCACAAATAAAATTGTAATATGAATAATTTAGTTATCTCTTTCTCATATCTCATAATGACATTGTGCAGCTATAATGGACCTAAACCGGAACTATTTTCTTTAAAAAAATAGGCTTATCTCCTTTTCCTGTATGCCATTGAAATTCATATCATCACTTCCACACAAAAACACATAATTAATCCTAATTGTTTCCAACACTCTGAGCAGGAGAAGTGGAGTCTGTGGTTTCTCCTTTTATGTGTGTTGAGTCTTTCTGGCCACAAGGGCACCATTTAGTAAATTACTTCCTCCAAAACGCTGACCAGTGCCCTCTTGGCCTGAAAGAGTTAGTGTAGTTGCAAGAGGTGAGTCATTGAATTCCTTTGTGACAGAAAGATGAAACTCAGTGATTGCTCAGGGGTGTCCTATTCTGCTACTGAATGATGATCTAGCAAGGGGGAAAAATTGCTTCTGAAATGCAGGTCTTCATAAGACAAAGGAAGAGGATGCACTGTAAACGCACAGAGGTGGTGGATGTGAAAGGAATGTAATGGTGTCCCTGACTGGTGCAGAATTAAAATGGAAACAGAATGAAATCTTCCCTAGTGGTGATTCTTCAACTTTGTTAGGACTTTTGTCCAAGATTAGCTAATTCTGCATCATTGTCTTATTTATCTTGGGTGACACTTGTTAGCATAAGGGGCACAGTTACCATAAAACCATTGGCAATCCAACCTCTAGCCTCTAAGTCCTACTCAGTAGGGAGAGAGCTTCACATCTCAGCCAGTCCAGTTGTTTGCTCCAACTTTGACTAACTCAGCCCTTTCTCAGTGAACTGGCTTTGGCACGACCACACTCCTCAAAGTGCCCTAGTTCCTGAATTGACTCCGTATATAGCCAGTTGTTTCCCTGCTTCGAAAATGCTGTAATGCCACTCCTATCCCCCTTTCCTCCTACTCCATCCCCAACCCAAATGCCCCTCTTGTTTCCTGAATCTATCCTACTCCCTCAGTCCTTGAAGAACTATAACAATTGTTTCCTTAGTTAGGACTAGATTCTTGAGGGAGTTGCCTTTGAAGCTGCCTTAGACTTGCTGTTCCCCTAAATTTCCATCTCATATCCCTCTGGCGATTACTGTTGCTATTAATATAGTCTTTAAATAGTTCTTTGCTTTCAGACAGTAGGTTTGTAGTATTGTCCTTTCAAGATCAGTTGGTTCATGTCCATGAGGATTGAGCTGTAGACACTACTAGTTGCAACAAGAAATCCTCCTTGCAACTTCAACTTCAACAGTACCTCCTGTTGGTTCTCTTTAGTCTCCTTTGCCGTTTTTTTTGTCTTCAATGTCTGCTAACTCTGATTGTATTAATTCATTAAATTTATCTTTGTGTGCACCTACTACACACTATATACTGTGCTTGAGATACAACAGTGAACCAAAACAGGTATAGTCCCTTTTACACAGAGCCTAGTCTAGCAAAGGAGTCAAACTTAATAAAACAATCCCACAGATAGATATAAAACTGCAGCTGTGACATATGAGATAAAGGTGAGGTGCAAAGAGCTATAAGAACTGGATCAGGGAGGCCACTGGAGTGAGGGAAGGTTTTCCTAAAGCTATGAGACTTGTACAGAAATCAAAGAGAAGACAAACAGCTAGTTAGTCGGGAACAGGATGAGATATGTGCAAAGGTCCTGTTGCATGGTGAGTTCACGGGGCTCAGTGACATTGCCTTTCCTCACAGTCCCAATCCTCCCTCCTAGTGCCATGTCAGCATTCAGAGTTGAAGGGCAGTTGCTGGAACCACCCTGCTCGCAGGGAGGCTGCTCTTCCTTAACTAACACACAACGATCTCACCTCTACGAACTAGCTAAGAAACCAAGCCTGTGAAGAAGGCTAATATGGGCCACTACCCACTTTTCATTGTGTTACCATCAAAACTAACCAGGCCCACATTTAATTTCAGTCCAAGCCTCCCAAGTCATTTTCATTAAACCCATCTGCTACCCATCTCTGA
The DNA here is from genome assembly GCF_000001405.40 of Homo sapiens. Lineage (NCBI taxonomy): Eukaryota > Metazoa > Chordata > Mammalia > Primates > Hominidae > Homo > Homo sapiens. The sequence goes on from NC_000015.10 coordinate 35,295,248, forward strand.
CCTCCCAAAGCCTTTCCTTGGACCCTATGGAAATCAGAATCTCTCAGTAACAAAATCCCCCCAAGTCCACAGTTATTTCTGTTGACTTTTTCTTCACCTTTTTGCTCACAGTGAAGACAGGACTCTAAGTCTGCATCTTTTCCTGAGTACTTCAAAATGAAAGTTGCTTTATCTTTCCCACCCACGTTCTAGGACCTGGAGGTAATGTGTCTTCTCTAGCTCTTTAAAATCTCCAGTCTCTTAGAAGTACAAACCACTACCAGACTACACCACCACTTTCATTGTCTTCCTCCATGCCATTACTCCTGTCATCATCCTTGATGGCTTCCACATCTAGGTAGATAATCCATCTGACACTGTGGACTCTCAGGTGTCTGAATTCTACAATACCAACAATCCTTTCCTCCACCCCACACCAATCACTCATTCCCATGGTCACAAGAGCTGTTTTCAGGATGCAAAGTCTGATCCATTAGTAATCATAAAAATCAATTTAATGAGTTATAACCCGTTTTTTTCCTTTTAAGTAACATAGAATAGATTTTAAAATATTGGACTTTATTGAATGAAGTCAGGTAAATATTGTTTCATAATTTTTTCAATTACATATTATGTATGCATTGTGCATATTGAGTTGCCTTGAACATCATATTACTTACTATGTCTATTTTATTTTATTTTATTTTATTTTTGAGATAGAGTCTCGCTCTATCTCAAAAATAAAGCACTCCAGGCAGGCTGGAGTGCAGTGGCGCGATCTCTGTTCACTGCAAACTCTGCCTCCTGGGTTCACGCCATTCTCTTGCCTCAGCCTCCCAAGTAGCTGGGACTATAGGCGCCCGCTACCATGTCCGGCTAATTTTTTGTATTTTTAGTAGAGATGGGGTTTCACCGTGTTAGCCAGGATGGTCTCGATCCCCTGACCTCTTGATCCACCTGCCTTGGCCTCCCAAAGTGCCAGGATTACAGGTGTGAGCCACCACGCCTGGCCTTACTATGTCCATTTTAAAAAGTTTTTGAAACACTGGTTGGCCTTGTCATCACCAATAACCACATTACTTCTAAAATTTTGATTTTTAAGTGCAGATTTGCTAACTACCATCTTCTAATTTTAAAGCCTACTTATTCTAGCTCCCTTCGTCTAAAATTTTTATATCTCTTTCAGACCTCCAATTTATTGACCCTACCACTTTTTACTATACCACTCTCACTCCCAATATGCTCACGTCCTTCTTTATCTGGCTCAGATTCTAGGCTCTATCACTTTAATCATACACATAATTCCTTTGCTCCTTGCTACTCTATTGTATTTTCTTGTCAAAATCTCTAAAGCTACACCCAACTCTCCAGCTACTTTGTGCCACTATTCAAGCTCCTGAATGTTACTAGAGAAAAACACATAACTGGAGACAGATTTCACATTACATTTATGATGATAAATTTCAAGCAGGTATTTAATGCTGCCCAATCTTACTATATTTTCCTAGTACTTTAACTTTCTCTTTCTCCTGACAACCATTTTTTATCTCATATTCTCTAACCTGATGGCCTGGCTTCTTTTTTTTTTTGAGACGGAGTCTCGCTCTGTCGCCCAGGCCGGACTGCGGACTGCAGTGGCGCAATCTCGGCTCACTGCAAGCTCCGCTTCCCGGGTTCACGCCATTCTCCTGCCTCAGCCTCCCGAGTAGCTGGGACTACAGCTGATGGCCTGGCTTCTTATTCCACATTCCCAATACCAAGTCCATAGCCTGATGAGCCCATATGCTGCACCTTCCCTAGGATCACAATAGAATTATCCCTGCTCCTATCTAAGACTAATCACTCCACTTCAAGTTCCAACCTATCTTGCCAACACACAGATTTAGATTCTGGAATTATGATTTCACTGTCCCGTGTCTTCAGTTTTATCCTTTTTCATGAATTATACCCATTAACATAAAAAAAGTGCTATAATGACTCCAAACTTGAAACCAGTATTTTTTAGCCCCTTGTCCTCAACTTTCTGTCAACTGCCTTTTTTCTGTTCCCCTTTACAGCAAAGCCCCTTGAAAGTGAAATCTATATCCACTCTTTTCCCTCCCTCAGTTTTTTTTTTTTTTTAAACCTATTAGGTTTTCATCTCCACTGATCTGTTGAATCTGGTCTTGTCTAAGTTCTCAACAATTTTCATTTTGACAAATCCTGAGGCCAGTTCCTGTCCTTTTCTTATTGTATTCAGAGCAGCATTTGTCCCTTGACCTAATTCTTTATTTTTTTCCCCCAGTCTCTCATTTCTTCTTCTGAGAGACCACATTTTTTTTTGGTAAGGAGATTGCCTGATCTTATTAAAAGTGCTATAGGACTTGATCTCTCTCCTCTTCACTTCTCTATCTTTTCTCTATAGGTGACTTTACTCAGTTCCTAGACTTTAATCTCTATCTATATGCTGTGATTTTTCCATTTTATATCTATAGCTCTGACTTTGAGTTCTAGATTCACAATCATCTACCTGCTTGATACAGCCACTTAGTGGTCTACTAGATACAGTCAATTTAACCTGCTCCAGCCACCCCTGTCAAAAAAACTTTCTCTCCACTAACAAACCCTCTCCTTCCCTACACTTCTCCATCTCAATTTATAAGACTACCATTTATTTGGTGGCCAAGGCAAAAACCTAGGTTTCATCCTTAATTTCTACCCTTCCATCACCAATCATCAGCAACCTCTGTTAATTCTACCTCCAGATTATGTGCCAAATCCACTGCTCTTTATCTTATTATTGCCTCCCATCTCTCCAATCTTATCTCTAACATTTTCTTTTTGTTTTTTTTGTAAACGGATTTTTATACTATATTAAAAAGCCACAAAATAAAAAAGGGATCAACCAACATATATCTTACAAGTCCCTCCAAGAGTCTCAGTATGCAACAGTCATGGAGGCTGTGACCTTTTTCCTTCTTTTCTCGGCCTGCAGTTCATTTAAGGATCACCGGAGATGACTTGTGCTCTAGTTCTTAAAATCAAACTTGTTCTGCCAAATCCAAGATACTGAATTTTTCCAAATTGTAGAAACATGCATTTGCCACCTGTCCACCAAAATACCTCCCATTCGAGTCAATAACCGCTTGAATTGCTGATTTAACTCTCTCAAATTCTAAAAATATCCGTACTGCTTCATCATCAGGGGCACCAGAATTTCAAACAACACACTTTCCCCAACTTTGAGATATTTTTCACGTTCTTCCTTGGTTTTAACTTCCAAGTCTTCATCCACCTTTCCCGCACCAACCATGTTCCTTAGTAGGACCACTTTATTAAGACACTTAAGTATTTCAGTCAGTGGATTTGAATCTGACTTCTTGGATGCATCTTTCTCCGTGGCGTCACCCACGATGATCTTGCCACCAAGCTTGCTGGTCTTCTCCACCGAAAAGGCGGTGCTCAGCCCCTGCTCATGCTTCCCCAGACCCTGGCCCTCCCGGAAGCCGTACTTCTGTATGATCTTGTGCGCCACCGTGCCCCCCAAGTTAGCGAGGAAGGAGTTGCGCTGGGCCGGGTTGGAGATCTCGGTCTGTCTTGTTCCTCGTACACTGGGGGAGGAATGGCAGTTTTGGAAGACTGTGATCGAGGTCTTGAGTCCTCTTCATAAGGAAAATCTCGGGGTAACTGTCTTTTACTGCCAGAGAAGTGGGTGAGGCAATGGCAGCTCCGCCCATACTTGTTTTCCTCTTCTCTCGCTCCTAATCTTCATCTTCATCAGAATCCGGATCTGAACTCCTTGAAAACTCACGTGCATCATGTCTGTATTTATGCCTTTCTTCTCTTTCTTCTATTTCTTCTGTCTTTCCAGCTCCCGCTGTCTTTGTCCTTCCTCTCTGGCGTTTCACTACTTTCTTACAATCGTTAGGAAACATAGGATCATATTCGTCAGCTAAGGGAATCAGAACTTCCCCTGCAGAAAACCCACTGGGAACAGGATCCTTCAGCCCAGCTGGCACATGCGGTGGTGTGTCCACAATTTGCCCGGTCATCTGAGGAGCCACCTCGTTGTAGGTCAATGACTGGGGCAAGAACTGTACCTTGTTTCGTCCTTTGGCTCTTTGCCTGAGTGAGAGCTGCCTTCTTCACCTGAAGCTGAGACTGTAGAAGTTTGAAGTTTTTGGACCAGCCTTCTGTTTTTGAGTCACTGGTTTCCTCTGATCGTACAGGGACATCTTTTCTTCGGTTTAATGCCGGCCCGCCCGCCGACTCTGCCCATGGGCCGCGGTGGCGGCAGCGCGGAGCCGGGGAGGCAGGAGCCAACGGCGGCACCACCCTCCGCTGAGTCCGCGGGGCGCTGGGCGGCGCGGGGTCAGGTAGCGCGGGCTGCTGGGAGAGCGCGCCCCATCTCTAACATGTTCTTTCTCACTCACTATGTTTCCCCATTCCTAACTCCTTCCTGCCTCTCCCCAGCTGTTCACATAGATACACCTTAGGGAAAGACTTCCCTGACTCCCTAATCTAAAAATGGATCTCGCCTCAATTATTCTCTATCACTAAGTCTCGACTTATTTTCTTCATAGTATTTAGCAGAATCTGAAAGTATTCTTTTTTGTGCGTGCTTGGTATCTGCTTCTCCAATAAAATATAAACTCTATCAGGCCAGGGCTGCATGTTCAGCTCCTAGAATATAGTTCTAGGGCTCAACACAATCAAACATGCACTTATCAAAATATCACCCTGGCTGGATAGCCGATTTAACACGCGGAGACCAGTGAGGAAGTTGCTAGGGCAGTTTGGATGAGTGACGATGGGCGCTTGTACTAGGACTGTGAGCACAGAAGTGGTGAGAAGTGAATGGATTTCACAAACACTTGGGAAGAAAATCATTTGTTTTAGGCCACCCATGCAGGGGCAACAGCAAATGAGAACAAGCTTGGCATGCTGAATGAACAAAAATGGAAGATGGAGCACAGTGAAAAATGAAAAAATGGTAGGAGATGGGGCAGACAAGGGTATAATCATGTAGTACTCATAGGCCACAGTGAGAAGCTTGGGTTTTGTTTTAAATGTAACGGAAGCTATTGAATTGTGTAATCAGACTTACATTCTTAAAAGATCATTTTGAGTACTACATTGAGAATAAATCATGGAGGAGGCAGCCAGAGTAGAAGCAGGCAGAGCAGGTAACATGGCAATTGTAAAACCGTAGAGAAGAATGAAGGTAGCTCGGGTTATGATTGTAAGAACGGAGATGAAAAGCAGCAGGTAGATTCTGAATCGTTCCGGGACTAAAGTGGCAGCATTTGTTTACGGATGTAATGGACAAAAGAGAACATGAAAAATGCCTATGTTTTTGGCTTGAGCAACTGGGTGAGTATTTATGCTGTTTCCTGACGTGGGAAAAGACAAATGGGAGAGAAGTGGGAATTAAGTCAAGTTAATAAACTATTACGTTGGGTATTATCTTTCACCCCATATGGTAAGTCTGGATATTTTCCACATAATTTTGTTGACTGTTTCCATAAGTTATGTACCAAGGACAGGGAGTTTCAAATATTCTTTGCAACATTTGAGAACTAAAGAATCCCCCTTGGTCATGATCTTCTGTGCCCCTGTAAGCTTACAGGCACACATGGCATCATCATTATGATGAGTCCTGTACTTCACCCCACTACATTACCTGTTTTATAGAGTGCCACTAGGACAATTCAGCAATGTATTCTATCACCATCTATCAAGGCATGAGAAAAATCATCTTCTTTTCAAGTATTAGAATTGAATGATCACACTTGAGTTATCTGAGATTATTTCTTGATCTGAGCAACAAGAAAATGGTCTCATTTCCAAGTTAAAAAAGGAATTATATGAATCAAGAACCAAAGACCTTAACACTAAATCACACTAATTATTTTACATAGTACTATGTAGGTTTTGAGAAATTTAAAACCGTATGTATTACTCAAACATTTCTTCCAATATTTACTTGATCACATATTTTAATAGGTAACCATGACTTTGTCATCCAAGCCAGGACACTTATGAAAGTGAAAGGAGGAGCTATTGATAATTACAGGAAAACACCAGGACTGTGCAGACATACTGAGCTCTAAGGTCACTCTGTTTATAACATGATGCCTTAAGAATGAAAGCTCAGACAATATCTGGCTTTATTTAGCTAAGTCAGGTGGTAAAATACGAAGAATAACATGAAAGAAAAATTAGGAATTCTGCATCTTGCTCAGTGACTTTTCTCCTCTTTGTTTTTCATTTAGTTGATTTAAATACATAATTACCAAATAAGTTTTTGAAAAGTCAGTTTATTCAATTAAATTTGTGGTACAAATCCAAATTAAGATTCTTATTTAATTATATTAGGTCTTATATTAGGGCTTAAGAAATCTAAAGAGGATGCTATAGACATATCATCTATACATTAAAAGAAAAATTAAAATAACTTCAAAAACTAGAATAAAAAAATTAGGCCGGGCGTGGTGGCTCATGCCTCTGTAATCCCAGCACTTTCGGAGGCCAAGGTGGGTGAATCACTTGAGGTCAGGAGTTTGAGACCGGCCTGGCTAACATGGTAAAACCCCATCTCTACCAAAAATATAAAAAATTAGCTGGGTGTGGTGGCATGTGCCTGTAATCCCAGCCACTTGGGAGGCTGAGGCAGGATAACTGCTTGAACCTGGGAGGCGGAGGTTGCAGTGAGCTAAGATAGTGCCACTGCACTCGAGCCTGGGCGGCAGAGTGAGACTCCATCTCAAAATAATAATAATAATAATTAAAAAGATTTAAAAACCAAATTCCAACATTTATTGTAGTCAATACATAAAATACATATATAGGTTTGGTAAAAATATATGCATACAAAGGAAATATTTATATATAGAATAAAACCATCATATCTAGAACTAAGACAAATCAAACTGAATACCAAATCTTTGGTAACAAAAGGGAAAAGGTTTCCACTAATGTAAATATATACTTGGGGACATTTATTTTCTCATTTCAGTTATCATTTTCAAACTATGCTGTATTTTCTGTATAACCCATTTTTCATCTGCCCAATTACTAGCAATCTCTTTTCTACTATCAAAAATGATCATTTGTTTCTTTATTGTAGTAGATAAAACATCCTTTCATTGTTTCAGCTCACAAGCTGTGCAGATCCTACCCACTGTTCTTGCCTCCAGCACTTCACATTATTGGTGTATTATTTCATGCATGCCCTACTCTTTTATCAATTGCTTTTGAAGTAATGTTAATAGACTAGAAAATTGAGACATTTATGAAGTATAGGCAGTGTTTATGAAAAAATCCATAAAATATGACACAGGCAAGACAAGATAAAAGCAGCATTTTAATAGATTATGGCAAAGAGATCCTGTCAGAGTTTGACAACTGACTCCTTCGAGATCACTAATTTTTATGGGATTAATTCTGTGGTATAAAAAATGAAGTTAAATGTCCTAATTAATCTGTAAATAGCACACCCACAATTAAACCCTGTGGTCCCTTCTTGGATTGGGGCTGCAGTGATTTTTGAAAGTAATTATCTCAAATTCACAATGAAGACGATTTTTCTTTTTTTTTTTTCTCATGGCATTTCAGCTAAATAACCACCTGAATTCAAACTTGAATAGGGTCTTCTTATATACAAATCAGTTTGCAGATTTGTGTGGAAACATATTGATTAGATTTGTAAGCTATATACTTATAATGGTTTCTATATTAAAAAATAAAATTTGGAGAAATGGTGCAGAAAGGAAGTGGTCAAGAAAAACTAGAGTTTCTCCATATTGGGGCAAGTCTTCTTTGTTCTACAATTTAAGAACCCCAAAGGGTTGAGTTTCCTTCTCTTACACAGGTGACAATGTGGTGGTGCATTGTCTCTTACACAGCAGTTAGAAAGTACATTACATTGGAGTTAGAAAATAAAGCACTCCCTGACTTTTCCATCATGATGCTGTGGCAGGGTGCTCCAGAAATATTAGTTCCATTCCTCTTCCTTCCTTCCATCTTTAATATTTGAACTTAATAATACTGTCTATAAAGGTGCGATGTTATCTATATGTAGTCAGATGAAAGTAATACAATTTATTAAATATAAAATATTTTAAAATATTTTTATAATAGCGCTAATAAGAAGGCATACTAGTCTTTATGATTCACATTCATTATTTAATTTCTTACCAATAGACGTTCCAATGACAAATATTACTGCTACTGCCTTGTTAGTAATTAGGAAACCAAGATTCAAAGGTTTCCTTAAACCTTTAAAGAAATTACTCAAATTATATATATATGAGGTAATAGAACAGATTCTTGAAGCTAGATCTCCTGATTCCAAATCCTATGCATTTTTCAGTATAAGTATACTGTGACGTTACAGCTTTGCAATCAAAAATAACCTGATGATAAAGTAAAATATTCTACCAGTTTTGGTGAAGAGAAAATTATTCAGATCAGTTAGCTCTGGAGTTAAAAAAAAAAAAGGGGGAGGAGAGGTTAGTGTCTATTTACTCTTCATTTGATATTCTATATTTTGGAGGAATGGGAATATAGTCATCTTTTTTCCCCTTTTTTTTTAAAGAAGGATACTAATTTTCTTTATTGAGTCCCAGGATAAAGTAGGATTGCAAAAGCTAATCATTTTTTTTTCATTTATACTCTAAGGCCCTGGTAATAGGTAAGCCGTGATTATATTCCTGAAAATAATATTGTAGCAAAAATGGTGTAATACTGCCAGGTTTGAGAGAAAGCTCTTTTAAGTTGCCATTACTTGGCAAAGTAGTACTATTGTTAAGAAAATAAAAATCTAGTTTTCTGATTTCTTATAGTCTTTCTTATATAAATGACAAATATTTTGGCTGAACTGATACACTGATGTGGTTAATTTGATTAAATGATATATTTATCTGATTATCTAACAAACTGAATAATATAGGCTAGCCAAAACCTTTCACATCTCACATGAGGAAACAGAAAATTGAGAGACACTAAGTGATTTGCTCAAGATCATGTACAGATTATATTACAGATTCCTGACTAGAACTCACTACTGCTGATTGTAAGCCCAAGTTCCTTTCCAATACATTACCTTCCTTGATTTTATCAGAATATTATTCAGTCAAAACCTCTGGCACATACAATCTAAGATTTTAGCACACCCTCTGATGGAACATCCTTCAACAGGTGAAACATTTAAGAACAGACAGGCCCAGTATTATAAACATGATTGCAAAGAGAAGTCCTAAGCTGACAGAAAGAGAAAATAATAAATGGTACCTTTTTCATCTCTAAACTCTCTAATTCCGAGAAAACACCCTAAAGCCTTTGCCTTGGTAAAAAATATTTGAAATGCCAAATCCAGTTATCAATTCATCTCTATGTGTGTCGGGAAGGATTACCACAGTTAAGTATATTCTAATCCTGTTTATACCCAGCATTACTCCTGATGTTCCAGTAAGAGTGCCTATTTTTATTTTTATTTTTGAAGTGACACTAACCTGAGAAGAAATAAAAAAACAGTATGTTTAAGCCATTCTTCAAAGCTCATCTCTATGAAGCTATTTGGATGGTAAAAAAAAAAAAACAAAACTCAGCAAGCTGCAGCTAAATTACATAGTCTCACCCTCACATTCTCTGAATACAAATAACAAACGAACGTGATATACTTACAGAGTTTGATAATCAAACTTGTAATTCTGCTTATTTTATGCTGTTCTGCCCTAGAATTGAAAATATAGACAACTAGTCACAGAGGGACACTTTTAATATTATTGTTTTCACATCTTCACATGACAGCAAGGGAGATCTCCTTGTATGGTATGGTGAATACAACATGGAATTTTTACATGACCAACTCATATACTCATTAAAGGTACTGAGATATCCATAAAGGTTTGAAGTGTTTGATAATGTCTGTTGAGTAAGTAAACTTGTTGTCTCAAGTCAGGTAGTACGCTGTTGGTTCTACTATAGATGATGCTTCATTTTAAATATCTTTAAAGGGCACACAGTAACTCTTTTCTAGGGTGTGTTTTGCCTCCAAATAATTATTAATAACACCCCTTACACTCACAAAGTGTTCAACATCATTAAATAGAAAACAATGACTAAGGTCTTAAAGAATGTTGAGCTATTTTTCATGACTTTAACCACATACTCACACTGTGAAACAACAAAATTAACATTTTCCAAATCTCGTATGTTTTTAGTTCCTGATTATTCCTGTGATTCAAACCACTTTAGTTTTCAGTTTTAGATTATTCTGTTTTACATTCAATTACCAATTTAGGAAGTTCATAATTGACTTGAGATCTACCATCTCTTGACTTGCCATAAAACCACCTGTATTAAGTATGAGGAAGTTTGAGATAATTACACAGGAAATTATGAAGTATTGGTTATTGTGCTTAGACCATTTAAAAAGCACGAAAGATCTTTAAGATCTCACATAGACAGAATTCTATACATATCTCTAATAAAGATCAGTTACAATTTAGTATTCAACTTTTGTAAGAAATTTTGTTTTTTTATAGCCATCAACCAGAAGACACAAAATATAATTACATTAAAGTAGTAAAAAATTAGCATGACATAAATACTCAGACCTCAAGGGTCAAAAAGCTAAATCGAGTCTTATAATTTTGTAGTGGTTATTCTGTTATTCTTGTTTTGGGTAATTGTATTGCTGGAACACTAAGGTTTTAACATCTGTGCACTTTGGATCACCTTAAGCCAGCTGGTTCCTTTCAAAACTGCTCATCTTTTGTTCTTCCTATGTTCTGACCTGGGCCCCTAGCCTTAAGACAGCAGTGTGCTTTCTGCAGCCAGGATATCCTCTTCAAGACTGTCAGACAATCTCAAATGATTGATGTGCTAGTCTGGTGCTCTGGTATTTTTCCCTTTAGTAAGACTCCAGTAAATCTACAGCTCATTCTATAAGAATGCTAATTAGATCACTTTTACTAACTTCATGCATGTTTTTCTTGTTCTCCTGTATCTTTGGAAGTGAGCTTAAAGTTTATAATACAGTGTGTTTCTAAACTGTTTTTTATAATATTACATAGAAATAAAATACATTTCCCACCAAGGGAAATAATTCAAGTGATGCACTCAATTGGCTCTTTTCTTTCTAGAACTGCACCATGCATCCTCACTATGCTTACTCTTATTGGGAGCCTGCTCTACCCTCTCTGAGGTCATGCCCCTTATTGAGTCATGGTGTTCTATCATTCAAAGCCAAAGCAGGGCAGAGTCAGGCTCTGTTAGGCTATCAGGCTTGTGTCTTTGCTGCAGAGCTGTTTTCACATAAAGACAGACCTCTATCAACCTCAGGGCATTAATTCTAAACCTATTGCCTTAACACAAATTGTACCACGTCTCTCAACCTGTTGATTTTGGCTTTGAATTTCATGATTGATTGCCCTTTTGGGGCCTTACATAACCTCCCATTCTGAGGCTAAGAATTGACTTTCTGGCTTCAAACTTTTGCTTTCATTCTTGACCATATTTGGACTTTATCTCCAAATAGGTTACCTCCCTCAGTAAAGTTCAGGTCACTATGGTTTCCAGAACCTGTAATTACCTCAGCAGAGCTCTCTGCAGAGAACACACCCAACATGTTCAGTCTGATTCCAGAAGTCAGGCTCAGACTGAGAAAAGTCAGGAAGCAAAAAGACTGGGTGGATGTTGTCACGTGGCCCTTAAGAACAAAGGCAGTTTCAGAGCGAGGTGGCCGAGAGGAAAGAGAGCATTTCAGGGATAAAGAAAAGTAGATAGGAAAGTCTGGGCAACTTTAGGGCTTTTATAGTATGACTGTGCACAGTACAATCACAAAAATATGTTTAGTTCAAGTCATTTAAAAAGCTGTAATCTAGTATATTTACATTAAATTGTTTCCTTATTAGTGGCAAGAGAAAAACTGATAACCACACAGTAGAGAAACTGGGCACTACTCTGACTAGGTCATCAAAATTAACATCCCCGTTGAGGGCAGATGGATATAGTGTGCCTCCTGATGTGACACCCTGAGAAGAGCACATCATCTCTCACTCTGTATTGGGCACAGAACATGTCACCTCAATCTACCCACAAAGAAACATCATGTAAAACCAAAACAAAGAATTCTCTATTATTAAAGATGGAATTACAGTTTTCAAAAATTTGAATGCTATAAAAGCAAAACAAAGCTTTATAGAAATGCTCCAGATTAAAGGTGACTGAAGAGACTAAATGTAATACCTGATCCTAGGTTGAGTCCTAAAAACAGTCCCGACCCTGTTTTTCCTGAGGAAAAACAACAGTATAAAGGATATCGTTGGGTTAACTAACAAAATTGAAATACAGATGAAGGATTAGAAAAATGCATCAATTTTAACTTTACTTGTATATAAAACAATATTTTTATTTTTAGGAAATTTTTATTTTTAGGTATTGTAGTATATAGGAGTAAAGGACCATGCTACTACTTTTCAAAAGGTTCAGAAAAAATGTGTTGTGCATGTGTATACACATATACATATATGCATATCTTATGTGTGTGTATATATATGCATATATACAAACACACACACACATATATTCAGAGAGATAAAAGAGAATGAGTGAGCACAGTTATCTGGTAATGCAGATGGAGCAAATGTCAGCAACAGGTGAATGATGGTACAAAATATATAGATATGTGAACATTCTAGTATCATTCTTATTCATGCTACTTTTCCGCATGTCTGAAATAACTGCACAATTAACCTCTGAGGAAATAAAAACTTCTGGTCAGCCATGGTGGCTCACACCTGTAATCCCAGCAATTTGGGAGGCTGAGGTGGGAGGATTGCTTGAGGCCAGGAGTTCAAAACCAGACTGGGCAACATGGTGAAACCTCTCTACAAAAAATATAAAAATTAGCTGGATGTGGTGGCGTGCGCCTGTAGTCCCTGCTACTCAGGAAGGTGAGGTGGGAGAATCACCTGAGCCCAGGAGGTTGAGGCTGCAGTCAGCTATGATCCTGTCACTGCATAAATAAATAAATAAATAAATAAAACCTCTAGAATGTCAAAAGCTTCTATGATTTACCACAAAAAAGTATGTGAGGTGATGGATATGTTAATTGGCTTGATTTAATCATTCCACAATGTAAATGTATAGCAAAATATCACATTGTATCTCATAAATGTATACAATTTTTATTTCCAACCAAAAATAAAATAAAGTAACCCTCCCAAAACAAGCAAAACAAAACAATTGTCAGGTATGGTGAGGGGTGGGGAAGACCTGAGGAAGGCAGGGGAATTTTTACAGTAACAGAAATCTCTTAATTTAAGTGCCTGGTGGCCAAAAAGAAAAAAAAAAGTACTTGGATAACCCATAATTGGAAAGACAATTCCTACCGAAATGAGTTTATACCTATACCCAGAGAAGATTCTTTCTTCTTTATATGCCATAAACATTTAGGAGCTGAGATAGTTTGTATTTTAAGGAGACATATGTAAAAATGATTTTAGGTCTTAGTGCTTCTGTTATTTGTACTTCTACACACTAAATATAATAAATGTAATTTGAATGTAACAATAAGAGGATCAACACTATGGAGATAGCAAATATATGCTTATCTGAAAGTTAGCAGATAAGGAAGTACTGCCAAAATAAACAAGCTGAGAGTGAGAACGGACATTCAAAGTACATTATTGTGTTACTGGAACATCTGGTACTAACACTGTCAAGTTTACATACATTCTCAAATGCTTATTTATGTAACAATCAGATGCTAAGCATTCCAGCTGCACTTGTAAACTTTTTATGAACTGAAGTCATATGCACAAGCTCAGCTAAATATACTTCACAGAGGGAGGAGCGTGAGGAAACTAAGAACTCTCACAACTGAAGTCTGATTGCAGTGCAGCCTTCTGGCAGTGTTCTGGACCAGTGTCTGGTGTGAGAGCTAAGCTGCTGGCTCCTAAAAGATTCATTCCATTCTAGCAGCTAGAATCAGAAATGCCTAACCAATGGGTCAAACATAATTTGGCAGTTACCGTTTTTAGACATAATTTTCTCAGAAAAGAAAATGATATCAGGAAAAGAAAACAGAGCAAAGGACATGATGAAGTAGGTCATTAAGAAAGAGAATATTTAATATTCAAGTGAAAAAAATATTTTCCTCAACCCATCCTAGAGCTAGCACAGGTAGAATGACTGATTGTGGCAATGCATAAATTAGAAAAGACAGCATAAAAAGAGGAAGCATGTTTGTATGATAATTATCTCATATCACTCCTAATGAAAATTAGTTGTGTGAAACTTTCCTTCTTAGAGACAGAATTCATAGTAACTGCCTTAAACCCATTTTAAAGAGCGAAAAGGCATAGGGGGAAATAAGTATTTCATGCTGTTTTTCTCCTCTACTAACAAAAGGAAGTTAGATGAACCAATTTTCCTCAAAGTTTGCCAATCATTTCTTTGATGAAATTTCTAGAGTATGAAATGTTGCAAAATGGAACTAATTCATTAAGTTGTTTATTTTCTGAACAGTGATCTTAAAAGTGATTCCTCACAGGTTGAGGTTAAAAAGACATATTTTTTGGTAAAAATAAAATCCCTTTGACTTTTAAGTGCCTGGCACATTTCTGAAAGTTACCTTTAGAATTAATCAGATGTTTCAGAGTGATGTGATCTTGAAATGTGAATATCTATAATCAGTGGGATCCTCCTGTGTGCATTTTTTGGCTGTCAGTAGCACTTTTCTTATGCCAGCTCTTGAAATCACAACTTTTGGGCCTAGAAGAAAACTTTTTTTTCCCCCTGTGTCACAGTAGTTTTAGAGCAGTGACTCAAACTTAGGTGAACATTTGAATCACTTGGAAACCCAGAACCCATTCCAGACCAATTAAATCAGAATGAAACTCATCCATCAGCACCACTTAATTTTGTAGCCCAGATTGAGAACACCACGTAGAACGAGAATGGATATTCTTTAGGGACAGTGGGATTCATTTCACAAAAATGGCATTTTTGCAAAATAATTGAAGCACTAGGCATTCCCCATGCTGTCCTCTAACCAGGCTCCGGAAATTTAAGGGTTATAATTACAACAGCTTTAACTCTTCAAACTCCATCTTTTTGCACATCTTAAAAAGGGCCAGTAAGGGACTGTTCTAGGGTAGGCAGTCCAGCCTTGCATGCTCTGTGGCTTCTCTCATTTTACCTGAGGAACAGTGGGGCGAGAAAAGAGGATCTTTTTTCACTTTTGGCAGGTCACAAAAAAAGTAGCAATTTTTGCCTACAAAACTACATTGCAATTATGAACGTGAAGAAGGGGTTAGGATGTAGGTGGAAGCTTAAATCATAAACAGGACAGGACATAATAACCTTATATGAATGCCTTTTAGAACTACTCAAAACAATATGTCACATATATATAAATTTCTGTGTAATAGTACTAGCTGATAGAATAACCTGAAGTTCAGCTTTAAAAAGAATGACTATTACTAATACTACCTTCTGATTACTAATAGTACCTTCTTTAATGCTCACTGTTCTGTTTAGATCATAAATTGGCCGAGTGTGGTGGCTCACGCCTGTAATCCCAGCACTTTGGGAGGTCGAGGTTGGTGGATCACCTGAGGTCGGGAGTTTGAGACCAGCCTGACCAACATGGAGAAACCCCATCTCTACTAAAAATACAAAAAAAAAAAAAATTATCCAGGCATGGTGGCACATGCCTGTAATCCCAGCTACTCAGAAGGCTGAGGCAGGAGAATCGCTTGAACCCGGGAGGAGGAGGTTGCAGTGAGCCGAGATCACTCCATTGCACTCCAGCCTGGGCAACAAGAGTGAAACGCCACCTCAAAAACAACAACAACAACAACAAAAAAAAAAACCCAAAAAAACCAGATCATAAGTTATACTAAAAGAGATTGGAGAATTATTATTGAGCGGAGAATTCAGTCTAAAAGGAGAGATAAGATACATGAATTATACGTAGTACTCAATAAACATTAGGTGCCATATGATTATGGTAATTATTAATTTAAAAACAACAGGTTTTAAAGGCAATTTACAAGTACTGAAAACAAAAATGCACCCCCTCAGATTTCAATCACATCTTGGCAACTGAAGACTGCTTTTTTTCCTCTACATCTCCACAAGTGGTTATACAGTACCATCTTTGAAAATAAATGGCAGTCTTCTTACTCTTTTTTCTATACAAAAATATAATTCAAGATAATTACAAAAAAATTTCTGTCTTCAAATATCAGAGGAATTTGTCTACAATAAAGCTAATTTAAAAATTATTACCAAATAGATGCCCTCCTTATGACTATTAATCCAAGTTTAGAAATTTACGTTCAATGCTTTGGGACAAGAAAGAAAAAAAGACATACACACAGAGAGCGAGAGAGACAGGAATGGCATTAAGATCTGCTTTAAGTACAGTTATCTGAAATGTTCTCTTGTTTTGACTTATTCCAGAAGGAAAACTTGAAACAATGATTAAATGAGTATAAGTTACAAAGAGGCATATTTTAGCTCAACATAAGGATTTTTAAAATAGAGTTGTCCAACAGAATGGATTGTTTCAGGAAATGATGAGCTCCTTTGCTGAAGATATCCAAATTGAGACCGGATGAGCATATGCCAAGGATGCTGCAGAAAACATTTCTGCACTGTGTGGGAGGTTAGCCAACAGTAGATGATGTCTTAGGTTCCTTCCAACGCTAAATTTTATAATCTTATGACTATCCAAACACGAATAACTACTTTAATGATACAGAGTCTGAAGCCTGGTTAAGAAAATGAAAAAAAAAAAAAAAAAAAAAATAGAACAGGAAAAACAAACAAACTTTACTTGGGTACCAGGGAAAACAGACTATATGAAGAAGTTTCATCTTTTTTTAAATGCTGAGATAAGGAAAGCTACTATATTTTAAAAGCATACATTTTATGACGCATGCAATTATTTTATAAAACCTAGTACAAACAATAAAGCATGCATTTCCAAAAGATAAATGAGCTGAAGAATAAGAAATTATTTGCTGAATGATTTGTACAATTATTGAATTACAGAAGGGTATAATAAGGTAGGCAGAAAGCCAGTGAAGGACTGAGCAAGGTTTTTCCACAGTCTCACAGTCCTATGGAGACAAAAGCTAGATTTTAGAAACCTCCAAGGGAGAGGGATTCTGATTAAAAACCCCAGGATCTCAACTGGGAATCCAGGTGTCCACAAACTGGAAAAGCAGAGATAAACAAGAGGCAGGCTGAGTATTACGAAATCTGTAATTGAGTCCCAGAATTAAGATAATCTGCCAACACTCTGCTGGCCAAACAGATTCATGGAGAGAAGTAACATTATCCAGAATCACTACAGTTTAACAAATACAATATTCAGCATTAATAAAGAAAGGAATAACAGACATGACACAAAACAGGACAGGAGGGGAAAAAACCCAGATCCACAGGTGACTCATTTATTGAAATTATTTGCTAAAATTAAAAAGAACTCTATTTCCTTCTTTTGCATATAGTTATCTGGTTTTCCCAGCATCATTCATTGGAGAGACTGTCCTTTCCTCATTGTATGCTCTTGGTGCCTTTGTCAAAGATAAGTTGGCTCTAAGTGTAGGGATTCATATCTGGGTTCTCTAGCTTATTCCATTGGTCTATGTGTTTGTTTTTATACCACTACCATGTAGATTTGGTTACTACAGCTTCGTAGTAAATTTTGAAGTCAGGCTGGGCGCAATGGCTCATGCCTGTAATCCCAGCACTTTGGGAGGCTAAGGCGGGTGGATCACTTGAGGTCAGGAGTTTGAGATCAGCCTGGACAACATGGTGAAACCCCATCTCTACTAAAAATACAAAAAAAAAATTATCTGGGTATGGTGGCAGGTGCCTGTAATCCCAGCTACTTGGAAGGCTGAGGCAGGAGAATGGCTTGAACCTAGGAGGCAGAGGCTACAGTGAGGTGAGATCACACCACTACACTCCAGTATGGGCTACAGAGTGAGACTCAGTTTAAAAAAAAATTTTTTTTTTTTTTTTAAATCAGGTAGTGTAATGTCTCTAGCTTTGTTCTTTTGGCTCAGGATTGCTTCGGCCACTTGGAGTCTTTCATGGTTTTATATACATTTCAGGATTTTTTTTTTTCTATTTCTGTGAAGAACATCCTTGGTATTTGGATAGGGACTACATCGAATCTGTAAATTGCTTTGGGGAGTACTGTCATTTTAACAATATTAATTCTTCCAATCCATGAGCATGGAATATCTTTTCTTTTTGTTTTCTCTTCAATTTCTTTCATCAGTGTTTTATACTTTTTATTGTACAGATCTTTCAGTTCTTTGGTTAAATTGATTCCTAGGTATTATATATTATTCGTATCTATTGCAAATGAGACTGTTTCCTTGATTTTCTTCTCAGATTGTTTGTTGTTGGTGTATATAAACACTACTGATTTTTGTATCCTGCAATTATTGAATTCATTTATCAGTTCTAACATTATTTTGGTGGCATCTTTAGGTTTTTCTAAAAAAAATCATGTTGTGTGTGCACAGGGCTATTCATACACAAAAATTGAATCGAAATTGACTTAAGACTTAAATCTAAGACCTGAAACTATGAAACTACTAGAAGAAAACATTGGAGAATGACTCCAGGGCATTTGTCTGGGCAAGTATTTATTTTGTGTAAGACACCAAAAGCACAGGCAACCAAAGCAAAAATGGACCAATGGGATCATGTCAAGCTAAAAAGCTTCTGCACAGCAAAGACAACAATCAATAGAGTGAAGAGACATCCCACAGAATGGGAGAAAATATTGCAACCTATCCATCATACAAGGGATTAATAGCCAGAATATATAAGGAGCTCAAACAACTCAATAGCAAAAAAAAAAAAAGAAAATTAAAAAAATGGTCAAGAGCTCTGAATAGACATTTCTCAAAAGAGGACATACAAATGGTCAACAAATATGAAAAAATACTCAATATCAGTAATCAGAGAAATGTAAGTTGGTGCAAAAGTAATTGTGGTTTTAGCATTGTTGAAATTTGCCATTTGATATTGGAATACGTTTTTAAATACATGTGGTTATGTCATACATCATTTTAATGCATATTTCTCATTTTTTTTGCTAATGACTTATTACTTGATATATATTTTATGTTTATTTTAGGCTATGGAAATGATGTTAAACAAAAAGCAAATTCGAGTGATTTTCTTATTTGACTTCAAAATCGGTCATAAAGCAGCGGAGACAACTTGCAACATCAACAACGCATTTGGTCTGGGAACTGCTAACAAATGTCCAGTGCAGTGGTGGTTCGAGAAGTTTCACAAAGGAGACAAGAGCCTTGAAGATGAGGAGCACAGTGGCCAGCCGTCGGAAGTTGACAACAACAGAGAGCAATCATTGAAGCTGATCTTCTAACAACTACACGAGAAGTTGCCAAAGAACTCAGTGTCAACCATTCTATGGTCATTTGGTATTTGAAGCAAATTGGAAAGGTGAAAAAGCTAGATAAGTGGGTGCCTTAAGAGCTTAGCAAAAATAAAAAAAATCATTGTATTGAAGTGTCGTCTTCTCTTTTTCTGTGCAACAATGAACCATTTCTTGATGGGATTGTGACATGCGATGAAAAGTGGATTTTATACCACAACTGGTGATGATCAGCTCAGTGTCTGAACCGAGAAGTAGCTCCAAAGCCACTTCCTACAGCCAAACTTGCACCAAAAAAAGGTCACGGTCATTGTTTGGTGGTCTGCTGCTGGTCTGATCCACTACAGCTTTCTGAATCCTGGCGAAATGATTACATCTGAGACGTATGCTCAGCAACTTGATGAGATGAACCAAAAACTGCAATGCCTGAAGCTGGCATTGGTCAACAGAAAGGGCCCAGTTCTTCACGACAACACCTGACCTCATGTCGCACAACCAACACTTCAAAAGTTGAATGAATTGGGCTACAAAGTTTTGCCTCAACCGCCGTATTCACCTGACCTCTCACCAACCAGCTCCCACTTCTTTAAACATCTTGACAACCTTTTGCAGGGAAAATGCTTCCACAACCAGCAGAATGCAGAAAATGCTTTCCAAGAGTTTGTTGAATCCTAAAGCACAAACTTTTACACCATAGGAATAAACAAACTTATTTCTTATTGGCAAAAATGTGTTGATTGTAATGGTTCCTATTTTAATTAATAAAGATGTGTTTGAGCATAGTTATAATGGTTAAAATTCATAGTCCGCAACTGCAGTTACTTTGCAACAGTGACATATTATCTCTCCCCGGTCCAAATGGTTTATGTCAAAAAGACAGGCAGTAGCAGATGCTGGTGAGGATGTGGAAAAGGGGAACCCTCATACACTGTTGGTGGGAATGTAAATTAGCAGAGTGACTATGGAGAACAGTATAGAGGTTTCTCAAAAAACTAAAAATAGAACTACCATATGATCCAGTAATTCCACTACTGGGTATATATCCAAAAGAAAGGAAATCAATATGTTAAAGAGCTATCTGCACTCCCATGTTTATTGCAGCATTATTCACAATAGTCAAAATATGGAATCAACCTAAGTGTGTATGAACAGATGAACGGATAAAGAAAATGTGGTATAGATACACAATGAAATATTATTCAGCTGCAAAAAAGGCCCAAATCCTGTCATTTGCAGCAACATGGATGGAACTGGAAGTCACTACATTAAGTGAAATAAGCCAAGCCCAGAAAGACAAGTAATGCATGTTCATACTCAATGTAGGAACTAAAAAAGTTGATCTTGAGAAGATATAGAGTAGATTGGTGGTTACTAGATGCCAGGAAGGGTAGGGGGAAGGGAACTATGAAGATAAATTGATTAATAGGTACAAATACATGGTTTAATAGAAGAAATAAGACCTAGTATTTGATAAATCATTAGGGTGGCTACAGTTTACAATAATTTATTGTACATTTCAAAATAGTTAGTAGAGAATAATTCAAGTGTTTCTAGAATCTTAAAAAAAGTTAAGGTGATAGATATTCCAAGTATACTGATTTGATCTCTACAAATTATATGAATGTATTAAATTATTTACATGTACCCCAAAACTATGGACATCTGTTATGCATCAAGAAAAAATTGTTTTAAAAAAGACATGTGATTAATATGTCAAAAATAGATGATAGGATGAATAATTTATAGATTCCAGAGAGCTGGCTGGAATGTATAAAAAAGAACTGAAAAGCAACCTGAAACTTAAAAAAATGTAATCACTGAAACTAAGGACTTAATAAATAGGTTAAATAGAATACTGGAAGCTGAAGAGAGGCTTAGTGATTTAGAAGAAATGCCAGAAAGTATTTAAGCTGAAACTTGGTGAGTAAAAAGAATGGAAATACTGAAAAGATTATAGCTATATAGGCCTGGTAAAAAGGTGTATCTAATTAGAGTCCCAGAGGGAGCAGAAGAGAAAAAAATAAGACAGAACAATGTAAGTAATAAAGGCAAAGAATTTCTGAAGTGAAAGACATGCGGGCAAAGAAAACAGCACCTAGGTATAGCACAGTAAAACTGATGAAAACCAAAGACAAAGGACAAAGAAAAAAACCAGAAAACAGATAAATGGCAAAACTATACATTATCTTCAAAGGTATAGCAGTAAGAATTATGGTTGACTTCTTAATGGAAATAATAAAAGACAGACAATGGAAATATATCTTCAAGATGCCAAAAGAGAACTGTCTTTCTAGAATTTTATACCCAGCAAAAAACTCTCTAGGGCTGGGCACAATGGCTCAACCCTGTAATCCCAGCTGTTTGTAAGGCTGAGGCAGGCAGATTGCTTGAGCCAAGGAGTTTGAGACAAGCCTGGGCAACATGGTGAAACCCTATCTCTACAAAAAATACAAAAAATTAGCCAGGCGTGGTGGCATGTGCCTGTAGTCCCAGCTACTTGGGAGGCTGAGACAGGAGGATTGCTTGAGCCTGGAAGGCGGAGGTTGCAGTGTTCTGAGATTGTGCCACTGCACCACTCCAGCCTGGGTGACAGAGAGAGACTCTGAAAAAAAGAAAGAAAGAAAGAGAGAGAGAGAGAAAGAAAGAAGGAAAGAGAGAAAGAAGGAAGGAAAAAAGAAAGAAAGAAGGAAAGAAAAAGAAAGAGAGAAAGAAAGAAAGAAAAGGAAAGAAAAAGAAAGAAAAGGAAAGAAAAAGAAAGAAAGAAAGAGGAGGGAGGGAGGAAGAAAGAGAGAGAGAAAAAGAAGGAAAGAAAGAAAGAAAGAAAGATACTCTCCAAACAAGAAGGCAAAATAAAGACATTTCCAGACTAACAAAAGCATGTAAAATTTTCACCAGCATATTCTCACTAAAATATATACTAACATGAGTTCTGCTGGACAAAAAAAAAAAAGAAAAAAAGAAGATTCCAAATGGATACATAGAAATTCAGAAAGGAATGAAATATGACAGAAAGAATAAAAATGTGGGTGAATATAAATGGTTATTGATTGTAAAAAACAGTAATTATTATGTCTTCTGGGAGCTAAAACATATATAGGACTAAAATGATTAATAACACAAAGGATGGTAATAAATAAAGTTAAAATATTTTACAGACCTAGCATTGTCCAAGAAATGTAAATATCTGAAAAGTTATATTACGTTGTAATAAGTCCAGGCAATATATTGTATTCCTTAGCATATGCAGTAAAACACAGTAAATGAATGTATAATTAATAAACCAATAAAGGGGGGAACAGAATAATGAAGAATGCCTAATTAACTTAAATATTGTAAAGAAGAAAAAAAAAGGAGCATATAACAGGAGAGAGGCAGAAAATAGAGGATAAGTATAAACACAAATATATCAGTAAGTATATTAAAAGCAATTGCTCCAATTAAAACCCAAATATTTCCAAACTGGATTAAAAGTACAACCAGATGTTGCTTAAAAGGCATATCCCTTAAATACAAGGATAGAGAAAGGTTAGAAATAAAAAAGGTGGAAAAAGATATACTATGGAAATATTAAGCAAAAGAAAGTTGGTATAGTTATTTTATTATTGAAGTGGAACATGTAGCAAAAGAAAATCCACCAGGAAAAGAAAATAATTCTAAATTTGATTTCACATATCTTCAAATAACTAAAGCAAAATCTGACAGAACTTAAATGAGAAAACAAATCCATACAACCACCTCTCTCAGTTACTGATAAAGAAAAAATTAGCAAAGATATAGAAGATCTAAAGAAAACTTTTAGTAAACTTTACTTAATTGGCATATATATAACAGTGCACACATTGATAAGAGAATACATATTCTTTACAAGTGCATATAAATCAGTTTCCAAAATTGATTGTGTGCTAGGCCATAAAGCAAGCCTCAATGAATTTAAAGAAACTAAAATCATATGAAGTACATTCTTTGACCACTATTTAATTAAGCTAGAAATCAAGAACTAAAAACAACAAATATCTTTGCTTCATAGCCTAAACTAAGACTACAACACCTAAGAACCACTAGAAGTCTTCTACTGCAGAAACTGATCCAGGAATCATTTTCACAGTTAAAAACTGTAAAATAAATTTTTTATTTATTTTAAAAAATGTGTATAATGTATTTGGAATAGTTTTTTCTAGATGAAATCATATATAAATATATTTTATGGGATTTTTACATAGGATTGTAATCAAGGTCTTGCATTTTAAAGCTGTCAATATACACACAAGATCACGAATGCATTTTTATTTATAAACTTTGTTATTGAAAAAGAGCCAGCTGGTCAACTTACTTCACCTACTTGGTTGCCACAAAAACAAAGAAACCTTAAGCAAGTCTACTAACCTTCATAGACTAACTATACTGTCCAGTGCTAGCAGGTGCCTAGTGAGAAATACTCTGAATGTGCAGGATTGTTCTAAGTGGAGAGAGACCATCACCAATCTTCAGGTCACTCTGGTGGACAAGGCAATCTACTGAGGAAAGTACTTCTGGCAACATGGTTTCTATGCACATTCTGAAAAATAAACCAAATGTAAAAGAAAATTAAAAAACCCCAAGGTAATGAATGTGAAAGGTTCTTCCCTCAAATCTTAAGATGATATGTATCCTTAATGTAGATGCTGAAAAAAAAGCATTAAAAAAAATCTTAAGATTATATTGTTGTGGTTCAAGGTGATCAATTGAACTTAAGTATTTATGTCTCATCCCTTTCCAAATTGTCCTGAAGTGACAGTAGAAAGGTAAATCTAAAAATATATTCTTAGAGGCTGAGCGTGGTGAGTCATGCCTGTAATCCCAGCACTTCTGGAGGCCGAGGCAGACGGATCGCCTGAGGCCTGGAGTTCAAGACCAGGCTGGCCAACGTGGAGAAACCCCGTCTCCACTAAAAATACAAAAATTAGCCAGGCGTGTTGGTGCGTGCCTATAATCCCAGCTACTCAGAAGGCTGAGGCACAACAGTTGCTTGAACATGGAAGGTGGATGTTGTAGTGAGCCAAGATCAGCCACTGCACTCCAGCCTGGGTGACAGAGTGAGATTCCATCTCAAGAAATATATGTATTTCTTACATATATTTATTTATAATAATATATAATAAAACATATTTTTAGAAATTCTGCAAAGTTAGAGGCATGCTACCAACATACAAGAACAGTAAGAAATTTCTGGAAAATGTAAAGCAAGATTGGGAAAGAAAGACTGACAAAAGAATTACAAGAGAATTTGCAAAACCCAAAAAGGAAAAGAAATGATGTTAAGCATAACAAATTCTTATACTCTTTTCCTGTTTGCCATTTTACATGGAGCTATGTGAAAATTAGTCTGTCCAGCCTTTCAGTTCATTAAACTGATCTTTAGTTTGTTCTTTCTACTTTTCAGCCCAACTACTGATTTTTAAAAAATCACGAATCATTTCATTTTCATGGCTTTTTTTTTCAGATATATTATCTGCTTGAATGTCACTAAAAATATTAAGTAAAATAATTCTGAAATTTCATTTATTTCCCAACTTAATTTTGTTTTCCCAAAGGATATATTATTTTGTTTGCTAAGTTTGATGCCTCTCTCTCTGGTTCTTATATTGTTAGCTGGAATATATTTCAAGTGAAAATGTTCACCTGGCTCCAAGGGTGTAGATGATTACATGGGCTCTGGACACACTGTCAGCTGGCTTATATGGTTGGATATCTTTTGAGTGTATACACTTCCTTCTCTTTTGGGGCCCATAAGTCAGGGGAGACTCTACGCAATCAAAGGCTCCTTTGGGAATCTCCCACATCAGATTTAGATTTCTATATTTGTGGCTTTATCCCGTATGTAAGAAAGCCAACTGCTTTGCAAGGAGAGTGCTGGTGCAATTGTTTTACTACCCTATAATTAAATAGCTGGCTTCCCAGACACAGCCTATTCCTTCTAGTTCCCTGCAGTTGTTAATCTTTGGCTTATTTTCATGGTTCCTTTCGTTTTGCAGAATCTTTTCCTTCTTCGTGGAGTTGCAGGGTCAACTTTGTTGTAATTGGCCATCCACCTTATCCTATTTCTTTTATACGTTCCAAAAACTCACACTGCTGATGGCACTCTTCCCTGCTTTCTAAAGTTGCTATAGATTTATTATTATTTTATATTTCTTCTGTCATTTCAATGGAATTTTGGCAGGGAGAAAAAAATAAAAGCTCTCAAAATATTCAGTCAGTTTTCTGAACCCTGACCTTCTCTCTGAAGGGTCTCCCTAAATTCCATGGGTATGAGTGGAGTCAGCTGGTCATCAGAAATGGAAAAGTCTGAAGAAAACCCTCAAAAGGCCAATCTTAGGTTCTTCAATTGTGATGTTATCTACAGGAGCAACTGGGGAAGTCACAAATCTTGTGACCTCTGGTCCCATGATGACCTCTGGGCAGTAAGGGATTATAGAAACTATGCCTACATTTTAGCAGAGTTCAGTTTCCTTCCTAATCTTGTGGTCTTTCAATAGGTTTACAAAGGCAGTTTAGCTTTGGAGAGAGCTATCATCACCCTTGCTTTAAGGTTAAACTATGAACTAAATTCCTCCCATGGTTAGCTTGGCCTATGCCAAGGACAGAGTGAAGACAGCCAGCTTGTAAGGCTAGAAGCAAGATGGAGTCAACTATGTCATATTTCTCTTACTGTCATAATTTTGCAAAGGTGGTTTCAAAAGAGGCCAGGCACAATAGAATACATAGGAGTAAATACCAAATATTTTCATCTAGATATAGTTCAAAAACAAGCAAAACTAATAATCTATGTATTAATTGTGAGAACTGTGGTTACCTTCTGGTAAGAGGGGAGCAATAGTGACTGTGAAGGGCACAAAGAAGGGAGAACTTCTGTGGTTTTGATAATGTTTATTTCTTGACTCTGGTAATAGTCACACAGGTGTGATCACTTTGTAAACATTCATTAAGCTGTATTCTTGATTTGTGCTCTTTTCTCTGTGGGAATACTTCAATAAGAAGGTAAGAAAAAGGGCAGTTTTATGGATTTTTCTAAAAGAGGTCCTCCTAATATTATTTCATTCATCTAGAGGTGACTCTGAATAGACATGTTTCTTCCCACTTCTCAATTTGTATTGCCACTGTAATTTCATGATGGGTTCTTTCTAACCACTTCACAGACAAAATTAATTCACTGAGATTCTGGCATTGTAGTAGAGAAAGAGTTTAACTGACGGGAACCTCGCCCACACAGGAGAACTGAAGTTATCACTCAAATATGTCTCTCCAAAGACTCAGGGGTTAGGGTTTTTATGGAGAATTTAGTGGTCAGGGGGCCAGGAAATGGGTGTTGCTGATTGGCTGGGGAAGAAATCACAAGGGTGTAGAAAATAGCCCTCATGCACTGAGTCTACCTCCGGTGGGGCTGCAGGACCAGCTGAGTCATAAGTCATGGGTCCACGTGGGCTCAGACTGAAAAATATCTTAAAAACCAATCTTAGCTTCTACATAGTGATGTTATTTATAGGAATAATTGGAAAAGTCACAAATCTTGTGACCTCTGGCCACATGATATCTTGAGCAGTAAGGGATTATAGACACTATCCCTACATTTTAGCCACACTGAAGCCCTTCCCATAATCCTATTCTTACAAAGGAGGTTTTTGGACTCTAAGCAAGGGGAGGGTTAGATTAGGGAGGGACTATTGTTATAATTGCTTTAAACTATAAACTAAATTCCTCCCAAGGTTAGCTTGGCCTTCGCCTAGGAATGACCAAGGATGGCTTGGAGGTTAGAAGCAAAATGGAGTCAACTATGTCAGATTTCTTTTACTATCATAATTTTGCAAAGGCAGTTTCACGACCATTTTCTAATAATTTTTGGTCATGTCATATCTATATTATTTAAAATTTCCTTTCCTTGTCTTTTCTGTATCACTACATTTCTCTTTTTTCTTTGGAGTTGGAGAGTATAACCCTGACAGCATCTAACAAGTTTTGGGTGGGAGCTTTAATCTGAATAATCATATATTTTTAAAACTAGGGACAATTTTCTTCTATTTTCAAAAATTATTTTTCTACCACCACCTATTTATTCCTATTTATTTGAAAGTGTGACCTCCTTAAATTCTCCTCTATATCTCTTAATTTTTCTCCCATATTTTCCAAACTGTTCTGTATTGTGGGACATTTCCTGGATTGGTAGGAAACTACTTGATCATCAGCTTGTTCTTATATTCTGAACTCTATTATATGCCTCTGAACATCATGTTTATCTCAGGTTATACCTACTTGATTGAAGGAATAAAAAAAAAGGAAAACTCTCTTCAGTTTTCAGAAGGAATTTAACAACGCCTTTGAACAGAATTTTTAACATTTTCATTCAAATATTATGTTACTTAAACAACAAATAAAAGAATAAAAGAAAAAATGAAGACGATGCTCATGAATGACTTTGAGATGGATTTTAATCCTTCTCAAATCTTATATAGTGGAGACATAAAGTAATTAAATTGGATTTTTAAAAACTTAAGGTCAAATTCTGAACAGGGCATTAAAAAATCTATTTAAGGATGATGTTATTAAGGTATAAGAGGCTTTAGACATGTCACTTTTCTATGAATGTCTTCAAGTCAGCTTTCTTATAGAGAATTTTGGTTTTATGTCTGGCTTTACACATTTTTGGTTTTGTTTCAATGAACATATTTATGGGACTACAGCCAAGAGAGTGTGCCATTTGGGGAAGGAGGGGAAAACATTTTGTTTCCTTTTTTTTTCTTAAGGTATTTTTATTTACAGAGTGAACACAGGATGTCATCAAACTTCAAAATCTGAACAGTAGAGGTGACTTTGTCAACATCACTTTGCTCCCAAAGTCAGTAGCTTTCCAAAACAGTGCAGTTGCCAGCCGACCTCTTTAGTTACTGCCACATTTAGACATTTTAATAAAAGCCTATTGTTCACTTTATGCTGGATCATTTCATCTTTATGTATTGTTTGCCCAAGGAGAATTCATTTAAAAGTAAGGATTAATGTTCTAAAGTTATTCTGCCATCAAATTGCTTTAACAGTACAGGGGAATTCTTTTCACAATTACTAATAAAATAACTAAATGCAGCACAAGAATTCATCCAATACATATTTGCTAAGCATCAGTACTGAGGAACCATTGCTATCAGAATTCTGCCGGAAATAATTTTATAACATATGACAAATTTCTACACTTAAATTTCTCATTTAAAATTTCATAGCTAAATAGCTTGAGAAAAGTACCTAATATTCTTATATAATCCTTCAATAATAGAGTTATAATATAGGTATTTTGCTGACCTATAGAGAAGCCATATTGCAAAGAGGGTAAAGCAGAGGCATCAAAGCCAGTGTGCTTGAGCGTATCCCACCACTGGCTTGCTATGTAAATTTGACCTTGTTAACTTCTAGATGCCTCAGCTTCATCATCTGCAAAATGGGGATAATAATAGTACATAATTCAGGGTTGTTGTGAGGATAAATGAGTTAATACAGTGCCCAGCATATGGTAGACATCAAATAAAATTTAGCTAATTCCTCACCCTTTATATTAGGGGACAATAGAGCAATAGAGAGTGTCTGAAGATGCTATATTAGTAGAGATATAAGTGTATTGCATAAAGTTATAAGGCATCTTTCAAAAGAATTACAAATAGAAATTGCTAACTGGAGAAGCAGGAGGAATGGGAGGGAAAGATAAACTCTATTTTTCTTAAACTCAACAAAAATAAGATGAAGAATATAATACAGATAAGTGCATCAGTTACTTAGATACAAAACCACTCCTTCCTTCCACTGTGTCTTATAACATTGTTACTTAAGTTGTTCTCAGTCCTTTCTAGCAGTTCGCTTACGACTTCTAACATTTCCTCTCCCCTATCTTCGAAAGACAGCTCTTATATTTGGAGCCTGCACTCAGGACCAGGACATAAAAGATTGTCACTGAAAGTGAGAACATACATTGCAGATAGCAGTAATCAGGAATCAAGATGCTTATCCATAAATATAAACCGATAGTCAATAATTACCAAAATTGAAGGAAAACCAAAACAAGCACAAAAAAGAGGCATGAGGCATTGAACTCAACAAACAAAAGAATTTTACCTTTTAGGAAACTGAATTAATATGGGAAACAAAATAAAATTATTATAATTAGTATCAGATAAATTAGGGAAGATGTGTCTGTCTTAACAAAACTGGCTGCTATGAAAGTGAAACAATTATAAGTTTAAATAAAACAGAATCTTAGTACTTGGGATAATAGCAGAAGGAACAGATATAATCATCAGCTTATTGAGCTGGAAGATTGAGCTGAAGAATTTTTACATAGCCCAGTGCAAAAAATCACAATAAGATGGAAAAAGTACAGGAGTTTGTTACATTTGGTGCCCTTGATTTCTCTTTTTTGGATTTGAAGGTTCCTTAGCATCACATGTGATTAAGTATTTACTGTTCAGAGTTTGAAGTTTGACATTTTCCCCTAATTACTTTATATGTTTAATACATTTCTAATCTGAATTCCAGCTGGTTTTTTTTTATTCAAATTGACAAACTGAATCTAAAATATTCATGGAAATGCAAAGGGTTAAAAAATACCAAGATAATTCTAATGAACAAAGCTGGAGAACTTATTCTATTAAATATCAAGACTTACTTAAAAGCTACTATAATTCAGACACTGTGTTACTAGAACAAAAATAGACAATTAGACCAAGGGAACAGATAAAAGAGTTTGGAGAAAGGGACACAGTTGTATGAATACTTAATTTATGAGAAAGGTAACACTGCAGAACCCGGGAGAAAGAATTATCCTTTACATCCACAGTGCTGATTCCATTGTATGTACATGCGGAAAACATAAAAGCTAAACCTAACCTCACTCCATCCATAAAAATCAGCTGGGGGTGGAGGAGGGAGGATAGTGTAGATCTAAATCTGGAAGGTAAACAATAAACTTTCTAGAAGATATCATAACATTTCTTCATGGCCTTGAACTTGTAAATGTTTTCTTAAAGAGGACATTGAAAACACTAACCATAAGGGAAAAATAATAAACTGTACTGCACTAAATTGACAAATTCTGCTCATAAAATATACCACTAAAACAGTGAAAAGTCAAACAACAGAATGGGAAAAGATATCTCCAACAAAAATATTTGACAAAGTTCTCATATCTAGAATATATAAAGAAATAATGTACATCAATAAAAAGGATAGATAACACAATAGAAAAATAGACAAGACACAAAACGGCAGATAAATATACAGAAAGAAGTTCAATCTCAGTAGTAATTAGGGAAATGCAAACTAATACCAACACAAGATACCACAATATACCAATCAGAATAGAAAAAATTTTAAAAACCCGACAGTACCAACTGTTGACAAAGATATGGAACAAAAACAATACATTGCTGATGGAAGTAGAAATTGGCACTATGAGTTTAGAAAATTGTCAGTGTTTTCTGAACTTGAACATGTGTAAACTTACTGTCTACCTTTACTTTTTTATTATATTCTCTCCTCTAACATTGAACTTTTTCATATCCACACATAAAAACAGCATAAACATATTATCATTTTTCTTGAAAACTGTCAAAACTGATTTCTATTTGTCAAATACAAAATATAACCACCTATTAAAGCTCAATTGTCTTTGCAAATTTTGTATATGGAAATACTAAGTTACATACATAATTAATAAATCAGTTTTTACTTTTAGTTTCTTTTAAAATTAGCCAAATAATCTTTTAAAATTTAAAAAGAATTTTTTTTTTAAGAGACAGGGTCTTTCTGTTGCCTGGGCTGGGTGCAGTGGTGCAAATGTGATTTACTGCAGCCTCAACCTCCTAGGTTCAAGCGATCCTCCTACCTCAGCATCCTGAGTAGTAGGGACTACAGACATGCACCACCGTGCCCAGCTAATTTTTAAAAAAATTTTTTGTAGAGATAGGGTCTTGCTATATTGCCCAGGCTGGTCTCAAACTCCTGGGTTCAAGCAACCCTCCCACCTCAGCTGCCCAAAGTTCTGTGATTACAGGCATGAGCCACCATGCCTGGCATGTAAGTAGTCTTATAAGTGACAAAGTACTTGTGTTTTATGTAGTATTCAATAAATACTTACTAAGTTCCTTCAGGATGTCAGAATTTTTACCTCCCCATCCCTACCTCACTAAGAACCTGCATTCTAGCTGAGGATCACAGACAGTAAGAAAAACTAAAGAAGTAAAATATATCCCATGTTAGACAGGGATGAGTGTTAAACAGACATTTAAGGCAAGGAACCAGCAGAGGAAATATTAGAGTGGGAGTGTGGCATTCATAGAGTAGCCAGGAAAGACCTTGCTGAGAAGGTGACATGTAAGAGGCATGAAGAAGTGAGCCATGCTAGCATTTGGGAGAAGAACTACAAGTGCAAAGGCCCTATAAAATGTCCAAATTTCCATATAAGGAAGCTGCCTTAATCATTCAAATCTTGTATTCTGCAATCTACACTGGTTACATTATGTGTAATGTTGCAAGCTTTTGCAGCATATTAAACATTTTAGTTCTTGCTTAGCAGTTGTAGTCTAGTTTGTAAATGCTTCCTAAAATCGACTTTCTGAAATCAAATATAATTTTTCTGCTCCAAAAGTACTGACTAAAATTTCTAGAAAAGGTTCCTTTTTTTTTTTTTTTTTTTTGAGAGGGAGTCTCATGTCTCATTCTGTCCCCCAGGCTGGAGTGCAGTGACGCAATCTTGGCTCACTGCAACCTCCGCCTCCTGGGTTCACACCATTCTCCTGCCTCAGCCTCCTGAGTAGTTGGGACCACAGGTGCCTGCTGCCATGCCTGGCTAATTTTTTGTATTTTTAGTAGAGACGGGGTTTCACCATGTTAGCCAGGATGGTCTCTATCTGCTGACCTCGTGATCTGCCCACCTCGGCCTCCCCAAGTGCCACCGTGCCTGGCCTCTAGAAAAGGTTCTTTAAACAATAGCAAGTGAGCGAAGTGAAAGTCAGGAGACGTGTTCCAGTCCCATCTTTGCTGCTCACTTGTTGTGAGACTTTGGTCTCTAACTTCTCTAGGCCTTGGTTTCCTCAGCTAGGAAATAAGACAGTTGGGTTGATTCAGAGGTTTTAAGCCCATGCTTTGTTAGATAAATAGAGTATTTTGAGTAACTTTAGAGTGAGCAGCCCCTCTCTAGTTTGACTCTCTACCTCACCATATCAAAACTTACCAACTTATACCATGACCACTTGACTCTTTAGTTATTTGCTTAACTCCTGATCAAATACATTGCAAACCCTCCAGCTATAACAGCATAATGCTATGACTGTACCTTGTTTATTTAAACTCCTCTACAACGTAAGAGCTTCTCTGTTTAGTTCACTCATCTTCACTGCAACATGAACCATCAAAACTTCCATGTACTTGGACGAAGTCAGGCAAACCTATATATATATATAAATTAATGAGCTCCATATTTCCTCATTGTGAAAAGGTAGAGTCTATCATAGCCTCTACCACTATTTTCAGGTCCTCTGTGTCATCATACTTTCTCTTGCTCCTAGGCTTTAAAATGCTATTAATTATCCCTGACAGGCCCCGTTTTTCTCCTTCTTTCTGCCATCTTAACCTGGTAACCCCTTTGACACCTGGAATGCAAAAATCTGAGTTAGGTGTATTTCTTTCTCTTTCCCTTTTTGTCTCTCTCTCTCTCTCCTCTACTTTGTATAATTACATGTATTTTCCCTGCTAGACTCTAAACGTTGTGAGTACAGAAAATGTCTATTTTATTCTCTGTAATAAATCCAGCAACTAGCATAGTACTTGACACAGAGTAGGTGCTTTAAAAGTATTGCTAAATAATGTTATGGAAAGACTGGATATGGCTGACCAAAAGAAGAAAAGGTGATAAGAGAACAAGGTACTACGAGGAAATAAAGACTCAAATTATTTATCCAAAAAGATAATGTGAAATTATGTAAAACTAAAGAAGAATCCTTGTCACAATTCTTAATATTGAGAAGTTTTAAATGAATTGTTCCAAATAGGTAGGAAAATAATGTCATTAGTCCAAACAAAGACACTTCCTTATGGGTCAGTGTATTAGTCCATTCATGCTGCTGATAAGTTGCCAGAGACTGGGCAGTTTACAAAAGAAAGAGGTTTAATTGGACTTACAGTTCCACGTGGCTGGGGAAGCCTCACAATCATGGTGGAAGGCAAGGAGGAGCAACTCCCATCTTACATGGATGGCAGCAGGCAGAGAGAGAATGAGGAAGATGCAAAAGCGGAAACCCCTG
The DNA here is from genome assembly GCF_000001405.40 of Homo sapiens. Taxonomy (NCBI): domain Eukaryota; kingdom Metazoa; phylum Chordata; class Mammalia; order Primates; family Hominidae; genus Homo; species Homo sapiens. The sequence goes on from NC_000015.10 coordinate 35,328,962, forward strand.
ATAAAATCATCAGATGTCATAAGACTTATTCACTACTGCAAGAACAGTACGCGGGAAACTGCCCCCATGATTCAATTATCTCCCACTGGGTCCCTCCCACATGGGAATTATGGAAGTACAATTCAAGATGAGATTTGGGTGGAGACACAGAACCAAACCATATCAGTCAGTAAAAGATATTAGAAGATACAGACTCATGGTGATTGAGGTACACTTAAGCATGATAATCTATAATACCAGGTAATTACAATGTGTATTAGCTATTATTAACACTCAGAATGTATTGATTTCTAAGATTATTATACACAAATGTATCTGGTAGTAGCAGATAGCATTTGTGTGTATATAGAATGCAGGGAAATAGAGCTGTGGATGAGAGAGGTGCCAGTTTTCAATAAATTAATGAAAGACAAGCATTCTCCATAAACTATTTGCATTGAGGCAACTTATTTTAATTTTAATATTATTTAAGCTTAGTTGTGAAATTCTAAATACCTGAATTTCTAAATTTAGATTTCTAAATTCCTTGACAAAATTTATCTTCCTTGTGGTTAACTAAATCAATTAACCTTGCAAAGGGAAGGTTAAAAGGACTTCTGTATGCTACATTCTCACAGCATGAAAGAGAACAGGCAGAGAAGCCTGAGTGAACTGCTGGTAGAGTTCAAGGAAAGGCTTGTACAAGCAGATGATCAGTTCTGTTCTTGCTAAAATTTGGGAAAGAAATACATTGTGGTTTCTTCAGATGACAGCATCGTAATTCACTTAGCTCTCCCCTACCTTTTCACAAAAAGGCCAAAACCCCATAGGAAATGTGAGCACTGACATTTTCTACCCAGGATCAAAAACTGACTATGTGCCAGAAATTGAAAACAATACAGCTAAAACAGTAAATACACAGTAATGTGTTGAAAGAAATAGGCTGCTGGACTGGTCAGTGACACAATCCATCATTTCTATTTTAACTTCTGATGGATAGAAAGGTTAAAAAAAAATATGTTTGGATTGGCAGATTTCCATGCAAATATAATGACAACCAAACAAATACTAGAGAATTTTTGCATTAATTTACAGATTATGCCCCAAAGATTTACACTAAACACTATGTTTTAATGACAAGTTTCATTATATATTTCTACTTGATTTCCAGGCAGTTAAAAGCTAGCTTAAGGGCCATCTAGAAGGCATGATTTCTTTGCTTTCTACAAAATGCTAAAGCTTCTTTATCATTCCGTATTCAGCCATGAACTCAGCTGCACAAGCCAAATGTGAAGATTTTATGGGCCAATCTATCATGCGAATACGTGAACAAGAATACAAGCCTACTCATGCAGACGCTAAGGGTGATTTCCATTTTTATGAATGAAAAAGAACCCTGAATAAACATTCTTTATTTAAAGTTTTAAATGAAGAAAGATGCAAAACAAAATGGAAGCATTTTGTTTTATATGTCAATATCTTGTAAGAGGGGCAAAGTAAGGAATCTGGCTCACGTGATTCCCAAGACAGCAATATCTCCTTTGCATTAAGTACATAAATGAGATTTATGGCCACTGACCTAATCTTAGATGCCAAAATGTACAGCAGGAACAGCTTTCTGAAAAACTTAATTTAAAATTATGGTGTTAACAAAAGCACTTTAGGAAGCAGACAACCTACCCGGCATACATACACATATGCACCTGAGACCTGACTATAGAAAGGAGCCTTGGTTATTTGCATAAAGCTTTAGAATACGTTTCTGACACACTTCAAATCCTCAGGTTTTACTTTTTCTCTTTACAACCTTGATGTTTTTGAATTTCTAAATAAATACATATTACCAGACAGTCAATGCTAATCATTAAACATCATTTAATACCAGACATTTATAGATTCAGGTTTTGGGAAGAATAAAAGTAAAGAAAAATAAATAAACCTGTTAATTTATTTTCTGTTTTAAAAAGCAATTTTCTTACTCACTAAATACTAACTAAATTAGCACCTTGGAGAAAAGAAAAGGCTTAAGCAGCTGCATGTAACATGCTTTCTCCACTGAATGAGAGAAACGTGGCTCAGATGCTGCTAGTCCACTGGTAAGCGGTGGGAGGTTTCCTTGAATATATTGGTTTTTGACCTTGAAGAGTAAGATAAAATAAAGAAAACAGTAAATGAGACCTATAATGACAGATGTCAAATAAACACTTTCCTAATATAGTCCCATAAAACAGAATTCCTGGAAAAAATAACATCCTGTAGAATGAAATGTCAAGTTAAGGAAATACGTCCCTTCCTTTATCACTGGGTTTTAATAAGTGAATTATGCATAGTTAGAGAAGGTAAACATACAGTAACAAATGCTGTTTAAATGATCTCAAAGTTCAAGAGTTTTTACATTAAAATATAGACTTGAAGCATTTAAATGTACATTTCAGGTATACATAAATCTATCATCTTCCCGAAACAGATAAATCATGCTACCACATAACATGTACATAGGGCTAAAAAGATTTTTAGAGTACCATTGAAAATTTGAAACTAAAATGCAGGATTCAAAAGAACACTGGGTGCTATAAGTTATTGGAAGATTTAATTTTAAATTCCTATCTTTGTTTGGGTTGTCCCAAAAGAGAGTCTAACATTTGAACTTGGATGTTGGTAATTTTTTTGAAAGATGAATCCCAGAAAGCAGAGTGAGGAGAATGAGACAGGGAAGGAAAAGTCAATAATGCTATTGAGTTGTTTAATGATCTGGGCAGCCAAGGATCAATTCTACTGGGGATTTTCTGAGGAACTCTGTAGAATGTGCCCTAAAATTGTTCATCCGAAGGATGTCAGGTTGGTGCCTTTATTCTCAATATCCTGTCCTGTCTCCATTATTGAGGGTTCCTGCAGGTGGTGGCAAGTCCCTCACCCTTCCAGTCTTCCCTGACACAAGAGCTGAGGGAGCGCCTTTGGCTTCAGAGAAAGCTCTGAGGCAGAAGAATGGAGAAATGTATGCCCAGAGCTTTTGGTAGAGCATTGTCATTCTGTCCAAAACTGTTTGGCACCACTGTAGCTGCAGCCATAGATAGGACAACAGCACACAATGGGAGGACAAAAATCCTGTGCTCCAGATGCCAAGTCAGCTACAAAAACTCCTTACATTGCTTCGAATCAGCTTCTAGGATGGAAATTGATAAGACTCTTCATAAACATAAAGTTTTTGTATTCTATTCCTAAATTTTAAAATATCAGAAAATAATTTATAAAAATAATTCACATGTTCACATAACCAATATCATTTCCAATTATCATATTTTTGGTGTGTGAGTGTAAGTGGGTTTTCAGAAGAAATTAATGAAAAAATTAGGCAAAAGGATAAATTTGAAAGTTAAAAAAGGAGCCAATGATGCTAAAAGAGAGAAAGAAAAAATATTTATGACAACCAATTTTCACATTGCATCTGCACTACAGAATGAATTAAATGGAAAGTAATATAATTTGATCAGTTTTATTCCTTTTTATCTCAATAAAGAACAATCTGGCTTGGATTAGTTTCACATTTTTCAACTGGTTGTTTTAGCATCATGAACACATTGTCTTAATTGTACTTTTTAAAAGGCCATATATTATTGCAGTTAAAATAGCTCAGGCCTTGGGGTCAGATGCCTATGTTTGAATTCCCACTCTGCAACTTACCAGGTGTGCAAAATGGTGACAAGGACAGTACTTAGTAATATTCAATAATTAGTAATTTAGAATTAAATTATATAAAACATATGGAGCCCTCAAAAGAGTGTCTATCTCAAAGTAGATGCTCAGTACTGTTAGTGACGATAATTAGTTAATGTTATTGTTAAATTACGAAGTAAGGAGTCATAACAAGTTTGTAATTGTATGTGCATGCACATACAATTACACTACAAAGCAATAAAGGAGAAAAAGAAAATATAACTGATTCAAATATACACTGTTTTGTAGAAGGGGAGTCAAAGATTTCCAGATGGGGGGTGAAGTTTCATTTCAGTCCTCTTCCTTTGTTAAAGAAAGGATGTTATCCTCATACAGTTCACTTCAAATGAGCAGTTATCCATACACAGCTTGTGTGAGGATGTCAAATAAGAAGGAAAAAGATTAGTGAGCAGAATAAGAAATGGAGAATCAGGAAGCTAAAAAAAAAAAAAGCTGAAATTGAATAAGTTAAGTGCAATTTAAATTTAGTGAAACTAAAACTTAAAAAAGTGAGCAGTTTATCTATTGATGAAAAAGACCAATATCTGAGAATGGCAAACAGATTGATATTGGTGATGCAATGTGGCCAATGACCACGTAAAATAACAGAAGTCACACAGCAATGATACGAATACTTGGTATCTTGCAATCATGCAAAGGAGCAAAAGTATTATACTACAAAAGGCATAGAGTTAGGCTACGAATTGCTCAAAGAAAAGGGAAAAATATCATATAGCTATTATAGGAAGAAAAGACAAAGTAAAAAAGCATCAATTAAAATACTCCAGTAGGAAAAAGGGTTGATCATGCAACGTCAGGCCATGATTAGAAAGTAATAGGCTAGCACAATTAATAAATGATTCCAATTACATAAATTAGTTAATACATAAATTAATAACCTTGTCCAAAACTGGCCAAAGTAATATACATGATGAAACTTAAAGCACTGAGCGTACCTGTAAGAAATTAAACTTATATTCATTCTGGGTTAAATTTGTTATTGCATATTACACTCTGGGTGGGAGTGTAAATTAGGTCAACCATTGTGGAAGACAGTGTGGTGATTCCTTAAAGACCTAGAGGCAGAAATACTATTTGACCCAGCAGTCTCATTACTGAGTATATATGTGAAGGAATATAAATTATTCTATTATAAAGATACATGCACCCATAGGTTCACTGCAGCACTATTCACAATAGCAAAGACATGGAATCAACCTAAATGCCCATTAGTGATAGACTGGATAAAGAAAATGTGGTACATATACACCATGGAGTACTATGCAGCCATAAAGAAGAACAAGATCTTGTCCTTTGCAGGGACATGGATGGAATTGGAAGCCATTATCCAGCAAACTAACATAGGAACAGAAAACCAAACACGGATCTAAATACTCTTAAGGATCTAATGGGCACCAAACAGGCCACGGATGTCCATTTTTAATTTTTCAAAGTCCTCTAAATTTGTATTTAAAAATGGAAGAGGGAAGGATACTTACATAAGATTCTGCCAATTTCAGGTCAAAAAGAAACATTTTTTAAAAAAAGGTAAAAATGATCTAAAGATACCTTAAAGATCAACTTGCATCAATTAATTCTAATACCCTTGAATTTCTAATTAAGTTCGGTTTAAAATAGGTACATACACAAAAATATAGCTTGAAGATAAACTTGTATATTATGATAGCAAAATAAAGTATATTTTCTTCCAGTTTTTCAAAGTCATTTCTTTTTTTCTTTTCTTCTACTTTTATTTTAAGTTCAGGGGTAAATGTGCAGGATGTGCAGGTTTGTAACATAGGTAAATGTGTGCCATGGTGGTTTGCTGCACAGATCATCCCATCACCTAGGTATTAAGTGCAGCATCCATTAGGTATTCTTCCTAATGCTTTCCCTACCCCTACCCCATGCCCCCAATAGGCCCCTGTGTGTGTTGTTCCCCACCACGTGTCCATGTGTTCTCATCATTCAGCTCCCACTTACAAATAAGAACATGCAGTGTTTGGTTTTTCTGTTCCTATGTTAGTTTGCTGAGGATAATGGCTTCCAACATCATCCATGTCCCTGCAAAGGACAAGATTTTGTTCTTTTTTTATGGCTGCACAGTATTCCACGGTGTATATGTACCAGATTTTCTTTATCCAGTCTTTCACTGATGGGCATTTAAGCTGATTCCATGTCTTTGCTATTGTGAATTGTGCTGCAATGAACCTATGTGTGCATGTATCTTTATAATAATTTATATTCCTTTGGGTATATACTCAGTAATGGTATTGCTGGGTCAAATGGTATTTCTGCCTCTAGGTCTTTGAGAAATTGCCACACCGTATTCAACAATGGTTGAACTAATTTACACTCTCACCAACAGTGTAAAAGCATTCCTTTTTCTCCACAACCTTGCCAGTATCTCTTGTTTTTTGACTTTTTAATAATAACCATTCTGAATGGCATGAGATGGTATTTCACTGTGGTTTTGATTTGCATTTCTCTAATGATCAATGATGTTGAGCTTTTTTACATATGTTTGTTGGCTGCATGTATGCCTTCTTTTGGTATGGGTCTGTTCATGTCCTTTGCCCACTTTTTAATGGGGTTATTTCCTGTAAATTTAAGTTCCTTGTAGACTCTGTATATTAGGCCTTTGCCAGATGAAAAGATTGCAAAAATTTCCTCCCATTCTGTAGGTTGTCTGTTTACTTTGTTGATAGTTTTTTTATTTTTTATTTTATTTTATTTTTCTGCTATGCTCTTTAGTTTAATTAGATCCCATTTGTCAATTTTTGCTTTTGTTATCTTTGTCATAAAATCTTTGCCCATGCCTATGTCCTGAATGATACGCCTAGGTTTCTTCAAGGGTTTTTATAGTTTTGGGTTTTGCATTTAAGTCATTAATCCATCTTGAGTTAGTTTTTGTACACGGTATAAGGAAGGGGTCCAGTTTCAATTTTCTGCATATGGCTAGCCAGTTCTCCCAGGATCATTTATTAAATAGGGAATGCTTTCCCCATTGCTTGTTTTTGTCAAAGATCAGATGATTGTATGTGTGCAGACTTATTTCTGAGTTCTCTGTTCGATTCCATTGGTCTATGTGTCTGTTCTTGTACCAGTCCCATGATGTTTTGGTTACTGTGGTCTTGTAGTATAGTTGGAAGTTGTATAGCACAATGCCTCCAGCTTTGTTCTTTTTGCTTATGATTGTCTTGGCTCTTTGGCCTGTGTTTTGGTTCCATATGAATTTTTAAATAGTTTCTTCTAATTCTGTGAAGAATGTCAATGGTAGTTTAATGGGAATAGCATTGAATCTATAAATTACTTTGGGTAGTATGACCAGTTCATGATATTGATTCTTCCTATCCATGAGCACTGAATCTTTATCCATTTGTGTCCTCTGATTTCTTTGAGCAGTAGTTTCTAGTTCTTCTTGAAGAGATTCTTCACTTCCCTTGCTAGCTGTATTTCTAGGTATTTTATTCTTTTTGTAGCAATTGTGAATGGGAGTTCATTCAAGATTTAGCTCTCTGCTTGCCTGTTGTTGGTGTATAGGAATGTCAGCAATTTTTGCACACTGCTAGATTGGGGAAGTTCTCCTGGATAATATCCTGCAGAGTGTTTTCCAACTTGGTTCCATTCTCCCCATCACTTTCAGGTACACCAATCAGACGAAGATTTGGTCTTGTCACATAGTCCCATATTTCTTGGAGGCTTTGTTCATTTCTTTTCATTCTTTTTTCTCTAAACTTCTCTTTTCACTTCATTTCATTCATTTGATCTTCCGTCACTGATACCCTTTCTTCCAGTTGATCAAATCGGCTACTGAAGGTTGTGCATTCATCACGTAGTTCTTGTGCCATGGTTTTCAGCTGTGTGCCAGTTTTCAAAGGGAATGCTTCCAGTTTTTGCCCATTCAGTATGATACTGGCTGTGGGTTTGTCATAGATAGCTCTTATTATTTTGAGATATGTCCCATCAATACCTAATTTATTGAGTGTTTTTAGCATGAAGAGTTGTTGAATTTTGTCAAAGGCCTTTTCTGCATCCATTGAGATAATCATGTGGCTTTTGTCTTTGGTTCTGTTTATATGCTGGATTACATTTATTGATTTGCGTATATTGAAACAGCCTTGCATCCCAGGGATGAAGCCCACTTGATCATGGTGGATAAGCTTTTTGATGTGCTGCTGGATTTGGTTTGCCAGTATTTTATTGAGGATTTTTGCATCAATGTTCATCAAGGATATTGGTCTAAAATTCTCTTTTTTGGTTGTGTCTCTGCCTGGCTTTGGTATCAGGATGATGCTGGCCTCATAAAATGAGTTAGGGAGGATTCCCTCTTTTTCTATTGATTGGAATAGTTTCAGAAGGAATGGTACCAGTTCCTCCTTGTACCTCTGGCAGAATTCGGCTGTGAATCCATCTGGTCCTGGACTCTTTTTGGTTGGTAAGCTATTGATTAATGCCACAATTTCAGATCCTGTTATTGGTCTATTCAGAGATTCAACTTCTTCCTGGTTTAGTCTTGGGAGAGTGTATGTGTCCAGGAATTTATCCATTTCTTTTCGATTTTCTAGTTTATTTGCATAGAGGTGTTTGTAGTATTCTCTGATGGTAGTTTGTATTTCTGTGGGAATGGTGGTGATACCCCCTTTATCATTTTTTATTGCATCTATTTGATTCTTCTCTCTTTTTTTCTTTATTAGTCTTGCTAGCGGTCTATCATTCTTATACACCAATAACAGACAAACAGAGAGCCAAATCATGAGTGAACTCCCATTCACAATGGCTTCAAAGAGAATAAAATACCTAGGAATCCAACTTACAAGGGACGTGAAGGACCTCTTCAAGGAGAACTACAAACCTCTGCTCAATGAAATAAAACAGGATACAAACAAATGGAAGAATATTCCATGCTCATGGGTAGGAGGAATCAATATCATGAAAATGGCTATACTGCCCAAGGTAATTTATAGATTCAATGCCATCCCCATCAAGCTACCAATGACTTTCTTCACAGAATTGGAAAAAACTACTTTAAAGTTCATGTGGAACCAAAAAAGAGCCTGCATCGCCAAGTCAATCCGAAGCCAAAAGAACAAAGCTGGAGGTATCACACTACCTGACTTCAAACTATACTACAAGGCTACAGTAACCAAAACAGCATGCTACTGGTACCAAAACAGAGATATAGACCAATGGAACAGAACAGAGCCCTCAGAAATAATGCCACATATCTACAACTATCTGATCTTTGACAAACCTGAGAAAAACAAGCAATGGGGAAAGGATTCCCTATTTAATAAATGGTGCTGGGAAAACTGGCTAGCCATTGTAGAAAGCTGAAACCGGATCCCTTCCTTACACCTTATACAAAAATTAATTCAAGATGGATTAAAGACTTAAACATTAGACCTAAAACCATAAAAACCCTAGAAGAAAACCTAGGCATTACCATTCAGGACATAGGCATGGGCAAGGACTTCACATCTAAAACACCAAAAGCAATGGCAACAAAAGCCAAAACTGACAAATGGGATCTAATTAAACTAAAGAGCTTCTGCACAGCAAAAGAAACTACCATCAGAGTGAACAGGCAACCTACAAAATGGGAGAAAATTTTCGCAACCTACTCATCTGACAAAGGGCTAATATCTAGAATCTACAATGAACTCAAACAAATTTACAAGAAAAAAACAAACAACCCCATCAAAAAGTGGGCGAAGGACATGAACAGACACTTCTCAAAAGAAGACATTTATGCAGCCAAAAAACAGATGAAAGAATGCTCACCATCACTGGCCATCAGAGTAATACAAATCGAAACCACAATGAGATACCATCTCACACCAGTTAGAATGGCAATCATTAAAAAGTCAGGAAACAACAGGTGCTGGAGAGGATGTGGAGAAATAGGAACACTTTTACACTATTGGTGGGACTGTAAACTAGTTCAACCATTGTGGAAGTCAGTGTGGCGATTCCTCAGGGATCTAGAACTAGAAATACCATTTGACCCAGCCATCCCATTACTGGGTATATACCCAAAGGATTATAAATCATGCTGCCATAAAGACACATGCACACGTATGTTTATTGCGGCACTATTCACAATAGCAAAGACTTGGAACCAACTCAAATGTCTGACAATGATAGACTGGATTAAGAAAATGTGGCACATATACACCATGGAATACTATGCAGCCATAAAAAATGATGAGTTCATGTCCTTTGTAGGGACATGGATGAAATTGGAAACCATCATTCTCAGCAAACTATCACAAGGACAAAAAACCAAACACTGCATGTTCTCAGTCATAGGTGGGAATTGAACAATGAGAACACTTGGACACAGGAAGGGGAACATCACACACTGGGGCCTGTTGTGGGGTGGGGGTAGCGGGTGGGGGATAGCATTAGGAGATACACCTAATGTAAATGACGAGTTAATGGGTGCAGCACAGCAACATGGCACATGCATACATATGTAACAAACCTGCACGTTGTGCATATGTACCCTAGAACTTAAAGTATAATAAAAAATATATATATAAATAAATATATAAATTTCCCTCTTAACACTGTTTTAGCTGCATCCCAGAGATTCTGATACATTGTCTCTTTGTTCTCATTAGTTTCAAAGAACTTCTTCATTTCTGCCTTAATTTCATTATTATTATTATTATTATTATTATTTGAGATGGAGTTTCGCTCTGTCACCCAGGCCGGAGTGCAGTGGCGTGATCTCGACTCACTGCAACCTCTGCCTCCTGGATTCCAGCAATTCTCCTGCTTCAGCCTCCCTAGTAGCTGGGATTATAGGCATGTGCCACCACACCTGGCTAATTTTTGTGTTTTTAGTAGAAATGGAGTTTCATCATGTTGGCCAGGCTCGTCTCGAACTCCTAACTTCAGGTCATCTGCCTGCCTTGACCTCCCAAATTGCTAGGATTACAGGTGTGAGTCACCATGTCCAGCCTAATTTCATTACTTATCCAAGAGTCATTCAGGAGCAGGTTGTACAATATCCATGTAGTTTTGTGTGGTTTTGAGTAAATTTCTTAATCCCAAATTCTAATTTGATTGTGCTGTGGTTGGAGAGACTGTTTTTTATGACTTTAGTTCTTTTGAATTTGCTGAGGGGTGTTTTACTTCCGATTATGTGATCAACTTTAGAGTAAGTGTTGTGTGGTCATAAGATGTACATTCTGTTGTTTTTAGGTGAAGAGTTTTGTAGATATCTATCAAGTCCACTTAGTCCACAGCTGAGTTCAGGTCCTGGCTATCATTGTTAATTTTCTGTCTCAATGATCTGTGTAATATTGTCAGTGGGGTGTTAAAGTCTCCCACTATTATTGTGTGGGAGTCTGTCCCTCTGAGGTCTCTAATAAATTGCTTTATGAATCTGGATGCCCCTTTGTTGGGTGCATATATGTTTAGCACAGTTAGATTTTCTTGTTGAATCAAACCCTTTACCATTATGTAATGCCCTTCTTTGTGTTTTTTGATCTTTGTTGGTTTAAAGTCTGTTTTGTTAGAAACTAGGATTGCAACCCCTGAGTTTTTTGGTTTTCCATTTACTTGGTAAATTTTCCTCCATTCCTTTATTTTGAGCCTATTTGTGTTTCTGTAGGCGAGATGGATCTCTTGAAGACAGCACATTGATGGGTCTTGGCTGTTTGTCCAACTTGCCATTCTGTGTCTTTAAATTAGGGTATTTAGCCCATTTACATTTAAAGTTAGTATTGTTATGTATGAATTTGATCCTGTCATCATGAAGCTAGCTGGTTATTTTGCAGGCTTGTTTATGTGGTTGCTTCATAGTGTCACTAGTCTGTGTACTTCATTGTGTTTTTGTAGTGGCTGGTAACAGTTTTTTCTTTCTGTATTTAATACATCCTTCAGGAGCTCTTGCAAGGCAAACCTGGTAGTGACAAACTCCCTCAGCATGTGTTTGTCTGAAAAGAATCTTATTTCTCTTTTGCTTATGAAGCTTAGTTTGGCTGGATATAAAATTCTGGGTTGGAAATTCTTTTCTTTAAGAATGTTGAATATTCGCCCCAATCTCTTCTGGCTTGTGGGGTTTCTACTGAGAGGTCTGCTGTTAGTTTGATGGGCTTCCCTTTGTAGGTGACCTGGCCTTTCTCTCTGGCTGCCCTTGACATTTTTTCTTTCATTTTGAACTTCAAGAATCTGATGATTATGTGTCTGGGGATTGATCTTCTCATGGAGTATCTTACTGTGGTTCTCTGCATTTCCTGAATTTGAATGTTGGCCTGTCTTACTAGGTTGGGGAAGTTCTCCTGGAGGATATTCTGAAGTATATTTTCCACCTTGGTTCCATTCTCCCTGTCTTTTATGGGTACCCTGATCAATAGTTTGGTCTCTTAACATAATTCCATAATTCTTGGAGGTTTTGTTCATTCCTTTTTATTCTTTTTTCTCTATTCTTATCTGCCTGTGTGATTTCAGGAAGATCGTCTTCAAACTCTGAGATTCTTTCCTCCGCTCAGTCTATTCTGCTATTGATACTTGTGATTGCATTGTGTAGTTCTCATGTTGTTTTTCAGCTCCATCAAGTTGGTTATGTTCCTCTCCAGAATGGCTATTCTGGCTATCAGCTCCTGTACTGTTTTTTCATTATTCTTAGAAATGAAAGAATATTTCATGCTCTTTTAGCTCAGTTAAGTTCATTATTACCCACCTTCTGAAGCCTACTTCTATTAATTCAGCTATCTCAGCCTCAGCCCAGTTCTGTGCCCTTGCTGGAGTGGTGTTGCAGTCATTTGGAGAAGAGGTCCTCTGGCATTTTTAGTTTTCAGTGTTTTTGCATTGATTCTTTCTCATCTTTGTGGGCTTATTTTCCTTTGATCTTTGAGGTTGCTGATGTTTGAATGGTGTTTTTATTGGGTCTTTTTTGTTGATGTTGTTTTTTCTGTTTGTTTTTCTTTTAACAGTCAGGCTACTCTTCCACAGAGCTGCTGTGGTTTGCTGGGGGTCCACTCCAGACTCTAGTTGCCTCATTTTTCTTGTGCCTGGAGGCATCACCAGTGAAGGCTGAGAAACAGTAAAGCTGTCAGCCTGCTCCTTCCTCTGAAAGCTCTGTCCCAGGGGGGTACTGACCTGTCGCTGTTCCAAACACGCTTGTAGGAGGTGGCTGGAGATCCCTTTTGGGAGGTCTCACCCAGTCAGTAGGAACAGGATCAGGGACCTGCTTAAAGAAGCAGCCTGGCTGCTTTTTGGCAGAGCAGGTGTGCTGCACTGGGGGGCACCCTTCCTCATCTGGACCATTTGTATTCTCCAAAGCCAGCAGGCTGGAATGGCTGACTGGACCAAACTGCAGAGATGGTAGCTGCCCCTCACCACAGGAACTCGGTCCCATCTCAGGCAGACTCCAGCCTGTTGCCATTGACTGGCTGGAATTGCAAGCCAGTGAGTCTTAACTTGTGAGGTGCTGTGGAAGTGGGGCCCTCAGAATGATGCTGCTTGGCTCCCTGGGTTCACCCTCTTCCTAGGGATATGTATGGATGGATCTCTTGCTTTGCTGGAGATCCCGGGACCAGAATATGTATAATTCCTGGTTCTCTGTATGTGCGTGAGTGGCTGCTCTGCCAAGACTTCACACAGTTCTGTGTATCAGACGCAAGTCTCTGGTAGTGTGGGCTCACAAGGAGATCTCCTGATCTATGGGTTGCAAAGATCCATGAGATAAGTGTGGTTTCCTAGGCAGGGCCACACAATCACTCACTGCTTCCCTTGGCTAGGGGTGGCAGTTCCTTTGGCTCCATGCTGCTCCCGGGTGGGCTGTTGTTCCACCCTGCTTTTCTTCTTTCTCCGTAGGTTGAGTTGTTTTCTTAGTCAGTCCCAATGCAAGAACCTGGATATTTCAGTTGAAGGTGCTAAATTCACTCAAAGCTTTCATTCCTCTCTGATGGTGCCATGGACTGCAGCTGCTTCTAATTGGCCATGTTGGCCCCTCCAAAGTGGTTTCTAAGTGGGTTTTAAACTGGATTTTCATATCAAAACATAGTGTTGTTATTAGATGGGTTTTCATAATAAGAAGATTAGAAAAAATGTTCAATATTTTCCTGTAAAACTAGCCAATAATTTAGAGAATTTAGAAAACTAAGGTAATTAATTCATCTTCATCAGGTCTGTTTTTCTTTATAATTTTAAGAGGAGGTTCATTAATTCATGGGTTATCTTATTTTATTCTTTAAGATATCAAATGAGAACTCAGCTCTCTGTAGTAGTCCTGAAACTGGCTTTAATAACGATCAGTTCAAAGCTATTCTTTCTCATCTATACTTTCACCCACTTCTTCTTACCCTCACTGTGATTGTATTGAAGCAAATTCCAGATTTCATAGCATGTCATCCATATATATTTCAGTAAGTAAAGCTAGGGAACTCTATTTCTTTTTGAATATACCTAGAATACCATTGTCACACTTAAAAATAATAATTCCTTAATATTATCAACTATCTAGTCAATGTTCACATCAATATTAGATGAAATACAACAAAATGTAAGATATCTTAACAAATAATACATTGCCAAGGCAAAACTCATATCTTATCTGTATTTGTGCCTTAATTCTTAAAATACATTTTTGTAATGAATTGAATATTGTTTTCATTTAAATTATTACCAGGTAAAGTCCTTAAATATCCAATATTATTTTATTTAAAATCCCTACTAAGCAATTCAGAATGATTTTGACTTTATGATTCCACATTCACCAATGAGTTATCTCTAGTATGTTCACTTTATTCTTAAATAATCACCCTAATGTATAGTTAGGGTGCATAGTTACATATACACACAAAGTAAAAAGAGATGATGTTGCTTCTATGAATACCACACAAAAGTCCATGATGTCTTTCTAGGTACATCATTGTCTTATTTCCTATTATATATTGCCTCATGATTCCGTAACTACTTTATAAATGTGGCAATGAATAGACTACTTTAGAAGATGATTCTTAGATAAATAATTTATCCTTTAACAAGTTTAAAGGCTAACTTAACAAATATTTATTGAGTGCCTACTAAACGTTGGATTTGGTGACATTGTATACACTGTACTGTTAGCAGTCAATAAGAGAAAAATAATCTCTCATTAACTTTATAATGTAGTCTTGTAGAAAAACTGTAAAAATATGCCAAACAAGGCCCAAGTAAATCTAATTAAAAATAAGGAAATATGATATTTAAAGCACTATCTAACATTTGTTTCACATGTGAAAATATGATGTTACTAGGAAAAAAATGAGGAAGGCAGGAAGCTTTGCACAAAGGAGGCCACTCAACTAACATCAGTGGGACTAAACTGATTGATCTAGGTTTTCTCTGGATAAGCATTCATTACCCTTCATGTTTAATAACAGTTATGTGTTTTTAAGGCAAGTTAAACAACTTGTAATTAAACCTGAAGTAGTCAATTAAGATAAGTTTGAAACATCAAGTCTATGTTTTATTAAAAAATGTCTTTCTTTTTCAGAAGTTTATGATTACCACTGATGATAAAGAGAAGCCAGACTAGAAAGAAAAAGGATTGGCAGGACATACATTAAGTTCAAAGAGGAAATGTGAATTGCTGATCCTAAATCCATTTAAAAATGTTCTCTGCCTTTAGAAAAATATTTGTTCCAAGCTGAAAGCCTCATTATACACAATAGAACTGACCCTTAGTTTATAATTAGGCTTGGGTCAAAAGTCTTAACCAAAAAATTCAAAATATACATAAGTATATGACCTGAATAAGGAATGTCTCCAGTTAAGTGCAAGCTGTGTTTAAAAAGCTCTCAGGAAAGACTCAATTACCATCCCCTGTTCTTTTAGGAAACCATTCAGGAGAGACTTAAAAGGATGTTACAAAAAATGCTAGATTCCAAAAGGATTTTATATTCTCTCATTAGATCTTCAGTTAAATGACCAAATGACAGATATAAAATTGAATAAAAAAAGAGTAAAATAGCATATGATATAATACATTGTATTTCCATGTTTGTGGACCACGGTTTAAATTATAAACAAAATAAAAAGTAGGTAACTGGACTCCATACTCTGTCTAACTGAATAACTTTATTCAGCTACAATGAAGGTAGAAAATTCTTTATTTATATATTAGGCCACAGTTAAAGAATGTGCAAAAATATAAGCAAATACTAGTTCTTATCTTAAACTGAATTTGAACTACCTTTGGACCTAATCCTGGGGAATTACTTTTAAAACAGTGGGAATCATATTTCTAAAATGACTTTAATCCTCTTTGCCTTTGGGAAACTATTAGAGAAGACAGCCATTTTGGGGAGGAAAATGTTTTTTATGGTTGACTAGGAAAAAATATGGCATATATGTTAAAATACAGAATACAATTAATCAAAGATGTTAAAATATGGAAAAAATAAAATCAGTAGAATATAGTATTATCATCCATATTTTATAGATGAGTGAACTAAGACAATAGAAGTTAGAAGATATGCCCAAAGTCACTTGACATGAAAGTGGAAGGCAGCCTCATTCACTTTCTATTTCTTGCTATACACAGATAAAATTAATTTGTAAATTAACCTCGTATCCAGAAACCTTATCGATCTCAGTATTAATTCTAAGAACATCTCTGTAGATTTGTTTTGCACTATTTATAGAGTCATAACCGCAAATAATGATAGTTTTATTTCTTCCTTTCCCTAATTTATACATTTATTTATTTTTCTTGCCCATTCCACTGGTTGAATACAAGCAGTCATTTCCATCATCTTTATCTTGTCTCTAAACTCAAATGAAAAGCTTTACCATCATTTTCCACCGAAGCATAATGTTTGTTGTTATCTATTGCACATGATTATGCGTGGTTGTCTGTATTATTCTGTTAATATGGTAAGGTAATTGACTAATTTTCATGTGTTAAGTTAATCTTGCATCCCTAGAATAACCTAATTTGGATATATTATTCATGTTATATATCACCAGATACTACTCGATAATTTTTTAAGATTTTTAAATCTATGTTCATGAATGAGACTGATTTATAATGTTCCTATTTCTTCCTGGCATGATCAGGTTTTATTATTTCCAAGTATATTTTTAAAACTTAGAAACATGACTCTAATGCAAATATAGATTGAACATATATTCAACATCAGTAAAGACTGATCTCACCCACTGAGTAAAGCTGGTCCAAGACAATGTGAGAGAAGATATATATGTAATGAAATAACTCTAGAATAAGATTGATGAATTAATGCCCTACAGGGTGATAAAATTATAACTTTTGGGGTTATCTTTTCTACTTGACATAAAATATTTACATCCTTACTTGACAAAATCTATATATTCATAAGTAACTTCACAGAGTGTAGGCTATAATCAGTAAATAGTAAGTGAAACGAAAGTGCATCTCCTAGAGAATTAAATATTCCTTGAGTGGCCCTGTTCAACAATACTGTAGAATAACATTAAAAGGACATGCAGTCATCTTTTCCAAAACATTTCCAACAGAAATGCTGGTTATACTTAACAGAATCTAGATTATATAGGGACCTCATTGACTCCCCCTTCTGTTTTCTGGGAAAAATGTCTACAAAACCAGCAATTTGCCCCTAAAATGCTTGGTAAAATGTGTAAGTGAAGTCATCTACTCTTGGAAGTGTGTGAAGGTACTTAGTAATAGATTTAACTTCTTTAATAAATATAGGACTATTCAGATTTACCATATTTTTTGATATTGCAGTATTTTAGAAATTTTTCCATTTCACCTAAGTTTTCAAGTTTATTGGCAGAGAGTAGTTGGCAGTACTACCATCAGAAGGAATTACTTGATGTCTTTAATATTTCTTGTGCTGATTATTTTTACCTCCTCTCTTTATATCTCAATCAGTATTGCCAGAGATTGAGGAAGTTTAGGTATTTTCAGGTACTGAATGTGGACTTCCATGACTTCTCTATTGTGTGTTTATATTCGACTTAATTTCTTATTTTAACCTTTTTATTTCCTTATCTGTTTCTTATTGTTAAATTGTTGTTGTTTACCTACCTTCTTAAGAGGAATGCTTAGGTCATTGATTTTCAGCCTTTCCGTTTATCCAGTGTATACATTTGAGGCTACAAATGTCTAGTGCTTTAATATTACTTCACAATTTTGATATGTGAATTTTTTCATTAGCTTATGGTTCAAAAATTATTAATTTCTCTTTATATTTATTCCTTGTTCCATATATTTAGATATTTATTGCTTTTAATTCTCACATATTTTAAGATTTTCTAGCTAGCTTTTTTATTGTGGTAAAAAATGCACAATAAAATTTACCCTTTAAAAAAATTTTTTTTGTTACCCTCCCCTCTCAGGTATCTGGTTATAGCATAAAATTTACAATCTTGAGTATTTTTAAGTGTACAGTACAGTATTATTAATTATAGGCATCTTGTTGTGCAACAAATCTTTAAAACTTCCTTTTGCAAAACTGAAACTCTAAACCCATTGAACTCTCCTTTTCCCCTTCCACACAGCCCCTGACAAACACTATTCTACTATATAGTTCTAAGATTTTGACTACTATAGCTACCACATATACTTGGAATCATTCCATATTTGTCTTTTTGTAACTGGCTTTTCACTTAGCATAATGTCCTCAAGGTTTATTCATGTTGTCATATATGACAGAATTGCCTGTTTGTTTGTTTGTAGAGATGGGGCGTCACTTTGTTGCTCAGGCTGGCTCAAACTCCCGGGTTTAAGTGATCCTCCTGCCTAGGCCTCCCAAAGTGCTGGAATTGTAAGTGTGAGCCACCACACCCAGCCTCCTCCTTTTTTTTTTTTTTTATGAAGACTGAATAACACTCCACTGTATGGATATACTATACTTTCTTTAACCATTCATCTGTTGATAGACATTTAGGTTGCTTCCACATCTTGGCTATTGTGAAAAATACTGCAATAAACTTGGAGTCCAAATATCTCTTCAATATCTTATTTCAATTCTTTTGGATACATACCCAGAAGTGGGATTGTGGTATAATATGGTAGCTGTAATTTGTTGAGGAACCGCCATACTATTTTCCATATTGGCTGTATTCCATATTGGTGAGAATGTAAAATACATTTTACATTCTCACCAAAGTGCATGAGGGTTCCAATTTCTCCTCATCTTCAAGAACACTTGTTAGTTTTCTGTGTTTTTGTTGATTACCATCCCAATAGATATGAGGTAATATCATTGTTGTTTTGATTTGCATTTCCCTGATAGTGATGTTGAGCATCTTTTTATATGTTTGTAGGCTGTTGTATTTCATCTTTGGAAAAATGTCTATTCAAGTCCTTTGACCATTTTAAAATTAGATTATTATTATTTTCTTGGGTATTGAGTTATAGAAATTCTTGATATATTCTGGAATATTAACCCCTTTACCAACATATAGTTTGCAAATACTTTCTGTATTTGGTTTCCCAAACTTTTCATTCTGTTGATTATTTCATTTGCTGCACCAAAGTTTTAAAGTTGGATGTAGTCCCATTCATCTATGTTTACTTTTGTTGTCTGTGCCTTTGTTGTCATGTCCAGTAAAACACAGCCAAATCCAATGTCATGAACATTTCCTTCTATGTTTTCTACCAGAAGTTTTGTAGTTTAAAGTATTACATTTAGATATTTAATCCATTTTTAATTACTTTTTGTATATGGTGTAAGAGTGGGTCCAACTTCATTGTTTTGCATGTGGATATCCAGCTTTCCCAACATCTTTTGTTGAAGAGACTATTTTCCATTGTGTAGTTTTGACATCTTTGCTGAAAATCATTTGACCATATACATAAAGATTTCTCTGGGCTCTTTGTTCTGTTACATGGGTCTATAGGTCTATTTTTATGTTAGTATCATACCGTTTTGACTACTGTATATTTGTAATATGTTTTGAAATCAGCAAGTGTGATAACTACAGCTTTGTTTTCGTTATTGAAATAGGAAGTTGAGATTTTTTGGCTAGTCATGGTCTTTTGAGATACCACATGAACTTTAGGATAGTCTTTTTTACTTCTGAAAAAAAGCCTTTGGAATTTTAATAGAGATTTCAAGGAATCTGTAGATTACAGTACAAATATTTTAACACTATTAAGTCTTTCAACCCATGATCACGGGATGTCTTCCCCTTTATTTGTGTCTTGTTTAATTTTTTTCAGCAATGTTTTAGAATTCTCAGTGTATACGTTTTTTTCCTCCTGGAGCAACTATATCTATAAGTATGCTATTCTTTTTGATATCATTGTAAATTATATTTGTTTTCTTAATAATTTCCTTGTCAGGTATTTTGCTGATAATGTACAGAAATGCAACTAATTTTTGTGTGTCAATTTTGTATCCTGAAATTTACGAATTCATTTACTAGTTTTAACAGTTTTTGGGTTTTGTGTATTACATCTCTAGGGTTTTCTATATATAAGATTATGTCATTTGTGAACAGAGTTAATTTTACTTCTTCCTTTCTGATTTAGATCTCTTTTATTTCTTTTTCTTGCCTAATTAATCTGGAATTCCAACACTACGTTGAATAGAAGTGGTGAGAGAGGGCATCCTTCCCTTGTTACCAATCTTAAGAGGAAAAGCTTACAGTTTTTCACTTGTTACTGAGAAAAATAATAGCTATAAGCTTTTCATATATGGCCTTTACCATATTGAGGTAATTTCCTACTATTTCTAGTTTGTTTAGTAGTTTCATCATGAAAAGGTATTACATTTTGTCAAATGCCTTCCTTGGCATCCAGTTGACTACGTGCATTGTTTGTTTTTTTGTTTTGTTTTGTTTTTTTGAGACAAGGTCTCCCCCTCTGTCACCCAGGCTGGAGTGCAGTGGAGTGATTTCGGCTTACTGCAACCTCTGCCTTCTGGGTTCAAGCAATTCTTGTGCCTCAGCCACTGGAGTAGCTATTACTGGCGTGTGCCACCACACCTGGCTAATTTTTGTTATTTTTAGTAGAGATAGGGTTTCACCATGTTGGCCAAGCTGGTCTTGAACTCCTGACCTCAAGTGATCTGCCCACCTCGGGCTCCCAAAGTACTGGAATTACAGGCATGAGCCACTGCCCCTGGCCTATGTGGTTTTTGTCCATTATTTTGTTAATGTGATGTCTTAATTTGATTTTCATATATTGAACCATCTTCTTGCATTCTAAAAGTAATTGGTGTAACTCTTAATGTGTTGTTGAATTAAGCATGCTAGTGTTTTGCTGAAGATTTTTGCATCGACATTCATCAGGGATATTGGTTTGTAGTTTTCGTTTCTTAAAGTATCTGCCTGATTTTGGTATCAGGGTAATGCTGGACTTCTGAAATGAATTTGGAGGTTTGTTCTAAATTTTTTGCAAGAGTTTGAGAAGGATTTTTGTTAGTTCTTTAAATGGCTGCAAGAATTCTTCAGTGAAGTCACTGGTCCTAAGCTTTTCCTTGTTGGGACCTGTTTGATTACAGATTACGTCTCCTTACTCGTTATTGGTCTACAAAGAATTTTTATTTCTTCATGAGTCAGGCTTGGTAAATTCCTAGGAATTTATCCATTGCTTTGAAGTTGTCAAATTTTATTATTATATAGTTGTTTCTAGAAATCTCTTGTGATCATTTGTATTTCTGTATCATCAGTTGCAATGTCTTCTTTCATTTCTGATTTTTATTACTGGAGTCTGTTTTTTTTTTTTTCTTAGTCTAGCTAAGGGTTTGTTGCTTTTATTGATCTTTTCAAAAAACCAATTTAGTTTTGTTAATTTTTAAAATTGTTTTTATTCTCTGCTTCATTACTTTCTGCTCTAACATTTGTTAGTTTCTTCCTTCTATTAACTTTGAGTTTAGTTTGTTCTTACTTTTGTAGTTCTTTGAGATATAATGTTAGAATTTTTATTTGACATCTTTTCTCTTTTTAAAGGTAGGCATTTACTACTCCAAATTTCCCTCTTAGAGCTGCTTTTGCTGCATCCAATAAGTTTGGCTATGTTCTGTTTTCATTTTCACTTGACCTAAGATATTTTCGCATTTCTCTTGTGATTTCTTCTTTGATTCATTCATCATTCAAGAGTGTATTAATTTCCACATATTTAGGAATTTTCAAGTGTTCCTTTTGCTATTGATTTCTAGTTTAATTCCACTGTGGTTAGAGAAGATAGATGGTATGATTTCAATTTTCTTAAATTTGTTAAGACCTGTTTTGTGGCCTAACATGTCATCTTTAGAAACATTCTGTGGGCATTTTAGAAGAATGTGTATTCTGCTGTTGTTGGGTGGAATGCTCTGCATTTATCTATAAAGACCAATTTGTCTAGAGTGTTGTTCAAGTCTTCTGTTTCTTTACTTTTCTCTGGCTGATCTATACGTTATTGAAATTGGAATATTAAAATCTCTATCATTATTGTGTTACTATCTAATTATCCCTGCAATTCTTTCAATTCTTCATGCTTGCTGTATATATTCACCTAATATATATAAAATTACATCTTTCTGGGAACTGACTTTTTAAATCCTTATATGTTCTTCTTTGCCTCTTGTGACAATTTTTGACTTAAAGTTTATTTTGACTGGTATATCAACCCCTGCTGTCATTTGGTTACCATTAGTATGACATTTATTTCTCATCCTTTCACTTTCAGTCTATGTGTGTTGTTAAATTTAAAGTGAGTCTCTCATAGATAGCATATAGTTGGATTGTGTTGTTTTTTTATTTTTCCATTTAGCCACTGTATATATTTTGACTTGGGAAATTAGTACAGTTATATTTAAAGTAATTATTGATAGGTTAGGACTTACTCTTGCCATTTGGTTAATTTTTTCTTTCTGTTTTGTTCTCTTGCTCCTCTCTTCTTCTCATGTTGACTTGTGATTTGATGATTTTTCATGGTGATGTGCTTTTATTATTTTCTATCTTTTGTGTATCCACTTTACATTATTTTTGTGGTTACCATGGAGATCACATAAAATATTTTATGGTTACATCAGTCTGTTTTAAGCTCACAACCACTGATCTTAGATTACAGAAGTTACTCTATACTTTACTCCTCCCCAACACACATTTTATGTAATTGATGTCAGACTTCTTTTTTTTTTTTTTTTTGAGAGACAAGGTGTCACTCTGTCACTCAGGTTGGAGTGCAGTGGTGCAATTATGGCTCACTGCAGCACTGAACTCTTGGGATCAAGGGATCCTCTCTACTTAGCTTCCTGAGTAGCTAGGACCACTGGTGCTCACCAGCACACTTGGCTAATTAAAAAAATTAATAGAGATGAGCTCTCCCTATGTTGCCCATACTGGTCTCAAACTCCTGGGCTCAAGCAGTCCTCCCATCTCGGCCTCCCAAAGTGCTGGCATTATAGCTGTGAGTCACCTCACACAGCCAGATATTGCTTCTTTCTATATTATGTTTAAATTGAAAAATATTTGTGGATACAGTTATTCTGACTACTTCTGTTTTCTAATTTATGTAAGTATTAAATGTTAAGGTGCATGATTACAGTATTACAATTTTCTGAGTTTGTCTTTATGTTTAGCTTTCATACTACAATTTATATTTTCATATGCATTTGTATTATTGCTTAGCTTTTTTTTTGTTTCAACTTTAAAACTCTTGTAAAGCAGTCCTAGTGATAATGAACTCCTTCAATTTTTTTTATTATACTTTAAGTTTTAGGGTACATGTGCACAACGTGCAGGTTTGTTACATATGTATACATGTGCCATGTTGGTGTGCTGCACCCATTAACTCGACCTTTAACATTAGGTATATCTCCTAATGCTATCCCTCCCCGCTACCCCCACCCCACAACAGGCCCCGGTGTGTGATGTTCCCCTTCCTGTGTCCATGTGTTCTCTTTGTTCAATTCCCACCTATGAGTGAGAACATGTGATATTTGGTTTTTTGTCCTTGCGATAGTTTGCTGAGAATGATGGTTTCCAGCTTCATCCGTGTCCCTACAAAGGACATGAACTCATCATTTTTTATGGCTGCATAGTATTCCATGGTGTATATGTGCCACATTTTCTTAATCCAGTCTATCATTGTTGGACATTTGGCTTGGTTCCAAGTCTTTGCTATTGTGAATAGTGCCACAATAAACATACGTGTGCATGTGTCTTTAGAGCAGCATGATTTATAATCCTTTGGGTATATACCCAGTAATGGGATGGCTGGGTCAAATGATATTTCTAGTTCTAGATTCCTGAGGAATCGCCACACCGACTTCCACAATGGTTGAACTAGTTTACAGTCCCACCAACAGTGTAAAAGTGTTCCTATTTCTCCACATCCTCTCCAGCACCTGTTGTTTCCTGACTTTTCAATGATCGCCATTCAAACTGGTGTGAGATGGTATCTCATTGTGGTTTTGATTTGCATTTCTCTGATGGCCAGTGATGATGAGAAATTTCTCATGTCTTTTGGCTGCATAAATGTCTTCTTTTGAGAAGTGTCTGTTCATGTCCTTCGCCCACTTTTTGATGGGGTTGTTTGTTTTTTTCTTGTAAATTTGTTTGAGTTCACTGTAGATTCTAGATATTAGCCCTTTGTCAGATGAGTAGATTGCAAAAATTTTCTCCCATTCTGTAGGCTGCCTGTTCACTCTGATGGTAGTTTCTTTTGCTGTGCAGAAGCTCTTTAGTTTAATTAGATCCCATTTGTCAATTTTGGCTTTTGTTGCCATTGCTTTTGGTGTTTTAGACATGAAGTCCTTGCCCATGCCTATGTGCTGAATGGTATTGCCTAGGTTTTCTTCTAGGGTTTTTATGGTTTTAAGTCTAACATGTAAGTCTTTAATCCATCTTGAATTAATTTTTGTATAAGGTGTAAGGAAGGGATCCAGTTTCAGCTTTCTACATATGGCTAGCCAGTTTTCCCAGCACCATTTGTTAAATAGGGAATCCTTTCCCCATTTCTTGTTTTTGTCAGATTTGTCAAAGATCAGATAGTTGTAGATATGTGGCGTTATTTCTGAGGGATCTGTTCTGTTCCATTGGTCTATATCTCTGTTTTGGTACCAGTAGCATGCTGTTTTGGTTACTGTAGCCTTGTAGTATAGTTTGAAGTCAGGTAGCGTGATGCCTCCAACTTTGTTCTTTTGGCTTAGGATTGACTTGGTGATGCAGGCTCTTTTTTGGTTCCATATGAACTTTAAAGTAGTTTCTTCCAATTCTGTGAAGAAAGTCATTGGTAGCTTGATGGGGATGGCATTGAATCTATAAATTACCTTGGGCAGTATAGCCATTTTCACGATATTGATTCTTCCTATCCATAAGCATGGAATGTTCTTCCATTTATTTGTGTCCTCTTTTATTTTGTTGAGGAGTGGTTTGTAGTTCTCCTTGAAGAGGTCCTTCACATCCCTTATAAGTTGGATTCCTAGGTATTTTATTCTGTTTGAAGCAATTGTGAATGGGAGTTCACTCATGATTTGGCTCTCTGTTTGTCTATTATTGGTGTATAAGAATGCTTGTGATTTTTGCACATTGATTTTGTATCCTGAGACTTTGCTGAAGTTGCCTATCAGCTTAAGGAGATTTTGGGCTGACACGATGGGGCTTCCTAGAGATACAATCTTGTCATCTGCAAACAGGGACAATTTGACTTCCTCTTTTCCTAATTGGATACCCTTTATTTCCTTCTCCTGCCTGATTGCCCTGGCCAGAACTTCCAACACTATGTTGAATAGGAGTGGTGAGAGAGAGCATCCCTGTCTTGTGCCAGTTTTCAAAGGGAATGCTTCCAGTTTTTGCCCATTCAGTATGATATTGGCTGTGGGTTTGTCATAGATAGCTCTTATTATTTTGAGATATGTCCCATCAATATGAAATTTATAGAGAGTTTTTAGCATGAAGCGTTGTTGAATTTTGTCAAAGGCTTTTTCTGCATCTATTGAGATAATCATGTGGTTTTTGTCTTTGGTTCTGTTTATATGCTGGATTATGTTTATTGATTTGCCTATGTTGAACTAGCCTTGCATCCCAGGGATGAAGCCCACTTGATCATGGTGGATAAGCTTTTTGATGTGCTGCTGAATTCGGTTTGCCAGTATTTTATTGAGAATTTTTGCATTGATGTTCATCAGGGATATTGGTCTAAAATTCTCTTTTTTTTGTTGTGTCTCTGCAGGCTTTGCTATCAGGATGATGCTGGCCTCATAAAATAAGTTAGGGAGGATTTCCTAACTTATTCCTGGATATCCTTGTTAACTTTCTCTCTTGTTGATCTGTCTAATATTGACAGTGAGGTGTTAAAGTCTCCCATTATTATTGTGTGGGAATCTAAGTCTCTTCGTAGGTCTCTAAGGACTTGCTTTATGAATCTGGGTGCTCCTGTATTGGGTGCATACATATTTAGGATAGTTAGTTCTTCTTGTTGAATTGATCCCTTTACCATTACGTAATGGCCTTCTTTGTCTCTTTTGATATTTGTTGGTTTAAAGTCTGTTTTATCATAGACTAGGATTGCAACCCTTGCCTTTTTTTGTTTTCCATTTGCTTGGGAGATCTTCCTCCATCCGTTTACTTTGAGCCTATGTGTGTCTCTGCATGTGAGATGGGTTTCCTGAATACAGCACACTGATGGGTCTTGACTCTTTATCCAATTTGCCAGTCTGTGTCTTCTAATTGGAGCATTTAGCCCATTTACATTTAAGGTTAATATTGTTATGTGTGAATTTGATCCTGTCATTATGATGTTAGGTAGTAATTTTGCTCGTTATTTGATGCAGTTTCTT
The DNA here is from genome assembly GCF_000001405.40 of Homo sapiens. Lineage (NCBI taxonomy): Eukaryota > Metazoa > Chordata > Mammalia > Primates > Hominidae > Homo > Homo sapiens. The sequence continues at coordinate 35,355,373 of NC_000015.10, forward strand.
GCTAGCCTCGATGGTCTTTACAATTTGGCATGTTTTTGCAGTGGCTGATACCGCTTGTTCCTTTCCATGTTTAGTGCTTCCTTCAGGAGCTCTTTTAGGGCAGACCTGGTGGTGACAAAATCTCTCAGCCTTTGCTTGTCTGTAAAGGATTTTATTTCTCCTCCACTTATGAAGTTTAGTTTAGCTGGATATGAAATTCTGGGTTGAAAATTCTTTTCTTTAAGAATGTTGAATATTGGCCCCCACTCTCTTCTGGCTTGTAGTTTCTGCCGAGAGATCAGCTGTTAGTCTGATGCACTTCCCCTTGTGGGTAACCCAACCTTTCTCTCTGGCTGCTCTTAATATTTTTTCCTTCATTTCAACTTTGGTGAGTCTGACGATTATGTGTCTTGGAGTTGCTCTTCTCAAGGAGTGTCTTTGTGGCATTCTCTGTATTTCCTGAATTTGAATGTTGGCCTGCCTTGCTAGATTGGGGAAGTTCTCCTGGATAATATCCTGCAGAGTGTTTTCCAACTTGGTTCCATTCTCCCCGTCACTTTCAGGTACACCAACCAGATGTAGATTTGGTCTTTTCACATAGTCCCATATTTCTTGGAGGCTTTGTTCATTTCTTTTTATTCTTTTTTCTCTAAACTTCTGTTCTCACTTCATTTCATTCATTTGATCTTCCATCATTGATACCCTTTCTTCCAGTTGATCGAATCGGTATTGAAGCTTGTGTATTCGTCACATAGTTCTCGTGCCGTAGTTTTCAGCTCCATCAGGTCATTTAAGGATGTCTCTGCATTGGTTATTCTAGTTAGTCAGTCATGTAATCTTTTCTCAAGGTTTTTAACCTCTTTGCCATGGGTTTGAACTTCCTCCCTTAGCTCAGAGTAGTTTGATCATCTGAAGACTTCTTCTCTCAACTCGTCAAAGTCATTCTCTGTCCAGCTTTGTTCTGTTGCTGGTGAGGAGCTGCATTCCTTTGAAGGAGGAGAGGTGCTTTGATTTTTAGAGTTTCCAGTTTTTCTCCTCTGGTTTTTCCCCAACTTTGTAGTTTTATCTACCTTTGGTCTTTGATGATGGTGACGTACAGATGGGTTTTTGGTGTGGATGTCCTTTCTTTTTGTTAGTTTTCATTTTAACAGTCAGGACCCTCAGCTGCAGGTCTGTTGGAGTTTGCTGGAGGTCCACTCCAGACCCTGTTTGCCTGGGTATCAGCAGTGGAGCCTGCAGAGCAGCGGATATTGGTGAACAGCAAATGTTGCTGCCTGATCATTCCTCTGCAAGTTTTGTCTCAGAGGAGTACCTGGCCATGTGAGGTGTCAGTCTGCCCCTACTGTGAGGTGCCTCCCAGTTAGGCTACTCGGGGGTCAGGGACCCACTTGAGGAGGCAGTCTGTCCATTCTCAGATCTCAAGCTGCATGCTGGGAGAACCACTACTCTCTTCAAATCTGTCAGACAGGGACATTTAAAACTGCAGAGGTTTCTGCTGTCTTTTGTTTGGCTATGCCCTGCCCCCAGAGGTGGAGTCTACAGAGCCAGGCAGGCCTCCTTGAGCTGCAGTGGGCTCCACTCAGTTCGAGCTTCCTGGCCACTTTGTTTACCTACTCAAGCCTCGGCAGTGGCGGGTGCCTCTCCCCCAGCCTCTCTGCCGCCTTGCAGTTTGATCTCAGACTGCTGTGCTAGCAATGAGCGAGGCTCCGTGGGCGTAGGACTCTCCTAGCCATGTGCGGGATATAATCTCCTGTTGTGCCGTTTGCTAAGACTGTTGGAGAAGCGCAGTATTAGCGTGGGAATGACCCAATTTTCTAGGTCCCGTCTATCACCGCTTTCTTTGACTAGCAAAGGGAATTCCCTGACCCCTTGTGCTTCCCAGGTGAGGCGATGCCTCGCCCTGCTTCAGCTCACACTCGGTGTGCTGCACCCACTGTCTTGCACCACTGTCCGACACTCCCCAGTGAGATGAACCCGGTATCTCAGTTGGAAATGCAGAAATCACCCATCTTCTGCGTTGCTCACACTGTGAGCTGTAGACTGGAGCTATTCCTATTTGGCCATCTTGGCTCCCTCTGTGTATTTTATTTTTGTTTTTGCTTTTTAACTTGTATTTTGTTTATAGGTTCTGTGTGATTTAGCATTAAAGAGGTTCTGTCTTGTTGTGTTTTCAGGATTTATTTCAAGATTGAAAGCTCCTTTTAGTTCTTGTAGTGGTGGCTTGGTAATGGTGAATTCTGTCAGCATTTGTTTGTCTGAAAATGACTGTATCTTTCCTTCATATATGATGCTTAGTTTCACTGGATACAAAATTCTTGGCTGATAACTGTTTTGTTTGAGGAGACCGAAGATATGGCCCCAATCACTTCTCGCTTGTAGAGTTTCTGCTGAGAAATCTGCTGTTAATCTGATAGGTTTATAGGTTTATATGTTACCTGGTGCTTCTGTCTCACAGCTCTTAAGATTCTTTCCTTTGTCTTAACTTTGGATGACCTGATGACAATGTGCATAGGTGAAGATCTCTTTGTGATGAATTTCCCAGGTGTTCTTTGTGCTTCTTGTATTTGGATGTCTGGGTCTCTAGCAAGGCTGAGGAAGCTTTCCTTGACTGTTCCCCCAAATATGTTTTCCAAGCTTTTAGAATTCTCTTCTTCCTCAGGAACACGAATTATTCTTAGGTTTGGTTGTTTAATGTAATCCCAGGCTTCTTGGAGGCTTTGTTCATATTTTCTTATTCTTTTTTCTGTGTCTTTGTTGGATTGGTTGAATACTTTGTCTTTGTGCTCTGAATTTCTTTCTTCTACTTGTTCAATTCTATTGCTGAGACTTTCCAGAGTATTTCACATTTCTAACAGTGTGTCTAAAGTTTTCTGAATTTTTGATTTTTTTTTCTTTAAGTTATCTATTTCCTTGAATATTTCTCCCTTCATTTCTTGTACCATATTCTGGATTTCCTTGCATTAGGCTTTGCCTTTCTCTGGTCCCTCTCTGATTAGTTTAGTAACTAACCTCCTGAATTCTTTTTCAGGTAAATCAGGGATTTCTTCTTCATTTGGAGCCATTGCTGGTTAAACTAGTATGATTTTTTTGGAGGCATTGAAGAGCCTTGTTTTGTCATATTACCAGGGTTGGTTTTCTGGTTGCTTCTCATTTGGGTAGCCTCTGTCAGAGGGAAGTTCTAGGGCTGAAGGCTGTTGTTCAGATTCTTTTGTCCCATGGGGTGTTCCTTTGATGTAGTACTCTCCCCTTTTTCCTATGGATGTAGCTTCCTGTGATCCAAACTGCAGTGATTGTTGTCTCTCTTCTGGGTCTAGCCACACAGCAAGTCTACCTGGCTCTGGGCTGGTATTGGGGGTTGTCTGCACTGAGTCCTGTGATGTGAACCATCTATGGATCTCTCAGCCAGAGATACCAACACCTGTTCTGGTGGAGGTGGCGGGGGATGCAATAGACACCATGAGGATTCTTAGCTTTGGTGGTTTAATGTTCAATTTTTGTGTTGGTTGGCCTCCTGCCAGGAGGTGGCACTTTCCAGAGAGCATCAGCTGTGGTATTATGAGGAGGAACTAGTGGTGGGTAGGGCCCTAGAACTCCCAAGATTATATACCCTTTGTCTTCCGCTACCAGGTTGGGTAGGGAAGGACCATTAGGTGAGGGTGGGGCTAGGTGTGTGTGAGCTCAGACTCTCCGTGGGCGTGTCTTGCTGTGGCTGCTGTTGGGGATGGGGGTGAGATTCTCAGGTCACTGGAGTTGTGTACCTAGGAGGATTATCGCTGCCTCTGCTGAGTCATGCAGGTTGTCAGACAGGTGGGGGAAAGCTGGCAGTCACAGGCCTCACCCAGCTCCCAGCAAACCCAAGGGCCGGTCTCACTCCCACCATGTCCCCTCAACACCCCCCAGACTGTTTCTAGGCAGAGAGCAATACAGGCTTGAAAATCTACTGCAGGCTGTCTGACCCCAACCTGTGAAAGAAAAGGGCTTGGTTCTTCCCCTGCCTGTGGAGTCTGCACACCAGATTCGCGCCCTTCCCCAAGTTCTGGACAGAAGGCTTCTCACTCTGTTCAAATTGTTACAAAGTTCAGCTAGAGATTTGCTTCTCTCTGTGTAGTTTTACTCCCTGCTTCTCTCCCATTGGATCCCTGTGGTGCCAGGCAGGAATGGCCTGCTAGAGGACCCAGTGAGCTCCCAGGGCCTTTCTGCTGCTTCCTCCACCCCTGTATTTTGCTTGGCTCTCCAAATTGACTCAGCTCCAGCTAAAGTCGGAAACTTCTCCCATAAACAGACCTTCAGTTTAGCCAGTGGGTGCATGTTTGGGAGAGAAAGGTCTCCCTTTGCCACTTCTGCAGTTGGGGCACTCACAGTTTTGGGCGGGGGGACTCCTGGGTCCTGCAGGAGCAGTCCACTTCCTTCAGAGGGTCTCATTGTGTCTGTTTTTGGAGTCATCTTCTAAGTTTTTCAGTTCAGTCATTGTATTCTTCAGTTCCAGGATTTCCATCTGGTTGTTTTTTTAAGGTTTCTATATTTTTTTCAAAATTAAACTTCCCATTTTATTCATGTATTGTCTTCCTGGCTTCAGTAGTTGTCTATCTTTGTCCTCTTATAGCTTATTAAACTTCTTTAAAATGGTTATTCTGAATTCTTTGTCAAGCAGTTCATGCATTTCCATTTCTTTAGCGCTGGTTATTGGAGCTTTATTCATTTCCTTTGGTTATGTTTGCTTGATTTTTTGCACCATTTAGCCTTGCATTGTTGTTCTATGCATCTGAAAGAGCAAACACCTTTTCCAGTCTTTAACAGACTGATTTTTGCAGGTAAAAAACTTCTCCTGCTGGGTCCCCAGATTGATAGGGCTGCCTCCAAGATCACGATTAACTGGGGCTAGAGCTGTCTCACATGGATGCTGCTGGGTCTGTAGTCAGGTACACAGTTGAAGGGCCTGTTACTGCGGGCACAGGTGGGCACAATTCCTGCCTGGTACCAATCAGATGGGACTACCTCTGGAACCATGGTCAAGCAAGGTTGGAGGTGGGTCACAAGAGGACTTCTGGGTCTGCAGATGGCAGGCCCATTAGCAGGGTCTTAATAGGCATGGCTCCTACTAGACACCCATTAACCACAATAGATGGGGGATAGAGTCAAGTCATAGGGCTGCTTCAGCACTGAGGTAGGGTGAGTTCAGCAGGCCTGTTACCAGGGCTATGGATAGATGTGTCTTTTGAAGGTAACATATGTGGGTAGCACTGCCCCCAGGCCATAGCAGAGTGGAAATGGAATTAAGTCACAGGACCAGTTCAAGGTCTATAGCCAGATACCTTAATGGTGTGCCTGCTATTGGGGGCATAGATGGGTGTATCTCCCAGAGGGTCCCTGGGATGGCAGGACTGTCTCTGGGCTATGGTAGATTGGGGGCATAGATGGGTGTGTCTCCCAGAGGTCCCTGGGTTGGCAGGACTGTCTCTGGGCTATGGTAGATTGGGGCTAGAGCCCAGTTAAGGGCCACTTTAGTGTACACAATTGGGTGTGAGGTCAGCAGGCCTGCCACTGGAGGAATGAACAGGCATATCTCCTACCAGGTCCTTGGGTAGGCAGGACTTCTCCCTACAGCAAAGCAGGGCTGTAGCTGAGTCACAGGTCTCAGGATCCACAGCCGGGACTAAGTTTGTTGGCCTTCTAATGAAGGTATAAGCCAACCTGATTCCTCCCATGTGCCCTGACAAATGGGATCATGGGCAGGACAGAGACCAAGCGTGTCCGGAACTGAGACTACGGGAGAATAGGGCTGTTACTGACATGCAGCTGAGGCCACTGTCAGCTAGCCTGCCACTGGGGCATAGGCTAGTCTTCTCAAAGTGGCCCTCCAAAGTCTTGGGCATCAGTGAGGTTCTGCATCCTCCTACCTGGATCTCAATACTCCCACAAGGGCATTTTCGTCTGTGAATGTTTGCCAAGTTATTGTTAATATTGAGGGATATGAGCTGGGGAACCTCATTTTCCACCATCTTGCCTATGTCACTCTCTAACTTTCAACAGTTTGATTGTAATGTATCTAAGTGCAGGCCTTTTTAGGTTTGTCTTATTTTTAGTCCTTTGATCTTGAATTTGGATATCTACATCATTTCTCAGATTTGGGAAATTTTCAGCCATTCTTTAAATAACCTCTCTTTTTTTTTTTCCCTCTCTTATCCTTCTTGTACTCTCATACTGTATAGATTGGTCTGCTTGATCATGTCCCATAAGTTCTTTAGGCTTTCTTCACTCTTCTTTCTTTTTTTCTCCCTTTTTTATACTCTGACTCAAAAAATTCAAATGACCTGACTTCAAGTTTCCTGATTCCTTCTTCTGCTTGATAAAATCTGCTGTTGAACCTCTCCAGTGAATTTTTTGGTTCAGTTTTTATATTCTTTGGTTCCAGATTTTCTATTTCCTTTTCATACTTTCTATTCCTTTGTTGGTTTTCTCATTTTGTTTATGCATCATTTTCCTGATTTCATTTAGTTGTTTATTTTAATGTTTTCTTACAGCACATTGAGCTTTGTAATGATTACTTTGAATTCTTTGTCAAGTAATTCATATTAATAGATTTTCATTTTTTCAGAGCCAGTTTCTGAAGATCTATTTTGGGCCTCCGATTGGGTCATGTTTCCCTGTTTCTTTATGTGTCTTATTTGTTACATTTTTTGCATTTGAAAAAGCAAATGTCTCTTCCAATCTTTATAAAGTGGCTTCACACAGGGGAAGACCTTCACCAGTCAACCCAGTTAGAAATTTTGGGTCCTCTTAAAGCTTTTCTGGGGATGCCTCTTTCCTGGGTTTGTGCATGTAATTTCACAAGGAGAGAAGTTTTCCAGTTTCCTTTTCAGAAGCTTGTGATCTCTTACTCTGTAGAGTGTCTGTCTGCAGTGCTACAGGTTCTCTGGAACCATTACAAGCCACTGAGCTCTCTTTGCAGCTTTCTTTTCTGTTCTCTGTGGCCCTCAGGAATCCAAAACATGTCAGTTCTGTCAGCACTCCAAGTCAGGAGAGACAGTAACCAGACACTTGGGTAGCCATCTGAAAATCTGGAATACTGGACACATGTTCTGCCCTTCTCTTACCCTCCTGTGGGAGAAACTGAGTTGGTCACTTTAACCCAAATGTGGCAAGCTCTGCTGGCCTCCATCTTTATTATTGCCAGTTTTCAGGCATTGTAATAAGCTTCTAAACTTTCTATTTTTCTTTGTAACTTGTAGGCATCCAAAGTATGTCAGGACCCTGTCTGCACTCCAAGTCTGATGAGATACAAACCAGTCCCTTTAGTCATTGCCCCAAAGAGTTGGAATGTACCTTTAACATTCCACTATTCTTTTCTCCTCCCAAGGGAGAAGCCATGATCTTTCTGATCACACCAAGTTGTGCTGTTTTTGGGGAGGGGGCATCACAGTTGACACAGATGGCTTTTCTTACCCAATGTGGTTGTTTTTGACTCTGAGCTTGTCTGGGGTAGTGTGACTTTACTGGTTTCTAGAGTTCTCATAAAGGCTCTTTGAAGGATATACTGTTGTCCCCATGGGGAAATAGGGTTGGTCACTTCCCACTCTGCGATCTTACTAGTATATTTCTTTCTAGCCATCTTTTTTATTACTGATTTTTAGCATAATCTTATTGTAATATAACATTCCCTGCATACTTTCATTCCTATGACATTTGTAGACTTGTATTATGGCCCTGGGTATAACTAACTTTTGTATAATTTCTAGTTTCCTTGAAAATAATATGTGTACTGCACTTGTTGGGCATTGTGTTTCTATGTTTGTAGGGTCACGTTTGCTAATTGTGTTATTTTAATTTTCTATATCCTTGATGATTTTGTCTGTTTTTAAAATCAATACTTGAAAGAAGCGTGCAAAAATCTTGAATTATGACTACAAATTTGTCATAAGGAAATCCCCTACTGTCAATTTCTGTTACATATTTTAAGATGGTAATTATATATATACAAATTAAGAATTGTTATATCTTCCTGAAGAATTGAGCATTTTAACATATTGCAGTGTACTTTACAATAATGCTTTTCATTTATTTTGTCTTCTATTAAAAGACATCTACATAAACTCTCTTTTGCCTAGCTTTTGCATGGCACATGTTTTCACACTCTTACTTTCATTCTTTCTGTGCCCTTATTTTTAGTGGTGTCTCTTTCAAAGAGCATAGACTTTGGGTTTGCCTTCTAGTCAATCTAATATTTTTTGTCTTTAAGTGAAACAGTGGTACAATTATATTTAATGTAATTATTGATATATTTGCACTTAAATATATAATCTTACCCCATGATTTGCTTCTGCTAGTTGCTCTATGTTTATTTTAGCTTACTGTTTTGCCTTTTTTCTTTTTCTATTGCCTTTTAAAAATTATTTTTCATTATTCTATTTTTTCGTACTTCATTAGATTATATTATACTCATTTATATTATTTTAGTGGTTATCCTAGAATTTATGACATGTTATCTACATCTATGAGGGTTACTATGAATCTCAACATTTGCCTTTTTTTATATACAATGCAAAAACTTTAACCATTTAACTCCACTTCTCTAACACCCTTAGTTATGTGCACTGCTTTTTATTTAATTCTATGTAGATTTTAAACTCGGAGACATCATGTTATTCTTACATATAGTTAATATCTGCTTATATTTTCTCATGTTTACTCTTTTCATTTCTCGTTGATCTCTTTCCTGCATCTCTGATATTCTATCTGGAATAATTTCCTTCTGCCTTAATATCCTTTACTATCCTTTGGTGTGGATATTTTCTGGAAACAAATTTTCTTAGTTTTTGTTTGAAAAATCTTTAGTTTCATGTTTTTTCCCAACATATTTTGAGGAAAAAATTTATATATATGTGGAAAAGCCTAAAGGATTTTACAATGACCACCTATATATCCACTACCTACACTCTACAATTAGCACTTTGTTCTATTTATCACATACCTATCATTCGCCATCAATCCATTTCATATTTTTAATGCATTTCCCAGTAAGTTGCAGACATTACTCTTTATTTAGACTGTGTCATGCATGTTATTAACTAGAGTTAAGTATTTATATCTTCAAAAAAAAATTACACACAGCAAAATGAATAAACCACAACTGAACTATTAAATAAATTTTGACAAACAGATTACTGTCATCCTGGAAATTCCTCCACTTTTATTCTTGAAGGATATTATTGCTGGGTACAGAATTCTAGGATGGCATTTTCATTTAGCACTATAAAAATTTGATTTCATTGACTACTGTCTTCAATATTTCCATTCTAATTGTTGCTTCTTTGAAAGTAGCCTGTTTTTAACCCACTTTGTTTTCAATTTTTTTTTTCCTTTTTCTTTTGTTTCCAGCAGTTTTACCATCATGTGCCTGAATATCTACTTTTATTTTGTTTGGGGTTCATAAGACTTCTTGAATCTATACTTTGGTGTGTTTTGTTAATTTTGGGAGGCTCTTAGCTACTATGCTTTTAAACATTGCATCTTCCCCATTCTCCCTCTAGTCTTTCTGACACTCTAATTACATGTATTTTTGAGCTTCTCACTATTTCCATGCCTCTTAATTCTTTTATGTGTATTTTCTATCTTTGTTTCTCTTCATGTTTCATTCTGAATATTTTCTTCTGACCTCTTTTCCAGTTCACTGAATTGCTCTCTGGCTATATCTACAAGATATTGGAAAGACCTTAACCCCTTTTCTCAAACACAACTCAAACACAACTCACAACTAACATCTGCCAATGTGACCAAAAGGACTGGTAATATGACCCTCAACCTGGGCTTAAATCTATCATTATAAGTACTTCAGGATTCCTAGATCACGCTTATTCCCTAAAACCCAATCACCAAATCCATGGTCAGTGAGGCAACTTTCTCATGAACACATCTAATGTATTTTTATTTACTTTTCTATCTGTCTCACTCCATAGAATACAAGCTCCATGAAAGCAATATTTTTTAACTGTTCAGTTCACTATTGTACACCCAATGTCTAAACAGTGCCATGCATATAAGAATAAGCAGTCAATAAATGTGTTCTGAATGAATAAATCGTATGAGGATTATCTTTTATTACAAATCACCAAACTGGAACTTTATGAAAACAGCAATCAGAAATTTTATTTCTTAAAACAACAACAACAGCAACAGTAAAAAGCTGAATTGGTTAGCATAACAACTAGGTAAATATAAAAGCTAAAAAAGACAGTCAATTGGAGTTTGGAAGCATTGATTGTTACTTTTATTATTATCCTCTCCCAAACTGATAAGTCTTACATAGATTTAGGCTTCAAAAACACTCTTGCATTGCCCAGTTTGATTCCCAACACAAATGATATCATCACGGTATGGCGTTGCTACTACCAAAGTCCATTTACTCGAGACAGAAATGAGTCAAGTAGTCCTTTAAATGTGGGTGAAACTGATCCTTGATTTATTAATCTGCTCCAGTGACCATTTATAGCAACAGTGACCCAGCAGTACCTACAGCCCAGCACCCATTCAAGCCCCAAGTTGTCTCATTTAGTTTTACAGCATTAGGTTTTAGACTGGTAAATACCTTGCTCCATCTTGACAAATCACTTTTCTGCTCCTTAGCCTAAGGGCAAAGGTGGGGAGAGACAGGGTAGGAAAGTTGTGCTGAACCAAATGTTGGCAAATAAAAGTCATCATTTATCTTCTTACTTTCTTTGTCCTATTTGTAAGGAAATATTTTGTAGGTTGTATAGAGGCAGTGGCAGCATACCTCCATGGATGGGATCCTTGAGTTTATACACGTTGCTATGAGTGATGACAGCAAATTCCCATGCACAACATACTCAAGAGGCCTACCATCCCAACACTTTTAGTCATCTTGTGTGTGTGTGTGTGTGTGTGTGTGTGTGTGTGTATACATATAAAATTTTCTGAAGGGGTCTTTTTATAGACTTAACTATAGGATCAACTAGATTTCAATCCCCCATTGTGAGTAATGTTTTCACCTGAGTTCAATGGAAAGTTTTAAAGGGCCCTATTGTCTCTTTCTACCAAGACTAGTGAAATGTTGAAGAATAACATTTAAGTGTTTATTTAGCACTGAAACTCACTATACTGCTCTCTCTTAATTTTCTTAATCAGATATTTAAAAAAATTAAAAATACATGCTCATTGTTAAGAAGCCACAGATTACAGATATATAAAGAATTAAGCTTCTCTGTTTACTCCCTTCCTGCTCCCTTCCCCAAAGAATCCAATATGATCAGTCTGGTGATTATATGCCATCTCTTACTATCCTCATTCATACATAAATAAACATATAAGCTCCCGGCCTCCACCACCATTTTGAGAAAAACAGGATCATAACTCACACATCACCATTTGCCATGAATCAACAACATATTATGGCCATAACATCAGTTCAGGTTAGCAAAACTGGAGTTATCTGTCAATGTAATCATAACATTGGGAATAATGATTACAGTGGTACCTTCATTTTAGCATTAAGACTAGAATTACTCTGTAATTTACCTACATTTATAGTAGATTCCATGTAGACCTAGTAGTTTTTTAAACAGAGTAGGTATTCAAGATACATGCTGGATTGAAGAGAAAAATAAAAACACAGAGATGGCTAAACATTATAAAGTTTTTCAAGGCATTTGATGATATATCTCAAATAAAGCAAAATAAAATGAAAGAGCCAAGAATGGGCTGTAAGACTGATGATGTTTTTAAAAGTGACAACTTTTAAAAGTGTGTGCTTTTATTATTATATAAAATATATAATTGTCCCAGGAAATTATTTCAACAAAAAATAAACTTAAGTGCTGATTATAGGATACATTAGTACTTAGGAAATTATTTCAACAAGAGCACGATTAAATACTAAGTGAAAGTAGGGAACATTAATAAAATTGAGGTTAAATTCCTGTGAACTTTGTCTTTCTATAAATACAATTGCTTTGCTAATAATTAATTTAAAATACTATTTTCCATAAAGCTGTTAGAAAATCTAAAACAACCTCATAAGGAAGAAAGAGCCTTCTGAGTAGTTGCAAGTAAAAGTCTGATTTTTCTGTTAAAGGTTATACATTTTAATATGATTTTCTGATTGATTTATGTAAAGCTTTGGATTTTTCATTTTCTCAAGCCTGTCACTGCAGTGATGCATGGTATATTTTACTATCAAATTTGCCATAAGCAATAAAGTTGGGGCCCCAAAGAAATTTTAATATATTTCTCCGTTTTTATCTCACAGCTTTCTATTATTTGGTTATTTTGTTTAGAATCCCATGTTTAGTTGATATCATTTTTACATTCATATAAATAATTTAAAATTTTAACTTAAAGGTAAAATTTAAGTAGATTAATTATTTAATAGAAAAGTTTAAGGGTCATCATATGTAAAGTGAAAGTCTAAATGATAAATCAAAATTTACACTAACAATATTTTTAAATGTTTTATTTTACATTCTAGTTGCTTAAAGCATTTTTCTCTAACAAGATAAATGGAAAAAAAAATAGAACTCATTAAATGGCATATAATGTGAAATGGAGACACACCTGTAAGATTCTTTATGAATAAAAAATAAAATATGAAAATAACAACCAATTAAATTAAAAAGTTCTTATTAGAACTAATAGCTGTTACAGAATTTATGAAGATGAAAATGGAACAGTAGTCAAGACATCTGTATGTAACCTAGTAGAAAGAATAAGTCCTTAAACAACTAAACATAAAGCAGAATAAATAAGGTTATTTGCAACAAGAAAGGAAGAGAAACAAATTGACAGGGCAGTTCATCTCTTGTGCCTAAAGGTATAAGAGTATTTTAGTTCAATCTTGCATAGTCTGTAGGATTAAGTAGTTAAAAAGAGAAGAAGAAAGGAAAGCCGGTAAGACAGAATAAGGCAACGAAGGAGAGAAGCAGGAGGCATAATCAGGGAGTGGCCATTGGTTCAGTATCACTAGAGCAAAGTGGACAGGCAGGGGAATCCTAGGAGCAAGACTGAAAAAGGATGCTATGGCCATATGTCAGATAGCCTTCCATTCATGGCTAATAATTTTATTCACTTAGAAAATAATGAAGTACTATTGTGGAATTTTGTGCAGGGAGTCATACACTAGAAAGAAAATCTATATGGCAGTGAAACTGACTATAGAGAATATGAAAGCAAGGATTCGAATTAGTTGTATCTTGTCCAAGAGTTGGGTAAGATATAAATTTAATGAGAGATAAGCATGGGGATGGAAATATGTGCATATTAGGACTAGAATATAAAAGATTAGATAATCAATTGAATTTTCATAGTAAATGAGAGGATAGCTTAAGAGATGATTCCAACATTCTGTGGTTGAGTTACTATGAGGAGAACAGTTGTGTTAAATAACAAAAATAGGGAATAAAGACACTTTGAGGGGAAAATGAGTTCAAGTTTTGTACATAATGAGAATGACATGTATTGGTAGCCATGTGCAGCAGCCAGTCAGAAATAAGAACCTAGAGTTAAGGAGAAAGTAGATGTTAGTAAAAGACTAGAAAGAGAGTGACTTTAGAATCATCTGGATAAAGAGGTGAAAAGTAAACTTGCAGAAAATACATAATTCCAGAAAAAGAAAATATTGAAAAAGAAAAGAATGGACCTATAAAAAGAACTTGCAGCATATGTGCATGTTGAAGGTAAAAAGAAGAGAAGCTACTGAAGAAGATAGGAGAAATCTAAAGAAAGGCAGAAAAGTCAGACTAGTACAGAGGCATATGACCATTATAGGGGAAATTTTCAAAGAGATGGTGGCCAGTATTATCAAGGAAAGGCATTAAGGATTATGAAGAATGAAAAAAGGCCAACAGCAGTTCATCAAAGTAATTAAGGTCAAGCTAGATTGCAAATGTGTTATAAAGCAAATGAAAACTGATGGAATTTAGAAAACAGATTGATTTTAAGAGTGGTATTCAGGGTACTACATTCTAGATATTACTAATATTTGGGGTGGAATGTTAATTCGTTAAGATGCATCTGAAATACAATGTGATTTTGATAAAATATGTAGAAGAGTACCTGACATTTTTGTTATCCAGCATTTATTCATCTTTCTTTTGGTAATCATACTTCATTTTCTGTCTAAAGAATTCCTTCTCTACCATGTGGGTTAGTTTAGGAGTAAAGCTGGCAACATGTGAAAGTTTAGCCCTGGACCCTGTGACTGAGAGGCATATCAACTAACTCTGAATTCACACCAAGAATACCACCTTAAAGCCTGTTATATGAAAAAAAAAAAAAGAAAAATCCCAAATAGTCCTAATTGAGCCAACATGTAACATATTAAGCTATAACAATGAAGAGAAAAAAGGTGTCTAAACAAAATTCCAATGAATGAAATCAAAGAACTAAACAAAGAGATATTGCATGTTCATGGATAAAAAGACTCAATATCGTCATGATGTCAATTCTTCCCAAATTGATCTTCAATCCCAGTCAAAATCCAAGCAAGTTTTTTTGTGGATACGGAAAAACTGATTGTAAGGTTTTTATCAAGAGACAAAAAACCCAAAATGGTCAATACAATACGGAAGAAGAAAAAAGTTGGAAGACAAACACTATCTGACTTGAATATTTACTGCAAAGCTATAGTAATCAAGACTGTGGTATTTGCAAAAGAGACAAATCCATCAGTGGAACAGACTGGGGAGCCCAGAAATAGACCACACAAATATACAAAAGAACAAGGCAATATGATGGAGAAAAGATAGTCTTTTCAAGAAATGGTGCTGGAACAACTGAATAACTACATTTTTAAAAAACGAATCCATATATAGATGTTATGTCCTTTACAAAAATGAATTCAGAATGTATCACAAACATAAACATAAAGCACAAAGCTATCAAGCTTCGACAAGATAATCCAGATGACCTTGGATTTTGCAATGATTTTACAGATAGATATAACATTAAAAGCATAATACTAGAAAAAAAGAATTGATAAGCTGGAGTTCCTTAAAATTAAAAACTTGTGCTTTGTAAAAGACACTGTTAAGAGAATGAAAAGACAAAACATAGAATGGTAGAACATATTTGCAAATACATATTTGATAAAGAACTGTTATCCAAAATATGCAAAGAACTCTTAAAACTCAATAATAAGACAAAAACCCCAATTAAAAATAGTCAAAAGATCTGAAGAGACATCTCACCAAAGGAGATACACAGATGGCAAACAAACATGAAAAGATGTTCAACATCACATATCTTTAGGTAGTTGCAAACTAAAACAACAATGAGAGAACACTTCAGACCTACCAGAATGGCAAAAGTCCAAAATTCCTACAATGCTCAATGCTGGTCAGGAGGTGGAACAACAGAAACTCTCATTCATTGTTGGTGGGAATACAAAATAGTACAACTACTTTGGAAAACAGTGTGGCAGTTTTTTTTACAAAGCTAAACATAATCTTACCATATGATCCAGTAATTGTGCTCCTTGGTATTTATACACCTGAAAAAAACTTATCTTCACACAAAAACCTGTTCATGGATGTTTATAGTCGCTTTATTCATAATCGCCAAAACATGGAAGCAACTGAGATGTTCTTCAATAGGTGCATGGACAAATGAAATGTGGTAGAACCAGACAATAAAATTTTATTCTACACTAAAAAAAAAATGAGCTACATATACATGACAAGATACAGAGAAACCTAAATGCATATTAATACATGAAAGAAGCCAATCTGAAAAGCTATATACTGCATGAAAAGCTATATACTGTATGATTTCAACTACATTACATTCTGGTAAAAGCAAAACTATGTACACAGTGAAAAGATCAGTTGCTAAGGGTTAAAGGAGAGGGAGGGATGAATAAGTAAAACACAGAGGATTTTTTAAGGCAGTGAAATTATTCTGTATAATACTATAACGGTTGACAAATGTCATTACACATTTGTCAAAACCCATATTATGTACAACACCAAGAGTGAACCCTCACGTAAACTATGGACTTTGGGTGATAATAATGTGTCAATGTAGGTTCATCAGTTGTAACAAATGTACCACTCTATTATAAGACATTGACGGTAGGGGAGGCTGTGAATGTGTGGAGGTAGAGGGTATATGGGAAATCTCTGCATTTTCTGCTCCATTTTTGCTGTGAACCTAAAACTGTTCTAAAACATAAAGTCTATTTTTTGTAAAAGTTTTCTAAGGTCAACATAGTTAATACTGAAAAACAGCATTTTAAAAATCAGTTATAAAATAACTTGTAAGAGTTAAGGACATTCTTCCTAATTGTCCAATAACGTTGAAACACTTCAACCATGAATATATTTAAAATAAAAATGATAAATCGCTTTGGCGACACCCAGTAGAATAAGCTTGACTGGCTAAATAAAGTGACCATCTTTTCATCTTCATTTTCAAATGCCTCTGCATCATGACATTATTGGTAGGGATTGGAGCAAGAAAGAGAGAAGGAGGAAAAGAAACTAGTGTGATAAAAAAAGAAATGCTACAGAAATGGGGTTTATAGATGAAATAAAAGAAAAAAAAGGTCATAGGGAAGATGTGTTAACGAAAGAGAAAGAGTGAATTCCAAGAAAGTTGGCACTATTAATGAACATGCCGTCGACATTTTCCCAATTAATAAATGGTTCCACTAACCTCTTCTAGTGAAAGTATGTTTCTCTAAAAAAATAAGAGTCATGAGAAAAAAATAAACTAGTCATAGTAACTGAGAAAATACTATGCAATTTTTTTGTATAGAAATGGTGGTTTAATGAACAATGTTCCAAAACACTTTTCAAAAATTATATATATAATTAGATGTTCTGTAGTTGTCAGGCACTGAGGACACCTAAAAAAAAAAGGGAAGGAAAGGGAAGGAAAATGCACCATATTTATTCAGTGTCAGTGAATATGACACTTCAAAGATGTAATACTGTTATCTGAAATACTGTTATCTTCGCAGCCTATTTCAGGTAACAGTATTGCTTCTTTGAGGTGTCATACTGAAGACCAATCAAATACCAAAACAACGAGGTGAACAGTGAGCTATTCGGGTAGAGCTGAACATAGAATGGCTGGAATGCCTACACATGAATTCAGTGCTTTTGACTTTGTGTGTGCGTACATGGTAGCAAAAGTAGCAGAAAACTACAAGTTAGGGGTTCAAGTAAATCTGAAAAACATTTGGATAGTGTAACTTAATTCTTGTGGGGGTTACCAGCTTTTTGATAAAAGGTCACCAATAGTCATCATCCAGCCCAATTCCACAACCTATTTTTAATCCTGCCCATTGTCATTCTTCTGGAGAACTGGCACCTATAATTATCCTCACCTGTAGAAACCCTCTCATCTTGAGATTTTTGGCATTACCACTCTTTTCCTACTTTTGCCGAATTCTTGTTAATCCTCTTACTCCTTCAGATTTCCTATGATGTAAAATATGTAACTGTGGGTGTGCCTCAAGACTTGGGGGAAAGAACACTAAATATACAGAAGACATTTTCTAATCCTTTTCTGTCACTACACTCATTTCTTCACATAATTTCAGCTATCATTTTTATGGTAACTAATATAAAGCAACATCTGAAGGATGAGACCTCTCAATCAAGGAATCTAATCCAGAACTTTATTCCACAAGATATCTTTAAATTAAAATTTTACTGTATCTTGACAGTGTATTTAAAATAAAACTCTTTATTGTAATTTTGCTTCACTTTCCATCTTCCATTTTTACTTCTCTTTTCCTGGATATTTTTGTAAAGGTTTTATTTCTCCTTTTCCTCTCTTAAGCTTTGAATAATGACAATCCAATTTATCCTCAAACCCTTCCCTTAATGCTTATGTACAGTAACTTAAATGTGATCCTGCTAGATGATTTAATATTTGATTTTATATTGTCCTCCCATTGTTTAATGTATATACTATTCCCTTTTTAACTGACCTGCAAACTTTTCATAAATGTAGTATCTTTTGTATCATATATAACTCAAAACTATAAGCATTTGTAAAATTCTTAGTTATTGACTGAGGAGCTGAAAAAAAACCACTAATGATAAAAATCAATTTTCTTTTTCCTGTCATCTGTTGTTACAGAATTATATATGCAAAGCCAATGTATATATCTCAAATTTCTATTGAAATCACTGTGAATCTTAGATTTACTTGCCTTGTCCTCCAAGTGCAATTCTAAAAAGCGTAGATAAGCCACAGGTGCAAATGCATCAGCTGAATGTATGACTACTTCTGATGAATCCCTGAAATACAAAAATTTTACAATACATTTATATGCTACAAAAATTGTGACAAATCATTCCTCCTACTGACTAGAAGAGACTAAACATTCTTGTTTTATATTTATCTCCATTGGTATACAACATGTAGTGATTAATAAATATTTTTAATAACCCAGTATTTAATTGGGAAAAGGTTCAAGTATACTAAGCTTTTAAGAAAAAACAATGAGGCTTTCTATCTTCATAAGAACATAAGAGTTCAACTTTCAGGTTCACTCAAAGCTCTCTGAACAATTTTAAGACTTAAATTCCTGTTCAATTTCATTTTCACGTATTTGCTTGGTATAGGCTAAGCATTAAACATTAGTGCTTTATCTTCATTATTCTTTTCATTTTCAAGAGGTAATTCATTCAATGTTTCACACAAAATCTCAATTATCCTTCACAAAAGCAGTACTGGTGATGATTTTAAGCTCTAGATGAACTCTTCACACTGCAGTATCATTGCTATTAAAATTGATTGTCTGACATAGTAATGACCACATTCAGGTAAAATGGTATGAACTGCATGCTGGCACCATATGGATACATGTAAATTAACTCAACTTTTATCAAAGATACCCTGTAAAGCACATTTGAATAACTAAGATTATGTGTAAAGTTCTAATAATGAATTATTTTTTATTGTTTATTAAGAGAGTAATAATGTTTTGAATTTCAACTGAAAATTTAAAAATAGAAATTCCTCATATCACTTTAGTGCCTTGGGAAGTACTTCTATTGTTTATATTAATAGTTAGCATTTTGACCATTGTAGTACAGTAAAATAAATCCTGACATTGACATTTTGTCGCTAATGTAAAAATATTTTTGAATCGACTTGTATCATGCAAAGTTACTCGGTGGCAATAGAAGAAATCTCAAAATATTTGGCTCCAAATTATTAAACTTTCATAAGCAAAATGTTTACTTCCCACTTGAAAGATCAAGAAAAAAGTACGTTTGATGATTAAAAACCCCAATTATCATTCATGAACCTTTAGTATCAAATATGTATCTTTCTAATGCTTAGAAAAAATAACATTAAAAAGGCTTCCATGACATTAAAAGGAAAGCAACTTATAACAGACATAGAATCATTCAAGATTCAGCATCCTGATGGAAACATATAATTTGCCTTCACAGTCTACATCAACCAAAGATGCCACCAGGTATGATGAGGAGCAGCAGCAGAAAGAGAAAGTACAGAGGAGGCCCTCCTGCTTGCTACCACCTGTCCCTCTGGCTTGACCCCAACTTGGTTTGTTAGCCCTAATCTTACTGTTTTTCCATTTCCTCCACAGTTGCCTGCTCTGGTCCTATCTTGGCTCTTTAATCAAACCTCAATTCCTATTATACAATCTTACTCTTACATTAAATGTCAATATATCTGTTCCAGACTTTAGCCTTGGACACTGACCCTGAGCCTTAACTATGTCTAATTCAGGCAGCTTGGTTTTGATATTCTTGACAATGGGGTGCGCCAAAACTATAATTAACCTGAACTAATACTATCTCAGTAGAAAGGGTTTTAGGTCCTCCCTTCTCATGTCAGTTATCACCACTAGAAACAGAGGGATGACAGCAAATAGCTTAAATGATCTGAATCAAGATTATTACCCAGAGAGAATATATGACATTCTGAGCACTAAATGAAGAAGACTCCAGTTTTTATAAACTCTATTAAATTCATAATTTCTAATTGACTAACATAATTTCATTCACTTATACAAAGGAAGAGTCAACTGGGAGAGACCAGATTTCAAATGAACAGCTTTCAGTTTCAAGCAGAATAATACCACTCACTATTGCTCTTCTCTCTCATATACTATCACAGTGATACTCAAATTTCAAGGAACTCTGGTCTCTGCTTCATGGATTTCTCTGAATCCTGAAAGCAGAATCTGTCAGAATATCCTCAGATTAATCCAGAAAACTAAGACAATTGTGCCACAGCAAAAATGCTCCCCAGCTGGCTGTCCTCCTTTCCTTTCTCCATTAATCAGTGTAGCAGTTACCACCTGTCATATAGCTAGGTCTTTTCCACAGCCAAGAGCATGCCCATGTTCTCTTTCATTACTACACTAGGCTCACCCCTACTTAACAACATCAAATGGGCAGCTGGGTTTGGTTTGGGCCTCTCTTCCTTGATACCAGCCTCCTGAGGTGTTGGGGTCAGGCTCTACCTCTCACCTCAAAAAAAAAAATGGTATTCCCTCTTGAGACTCAGCCATGGTCTTTGTCCCCACCTCTCCTCTAAAAGGACAACTACGCTAAGCTGGGACTGAACCACTGTTTACCTCTCTTGCTCAAACATACGGTTTCTGTATTCACTAAAAGGTATACAGATATTCCCCACAGACTCACACTTATCCTCACAGACATCTCAAATGTTATTTCCATGAAGCCTTCCCTGACACCCTCAGACAGTACTAGTTTTCTCCGTTATGTGCTTCAGTATTGCATTTATAGCCCTTTCATAACACATCCACTACATTATAATTATGTGTTTGTGTGCCTTTCTTCGGGGAGAGGAACCAGTTTTGTTCATCTTTGTCTGCCTGTCCCTGTTCTACCCCACCCTGAGCTCTGTATAAAGTACATTGCCTAATATTCATTAGATATTTGTTGAATAAATGAATGTACAGTTAAACTTTGTTAAGTATCCTCACAATTACACACTAATTAGTGAAACTATTAGAAACTCACAGTGATTTTTCAATTACCTATCTTCATGTGAATACAGTCACGTGCCACATAATGCTATTTTTGGTTAAAGGCTGACTGGGTATTACGGTGGTGCCATAAGATCATAATGGAGCTGAAAAATTCCTATCACCTAGTGACATCATAGCTGTCATAATGTTGTAGCACAATTTTATTTTAAAAATGAATTTAGTGTAGCCTAAGTGTACAGTGCTTTTAAAGTCTACAGTAGTGTACAGTAATGTCCTAGGCCTTCCATTCACTCACCACTCACTCACTGACTCACCCAGAGCAACTTTCAGTCCTGTAAGCTTCATTCATGTTAAGTGCCCTGTACAGGTGTACCATTTAAAAAATTTTTTATATCATATTTTTACTGTACCTTTTCTATGCTTAGATACATTTAGATATATGAATATTTACCACTGTGTTACAGTTATTCAGTCTCCAGTACAGTAATATGGTGTCCAGGTTTATAGCCTAGGAGCATACAGCCTAGGTATGTAGTAGGCTATACCATCTATATTTGTATAAGTATACTCTGGTGCTTGCAAAATGACAAAATTGCCTAACAATGCATTTCTCAGAATGTTTCCACATTAAGTGACTCATGACTGTACACACTTTCTCATACATGCATACTGCATATATAAACATATTCATATATGCACATATATATACACCAATAACAGTATATGATATCTCTACCATAATAAAAATAAAGATTAGTAGGTCTGAAAATTTAAATATAAGGAAAATAGCTCATAAATTTAAATAAATTCTCAGATGATACAGAATCAATGTAAGAAGGCAAATAAAGTATTTGCTTTATACTCATTTTGAAACACGGCATTACGGTGTTCTGTATTGAGTTATGCCTTGAGTGGGCAGAAAATATGAGTAGGTGGGGATGAAAATGAGGATAAAGTGTTTTAACCATAGGATTTGGTTCTTCCTTTCTTCTTTTTTCATTCTTATTCTTCCGTCCACCCATCCATCCATCCATCCATCCATCCATCATCTATCCATCCCATATGTGGCAACTTTGTAGCAGTAATACAGTGATACTGATGATTAAAACAGAACTATAGAATTGTCTCAAATACTGACATAAAAATGTATACATGAAGAGAGAGAAGAAAATGACTACTTTCATTAACACTACCTTAAGATTTTAGTTATGAATATACATATATATGTAAAATAAGTAATAAGAGAGCAGGTTTCTAATTTGAGGACCTACAATTATCCTTTTCTCTTAAAAGCTAGGCTATAATTCTTCTCAGGAGGGCTTCTCAGGGAAAAAACTCATTTTCTCATCTCAAAATTTCTATCTAGAGGTGAATGACTTCATCTGTCAATAGACACGAAAAGTGAATTGTAAACTGTTCTAGGTAGAAATATAAAAAATTATTTCCAGACAAAGCCTGTTATACTAGTCTTTCCTAAAAACATTTTAAAATGTTAATTGGAATTTGGGCAAAAGGTATCTCATAATAAACTTCTACTTATTTATCATTTTTTATTATTGTTATTCATATTGTTTTTTTTTTTAGAGACAGGGTCTTGCAATGTTGCCCAGGTTGGAGTTCTGTGGTGCAATTATAGATGACTGCAGTCTCGAACTCCTGGCCTCAAGTGATCTTCTTGCCCTGCCCTCCCAAAGTGTTGTGATTACAGGCGTGAGCCACTGCACCTGGCATAATAAACTTCTAGAACCACACTGATCTCTCTAAATTACTTCATTATACAAAAAAGATTCAATCGTGGAATCTACAAAGAACTTAAACAAAATTTACAAGAAAAAAACAACCCCATCAAAAAGTGGGCAAAGGATATAAACATACACTTCTCAAAAGAAGACATTTATGCAGCCAACAGACAAATGAAAAAATGCTCATCATCACCTGTCATTAGAGAAATGCAAATCAAAACCACAATGAGATACCATCTCACGCCAGTTAGACTGGCGATCATTAAAAAGTCAGGAAACAACACATGCTGGAGAGGATGTGGAGAAACAGGAACAATTTTACACTGTTGGTGGGAGTGTAAATTAGTTCAACCATTATGGAAGACAGTGTGGCGATTCCTCAAGGATCTAGACCTAGAAATACCATTTGACGCAGCAATCCCATTACTAAGTATATACCCAAAGGATTATAAATCATTCTACTATAAAGACACATGCACA
The DNA here is from genome assembly GCF_000001405.40 of Homo sapiens. NCBI lineage: Eukaryota > Metazoa > Chordata > Mammalia > Primates > Hominidae > Homo > Homo sapiens. The sequence goes on from NC_000015.10 coordinate 35,378,527, forward strand.
TGTATGTTTATTGTGGCACCATTCACATAGCAAAGACTTGGAACCAACCTAAATGTCCATCAACAATAGACTGGATAAAGAAAATGTGGCACATATACATCATGGAATACTATGCAGCCAGAAAAAAGGATGAGTTCATGTCCTTTCAGGGACAAGGATGAAGCTGAAAACCATCATTCTCAGCAAACTATCACAAAAACAGAAAACCAAACACTGCATGTTCTCACTCACAAGTGGGAGTTGAACAATGAGAACACATGGACACAGGGAGGGGAACATCATGCACCAGGGCCTGTCAGGGGTGGGGGGCTGGGGGAAGCATAACATTAGGAGAAATACCTAATGTAGGTTATGGGTTGATGGTTGCAGCAAACCACCATGGCACGTGTATACCTACGTAACAAACCTACACATTCTTCACATGTACCCTAGAACTTAAAAGTATAATTTACAAACAAACAAACAAACAAACCCCCGAGGTATTGGTACAACTGCATTCTCTCTTGGGACTTTAGAGGAGAATCTGTTCCTTGCTTTTTCTAGCTTGTAGAAGCTTCCCACATTTCTTGGCTCATGGCTCCATGTCACTTGAGTCTACTTCCGTTGTTACATCCCGTTCTCTGACTCGGACCCTTCTGCCTCTTTCTTCTAAGGATCCTCATGATTACATTGGCCCACATGGCCCCTCCCTCACCTCAAAAAAGATATCTAATTATAATCAAATAAGTCTGCATGTAAAATTTATTTTTTCTCGCCTTAGAGGTAGTCTTCTTTTTTTGTAAAAAATAAAATGTCATTTGAATCAGACGTTTGAAGTAGGATTCCTAATAAATGATTAGTTGCGTGCTAATAGTGGCAGACAATTATTACATCAAATATAACAGAAGTTATAAAATCTGTCCCCAAAATGAATTCTAAATGATTGGATCCAGAATTATTAATACTCAATTGTTAAAAAACAGTTACAGGAACTAAGCTCATCTTTTAATTGTATTATATGGAAGATTATATCTAAATAATATAACTTTCATTTACATACAGTTTTAGAATGCACAAAACATGTTCACTCACATCTTCGCATTTATTGTATATCAGGCAGGTATGCTTAGGACATTTCAATTTTAAAGAGGAGGGGAGATTTTGTTTATATTAAGTGATATCCTTTTTCTGCCAAATGAGGATATTTCCCAACCTATAACTTCAAGTTATAACCTAACAAATAAATACATAAAAGTATGTGAAATACCATATATAAACAAAAATAAACAACAACAAATTACAAATTAGTCCAACAGTATTTAGCAAATAGCCTAATGTATGCTCTGATAAGTATGAGAACAAGCACTGGAGGCAATGGCAGCCAAAGCATATAAAAATGAAAGGATTTAGCAAAGTGGTCAGAAATGAGAAGGCAATCTAGAGAAAAGGTATCACAAAAGAAAAGTATGAAGCTGAAGTGAGGCATAGCCTATGAAGAAAAAAAAAAGCAAAGAATATGCTTAAGCATCAGAATTAGATTGGTGATTAACTCATAAATGAGTAACAATGAAAAGACAGGGCTTCCTTTGTGTTTACAAGGTACATACCTGCGTGGTAGCACCTATCAGTTATTGTTGATTTGCCTGTCCATCTCTTTGGTTACAGGAAGAACTCCTACAGAGCAGGGCAGCAACTTGCAGAGTTCTACTCACACTTTGCACTGAACAGCTCATTTTAGCACTAGAGGGTTCTAACCACCTTCCCTGACATCTTCTCTTTAACAGCATGAGTAATTCCCTTCATGCCACTGTCTCTGTCAGGCTTAGGTTTCCTTGCCTACAAAATGAGGAGGTTGAAAAGGATTCATATTCTAGGTCTAAAATACTGTGATAAACATATCTTCTGGTTATGTAGAGTAAAGCAGTACATGTCTTGTAATTCCATGTTGTCCATAAAGACTTCCAGGTGCTCTGGGACCTCAATTTTTCTGGCAAATAGAGAAAGTATTATTCTTTGGCATGTTTTCCACTTATTGCTGTGCTTTTTTTTTCTGATTTGGTTAGTCCTATATTAACAAGTAAATATATCCTAAATTTTCTACTATAATTTCACACTAGCTTGCAAATGTTTTTCTTGAATAATATAACGTATTATTTCATAGAAGTAATAACTTATCAATAGTTGACTCATTAATTGTTTTGGGATCATCATGGGCAAAATAAATATGTCCTCTCCCATAAATAAACTTATGACTTATTTTTTACCACCTTTTATCGTAATTACACACAGATGTCTTTTTCTACCCCTTTGAAGGCAGAAACTATTTGAACATCAGTGGTGCCCAGGAGAACACTTTGGATGTAATAGGTACTTGATGAGTATTTGTCAAATAAATAATGATTATGTTGATTATTAATGGAAAAGAAATTAGAAGAATATGAAAGCAAGAGTGCATGAATATTGCATATGGTAATGAAAATGTCTTGTCATATTTTACAAATTGCATTTTTTAAGAAAATCCACCTAGAGTTGTTGTCTTAATTTTCTTAGATCACTCCTTCCCTCATTATTAATATGCACAAAGAGGTTAAGTCTTAGTGTTAGAAATACTGAAGCCTTCCATTCAATCAAGCATAACTCTGACAATCTTTTCCATGATGCATACAGGCTTAAGAAAAGCAGATAGTGTTCTCTTAGCATATAAAGAGAGCAACATAAATTAGAGCATGGATGATAAGGTAACAAACTGAAGAAAGTTTCTGTTTTTCACTACACTAATTTTAACAATTTATGGCAAAGAAATCACACTACTCACCATCAACTAAATTCATTTAAAAACAAAGTTTATGTGTAAAAATAACCCCAAATAACTGAAGAGAAATGTTTACATTACCATTCTGAGTTGTTAAAGCCAAGAAAAAGAAAAAAGAGGAAGGAGTTAATGGAACCCACAGGCTACTGATGTGGCAGTTTATCAAATGTAGCTGTAATGAAAGATAAATAATACAGGCAATTCACACTTCATGAAAGGATAAAAGTGTCGGTGTGTAGGTACCAGTTTTACTGCAGGCCATAATCAGCAAGTAAACGAAAGTGCAATGTCTAAAAAGTTTATAGCCTTCTATGAAGGCCTCGTCTTGTCAGGTATTGATTTAGATATTCAGATAACTTCACTGGTATTAAACAAATTGAGTGTTTGTGAACTTAGAAGACATGTTCTATTTTTCCCAACAAAAGTTGCCTCAAGCTTAATGTTCAGTTGCTTCCATCACTTAAATTTATGGGAAAAAAAGAAAATGCTGAAATGATATCTTACACAATTATTTTCTTCTTAAATAGAGGGCAATCCAAAGTGAAAGTTTCATACTCTCCACCTTCTCCACAAACATGTACTCCATACTTCTTAGAAAGCTGAAAATAGGAAAACACAAAAAACAAGAAAGAAGTTTAAAATTAGACAGCATAAATGCTCTCTTATCTGGTACTAAAAAATCCATACAAAAAACTTTAATTCCAAAATAGTTTGCAAGGTAAGGAAAATTAATTATATTTCTGCTTAAAACCTGTTTAAAGCCATTTCAAAAATGTTATCATAAGGCATAGGATCCCCAAGAATGCCAAAACTCTTAAAAAAAAATAACATTAAGAGGCCAGGCGCGTTGGCTCACGCCTGTAATCCCAGCACTTTGGGAGGCCGAGGCGGGCGGATCACAAGGTCAGGAGATCGAGACCATCCTGGCTAACATGGTGAAACACCGTCTCTACTAAAAATACAAAAAAATTAGCCGGGCATGGTGGTGGGCGCCTGCAGTCCCAGCTACTCGGGAGGCCGAGGCGGGAGAATGGCGTAAACCCGGGAGACGGAGCTCAGCCGAGTTTGCAGTGAGCCGAGATCAGCCTGGGCGACAGAGGGAGACTCCGTCAAAAATAAAAACGAAAAACAAAACACACACACACACACACACACAAAATTAAGATTATTGTAAATTTGGGGAATGACAGTAGCCTCAGATTCAAAGCTAGATTCAGTCACAATGTAATAAACAAAAATATATGCAGCCAAATTGGGCTCCCCCAACTCTTTGCCTTTAAGTGGAAGGGAATGAAAACGCTGTGTTTAGTGAATTTCTCAAGGATACAGAAAAAGCAATATAAGGCCTTTCCTTAGGCATGAACAAAAAGAAGTCACATACATGTTTATTATGCTTGCAGTTGTTATTAGGAAAGTTCCAAGGGCACTGAGAACTAGTAAAGTTCCAAAGCTGCAGACAAGCCTTAAGAAGGTCCAACTTCAAGAAAGGTTGGGTAACTTACAAATTTGTCTAATCAAACCTGAAATTAAAAAAAAGAAAAAAAAAACCAAGCAGCAAAACACAAAAAAACCTATGATTTGCATTAAATATAAGCCATACCATTTAAATAGTCTTGATATTGAGAGTAAAAAAATCTCCTATCTGGTTGGCATATGTCTGGCATCAGTGCTGGGGAGCACTCTCCTTTCTACTCTATGCTATTCACCCTTTCTAACAACTTTCCACCAAATGAACTTTCTAATTACACCTTTATAACTTATGACCACTCTCTTTATGTGGGGAGTATACCTTATCATTTATTAGCATTCTTTTATTAGAAAATGTTTTACTGAAGTTCTGTGTAATTTCTGTAATCCACCACCAAAGAATAACTACATTTTTAAATTAAATTTGGTATGGTTATTATCCTATAGAAGTGGTTCTCTTAGTCCCTAGTAAAATAATGTAAGCTGCTATGTTAAACCAAAATATTACCATTATAAAAGACTCATATATTCAAGAGGAGACTTTAAAATCTGGATGTACCCAGTGATATTTTCAATTCACATAAAATATTTCTATCACATTCATTCATTCAGTCAGTTCTTCGACAAACACTTTTTGAAAAATAGTTATTAGCCAGGCCTTGCTAGATGATGAAGTTTCAAAAGTAAACAAGATAACGAGACAACCTTCTTGGTCTCTTGAAGCTTACCAAATATACTGTACTCTGTATTTTAACATCACACACTAATGACGCAACAGCGATATTGCCTCTATAAATGAATAGGCACAATGTCTTCTCCCTTTCTATTACTGATTCACCAGTATTGACACATAGGTTCCAAGTCAAGAAATTGGGATAAAGAACCCAGTGGTTTCTATGGCTGAGGAACCAGGAAATAGTATGACTAAATCCTTACAATATCTTCTGTGGCCTCTCTAAATTCTACAAGCTTCAAGCTCTAATAGACACAAGTACTGAGAGAAAAATTCAGCTTTGCTGGATTACTTTTAGCCAGCTCAAAGGCCCTTTGATGTCTTGAGAGAACCTCCTCAAGAAGTAAAGCCTATGCCAGCCACTTTCTTTAATGAATCTTCTAAGACACAGCACCTTATTAAAAAGCAGAATCTTTGTAGCACAAAAGCATGACGTATGCATGTGATAGGTCAGTTTAGGTATGTGAAGCATCCAGATGTGCACATTCTAGACACTTATTTATGGTGTACAACCTTTCTATTTACCTTTCTAAAAGTTAGTAGTACTAATATTTACACTGTTCATAGAAAACAGCAACTTTATTCCTAACCCATCTCAGGTCTGTCTCTGGCTTCGACTCAAAATTGGGATTATTGTATCCTAGCACTTAATCATTCCAAATGCAATTTTTGCCATTCTCTTTGATAAGCTTCTCTATCAGTATCATTGTAATGAAAAATACTAAATCATTAACAGATTTTTGAAAAGTTTAATTTCTCAATGAATTTTCATGATTCTTTTCATAATTTAAGTAAACAAAAATAACAAACTACATTGAAAAACACATAGTTTTCATGCCATCTATTCTTTCACTAAGTTATTCTTATACAGATGTATTTAAAGCTATGACATTTGATAAGTTCATTAAGAGAAGTATAGAGAGAACTTCAAGGCCGAGGCCAGGAACTAGATGCTAATAGCCTTCAAAGTCATGACAATCAAAAATGTCTGCAGATATTGCCAGGTGTCATTTGTGGAAAAAAAAATCCCAGCTACTCAGGAGGCTGAGGCAGGAGAATCGCTTGAACCCAGGAGGCGGAGGTTGCAGTGAGCCGAGATCGCACCATTGCACTCCAGCCTGAGGGTCAAGAGTGAAACTCTGTCTCAAAAAAATAAAAATAAAAATAAAAAATCACCCCTCATTGAGAACCACTGGCATAGTTGTTACCACCCCTATGCATGCAGGGATGAGGAGAAGGAACAGCTACAAATGGGATCTAATTAAACTAGGGAGCTTCTGCACAGCAAAAGAAACTATCATCAGAGTGAACAGGCAACCTACAGAATGGGAGAAAATTTTTGCAAGTTACCCATCTGGCAAAGGGCTAATATCCAGAATCTACAAGGAACTTAAACAAATTTACAAGAAAAAAAACAACCCCATCAAAAAGTAGGTGAAGGATATGAACAGACACTTCTCAAAAGAAGACATTTATGCGGCCAACAAACATATGAAAAAAAGCTCATCATCACTGGTCATTAGAGAAATGCAAATCAAAACCACAATGAGATACCATCTCATGCCAGTTAGATTGGCGATCATTAACAAGTCAGGAAACAACAGATGCTGGAGAGGATGTGGAAAAATAGGAACACTTTTACACTGTTGGTGGGAGTATAAATTAGTTCAACCATTGTGGAAGACAGTGTGGCGATTCCTCAAGGATCTAGAATTAGAAATACCATTTGACCCAGCCATCCCATTACCAGATATATACCCAAAGGATTATAAATCATTCTACTATAAAGACACATGCACACGTATGTTTACTGCAGCACGGTCACAATAGCAAAGACTTGGAACCAACCCAAATGCCCATCAATAATAGACTGGATAAAGAAAATGTGGCACATATACAGCATGGAGTACTATGTAGCCATAAAAAAGGATGATTTCATGGCCTTTGCAGGGACATGGATGAAGCTGGAAACCATTCTCAGAAAACTAACACAGGAACAGAAAACCAAACACTGCATGTTCTCACTCATAAGTGGGAGTTGAACAATGAGAACACATGGATACAGGGAGGGGAACATCACACACCAGAGCCTGTCAGGGGGTCAGGGGCTAGGGGAGGGATAGCATTAGGAGAAATACCTAATGTAGATAACAGGTTGATGGTTGCAGCAAACCACCATGGCATGTGTATACCTATGTAACAAACCTGCACATTCTGCACATGTATCCCAGAACTTAAAGTATAATAATAATAAAAAAAGGCAATATGATTTCCTCAAAAACTTATTTTATAATTTTCATTTGTATAAAAGTGTGTTTATTGTTTCACATTTTTTTTTATTATTATACTTTAAGTTTTAGGGTACATGTGCACAACGTGCAGGTTTGTTACATATGTATACATGTGCCATGTTGGTGTGCTGCACCCATTAACTCTTCATTTAGCATTAGGTATATCTCCTAATGCTATCCCTCCCTGCTACCCCCACCCCACAACAGGCCCCGGTGTGTGAGGTTCCCCTTCCTGTGTCCATGTGTTCTCTTTGTTCAATTCCCACCTATGGGGTGAGAACATATGGTGTTTGGTTTTTTGTCCTTGTGATAGTTTGCTGAGAATGATGGTTTCCAGCTTCATCCATGTCCCTACAAAGGACATGAACTCATCATTTTTTATGGCTGCATAGTATTCCATGGTGTATATGTGCCACATTTTCTTAATCCAGTCTACCATTGTTGGAAATCTGGGTTGGTTCCAAGTCTTTGCTATTGTGAATAGTGCTGCAATAAACATATGTGTGCATGTGTCTTTATAGCAGCATGATTTATAATCTTTTGGGTATATACCCAGTAATGGGATGGCTGGGTCAAATGGTATTTCTAGTTCTAGATCCCTGAGGAGTCGCCACACCAACTTCCACAATGGTTGAACTAGTTTACAGTCCCAACAGTTTAAAAGTGTTCCTATTTCTCCACATCCTCTCCAGCACCTGTTGTTTCCTGACTTTTTAATGATCGCCATTCTAACTGGTGTGAGATGGTATCTCATTGTGGTTTTGATTTGCATTTCTCTGATGGCCAGTGATGATGAGCATTTTTTCATGTGTTTTTTGACTGCATAAATGTCTTCTTTTGAGAAGTGTCTGTTTATATTCTTTGCCAATTTTTTGATGGAGTTGTTTTTTTCTTGTAAATTTGTTTGGGTTCATTGTAGATTCTGGATATTAGCCCTTTGTCAGATGAGTAGGTTGCAAAAATTTTCTCCCATTTTGTAGGTTGCCTGTTCACACTGATGGTGGTTTCTTTTGCTGTGCAGAAGCTCTTTAGTTTAATTAGATCCCATTTGTCAATTTTGGCTTTTGTTGCCATTGCTTTCGGTGTTTTAGACATGAAGTCCTTGCCCATGCCTATGTCCTGAATGGTAATGCCTAGGTTTTCTTCTAGGGTTTTTATGATTTTAGGTCTAACATGTAAGTCTTTAATCCATCTTGAATTAATTTTTGTATAAGGTGTAAGGAAGGGATCCAGTTTCAGCTTTCTACATGTAGCTAGCCAGTTTTCCCAGCACCATTTATTAAATAGGGAATCCTTTCCCCATTGCTTGTTTTTGTCAGGTTTGTCAAAGATCGGATAGTTGTAGACATGCGGCATTATATCTGAGGTCTCTGTTCTGTTCCATTGGTCTATATCTCTGTTTTGGTACCAGTAGCATGCTGTTTTGGTTACTGTAGCCTTGTAGTATAGTTTGAAGTCAGGCAGCATGATGTCTCCAGCTTTGTTCTATTGGCTTAGGATTGACTTGGCAATGCGGGCTCTTTTTTGGTTCCATATAAACTTTAAAGTAGTTTTTTCCAATTCTGTGAAGAAAGTCACTGGTAGCTTGATGGGGATGGCATTGAATCTATAAATTACCTTGGGCAGTATGGCCATTTTCACGATATTGATTCTTCCTACCCAGGAGCATGGAATATTCTTCCATTTGTTTGTATCCTCTTTTATTTCATTGAGCAGTAGTTTGTAGTTCTCCTTGAAGAGGTCCTTCACATCCCTTGTAAGTTGGATTCCTAGGTATTTTCTTCTGTTTGAAGCAATTGTGAATGGCAGTTCACTCATGATTTGGCTCTCTGTTTGTCTGTTATTGGTGTATAAGAATGCTTGTGACTTTTGCACATTGATTTTGTATCCTGAGACTTTGCTGAAGTTGCTTATCAGCTTAAGGAGATTTTGGGCTGAGACGATGGGGTTTTCTAGATATACAATCATGTCATCTGCAAACAGGGACAATTTGACTTGTTCTTTTCCTAATTGAATGCCCTTTATTTCCGTCTCCTGCCTGATTGCCCTGGCCAGAACTTCCAACATTATGTTGAATAGGAGTGGTGAGAGAGGGCATCCCTGTCTTGTGCCAGTTTTCAAAGGGAATGCTTCCAGTTTTTGTCCATTCAGTATGATATTGGCTGTGGGTTTGTCATAGATAGCTCTTATTATTTTGAGATATGTCCCATCAATATCTAATTTATTGAGAGTTTTTAGCATGAAGGTTGTTGAATTTTGTCAAAGGCCTTTTCTGCATCTATTGAAATAATCATGTGCTTATTGTCTTTGGTTCTGTTTATATGCTGGATTACATTTATTGATTTTCATATGTTGAACCAGCCTTGCATCCCAGGGATGAAGCCCACTTGATCATGGTGAATAAGCTTTTTGATGTGCTGCTGGATTCGGTTTGCCAGTATTTTATTGAGGATTTTTGCATCAATGTTCATCAGGGATATTGGTCTAAAATTCTCTTTTTTTGTGGTGTCTCTGCCAGGCTTTGGTATCAGGATGATGGTGGCCTCATAAAATGAGTTACAGAGGATTTCCTCTTTTTCTATTGATTGGAATAGTTTCAGAAGGAATGGTACCAGCTCCTCCTTGTATCTCTGGTAGAATTCAGCTGTGAATCCATCTGGTCCTGGACTGTTTTTATTGGTAAGCTATTAATTATTGCCTCAATTTCAGAGCCTGTTATTGGTCTATTCAGAGATTCAAGTTCTTCCTGGTTTAGTCTTGGAAGAGTGTATGTGTCCAGGAATTTATCCATTTCTTCTAGATTTTCTAGTTTATTTGCATAGAGGTGTTTATAGTATTCTCTGATGGTAGTTTGTATTTCTGTGGGATTGGTGGTGATATCCCCTTTGTCATTTTTTATTGCATCTATTTGATTCTTCTCTCTTTTCTTCTTTATTCATCTTGCTAGCAGTCTATCAATTTTGTTGATCTTTTCAAAAAACCAGCTCCTGGATTCACTGATTTTTTGAAGGGTTTTTTGTGTCTCTATTTCCTTCAGTTCTGCTCTGATCTTAGTTATTTCTTGCCTTCTGCTAGCTTTTGAATGTGTTTCCTCTTGCTTCTCTAGTTCTTTTAATTGTGATGTTAGGGTGTCAAGTTTAGATCTTTCCTGCTTTCTCTTGCGGGCATTTAGTGCTATAAATTTCCCTCTACACACTGCTTTGAATGTGTCCCAGAGATTCTGGTATGTTGTGTCTTTGTTCTCGTTGGTTTCAAAGAAATCTTTATTTCTGCCTTCATTTCGTTATGTACCCAGTAGACATTCAGGAGCAGGTTGTTCAGTTTCCATGTAGTTGAGCGGTTTTGAGTGAGTTTCTCAATCCTGAGTTCTAGTTTGATTGCACTGTGGTCTGAGAGACAGTTTGTTATAATTTCTGTTCTTTTACATTTGCTGAGGAGTGCTTTACTTCCAACTATGTGGTCAATTTTGGAATAGGTGTGGTGTGGTGCTGAAAAGAATGTATATTCTGTTGATTTGGGGTGCAGAGTTCTGTAGATGTCTATTAGGTCTGCTTGGTGCAGAGCTGAGTTCAATTCCAGGATATCCTTGTTAACTTTCTGTCTCATTGATCTGTCTAATGTTGACAGTGGGGTGTTAAAGTCTCCCATTATTACTGTGTGGGAGTCTAAGTTTCTTTGTAGGTCACTAAGGACTTGCTTTATGAATCTGGGTGCTCCTGTATTGGGTGCATATATATTTAGGATAGTTAGCTCTTCTTGTTGAATTGATCTGTTTACCATTCTGTAATGGCCTTCTTTGTCTCTTTCGATCTTTGTTGGTTTAAAGTCTGTTTTATCAGAGACTAGGATTGCAATCCCTGCCTTTTTTTGTTTTCGATTTGCTTGGTAGATCTTCCTCCATCCCTTTATTTTGAGCCTGTGTGTGTCTCTGCACGTGAGATTGGTTTCCTGAATACAGCACACTGATGGGTCTTGACTCTTTATCCAATTTGCCAGTCTGTGCCTTTTAATTGGAGCATTTAGCCCATTTACATTTAAGATTAGTGTTGTTATGTGTGAATTTGATCCTGTCATTATGATGTTAGCTGGTTATTTTGCTCATTATTTGATGCAGTTTCTTCCTATCCTCGATGGTCTTTACAATTTGTCATGTTTTTGCAGTGGCTAATACTGCTTGTTCCTTTCCATATTTAGTGCTTCCTTCAGGAGCTCTTTTAGGGCAGGCCTGGTGGTGACAAAAATCTCTCAGCATTTGGTTGTCTGTAAAGGATTTTATTTCTCCTTCTCTTATGAAGCTTAGTTTGGCTGGATATGAAATTCTGGGTTGAAAATTCTTTTCTTTAAGAATGTTGAATATTGGTCCCCACTCTCTTCTGGCTTGTAGAATTCTGTCGAGATATCAGCTGTTAGTCTGATGGGCTTCCCTTTGTGGGTAACCCGACCTTTCTCTCTGGCTGCCCTTGACATTTTTTCCTTCATTTCAACTTTGGTGAATCTGACAATTATGTGTCTTGGAGTTGCTCTTCTCGAGGAGTATCTTTGTGGTGTTCTCTGTATTTCCTTAATTTGAATGTTGGCCTGCCTTGCTAGATTGGGGAAGTTCTCCTGGATAATATCCTGCAGAGTGTTTTCCAATTTGGTTCCATTCTCCCCATCACTTTCAGGTACACCAATTAGACGTAGATTTGGTCTTTTCACATAGTCCCATATTTCTTGGAGGCTTTGTTCATTTCTTTTTATTCTTTTTTCTCTAAACTTCTCTTCTCACTTCATTTCATTCATTTTGTCTTCCATCGCTGATACCTTTTCTTCCAGTTGATCACATCGGTTACTGAGGCTTGTGCATTTGTCACGTAGTTCTCATGCCATGGTTTTCAGCTCCATCAGGTCCTTTAAGGACTTCTCTGCATTGGTTATTCTAGTTATCGATTTGTCTAATTTTTTTTCAAAGTTTTTAACTTCTTTGCCATTGGTTCGAACTTCCTCCTTTAGCTCGGAGTAGTTTGATCTTCTGAAGCCTTCCTCTCTCAACTCGTCAAAGTGATTCTCCGTCCAGCTTTGCTCCATTGCTGGTGAGGAGCTGCATTCCTTTGGAGGAGGAGAGGCACTCTGATTTTTAGAGTTTCTGGTTTTTCTGCTCTGTTTTCTCCCCATCTTTGTGGTTTTGTCTACCTTTGGTCTTTGATGATGGTGACGTACAGATGGGTTTTTGGTGTGGATGTCCTGTCTTTTTGTTAGTTTTCCTTCTAACAGTCAGGACCCTCAGCTGCAGGTCTGTTGGACTTTACTGGAGGTCCACTCCAGACCCTATTTGCCTGGGTATCAGCAGCGGAGGCTGCAGAACAGTGGATATTGGAGAGCCACAAATGCTGCTGCCTGATCGGTCCTCTGGAAGTTTTTTCTCAGAGGAGTACCTGGCTGTGCGAGGTGTCAGTCCGCCCCTACTGGGGGGTGCCTCCCAGTTAGGCTACTTGGGGGTCAGGGACCCACTTGAGGAGGCAGTCTGTCCATTCTCAGATCCCAAGCTGCATGCTGGGAGAACCACTACTCTCTTCAAATCTGTCAGACAGGGACATTTAAGTCTGCAGAGGTTATTGCTGTCTTTTGTTTGTCTGTGCCCTGCCCCCAGAGGTGGAGCCTACAGAGGCAGGCAGGCCTCCTGGAGCTGTGGTGGGCTCCACTCAGTTCGAGCTTCCTAGCCACTTTGTTTACCTACTCAAGCCTGAGCAATGGTGGGCGCCCCTCCCCCAGCCTTGCTGCCACCTTGCAGTTTGATCTCAGACTGCTGTGCTAGCAGTAAGCGAGGCTCCGTGGGCGTAGGACCCTCCGAACCAGGTGTGGGATATAATCTCCTGGTGTGCAGTTTGTTAAGCCCGTTGGAAAAGCGCAGTATTAGGGTGGGAGTGACCCGATTTTCCAGGTGCCGTCTGTCACCCTTTTCTTTGAGTAGGAAAGGGAATTCCCTGACCCCTTGCGCTTCCCAGGTGAGGTGATGCCTCGCCCTGCTTTGGCTCATGCATGGTGCACTGCACCCACTGTCCTGCACCCGCTGTCCGGCACTCCTCAGTGAGAGGAACCCGGTACCTCATTTGGAAATGCAGAAATCACCCGTCTTCTGCGTCGCTGATGCTGGGAGCTGTAGGCTGGAGCTGTTCCTATTCAGCCATCTTGATCCCAACTGCAATCTCACATATAGCTAAAGTGTGCTGTGTTCTCTTTTAGAGAAGGTGAAAATTGGGTTGCCATCTAATTAATGTTAGGTTAAGCTTTTGAAAACATTTGAACAGATGTGGCTAACTTGGGTGATTTCATGGTTTGTAAGAATGCCTTGGGGTTTCAGCATTTTAAAAATGAATTCCTAGTAAATTAAAAAGAAATTACTTACATGAATCTATTTTCTTTCTGGCACACTTATTTATATAGATAAATATTCATATTCATGGTAGCTCCATTGGAATACTGCTGATTATTGAACTGAATGGCTAAGGGCGTCATGATTTCCCTAAGATTGTAATAATCATAATTGTTGAATTTCTTATTAAATCAAACTTTTTCTTCTTTTAAATCAGTCTCACTTATCTGTTAGTCATTTTAAAATGGAAAAAAAAAAAAAGCCAAACTCATACTTCTTCACCTTTCACCTCCACCTAGAGGAAACAATGAGGTTTACAAAAATCGCAATTTCATTTTATAAACGGTATTCTTAACATAGAAGATAATTCATTCATAACACTTATTAAGGATGTATTTACTGAATATCTACTCTAGGTTTAGTATTGTTTTAGGTACTAGGGATAAAAATGGGAGCAGCCATGTATCCTGCATAAAACAGCTTATTGTCTTGTATAGACCAAAATTTAAATAAGCAATTACAATATAGGGTAGTGATTATTTTGGCAGATGCATGAAATGCTGTGACAGTATAAAGCAGGGTACCAATCTAAAAGGAAGCTAAAAGTCTTCTCAAAGTAAATAAAACTTAAGCTGAGTTCTAAAGGATTAAGTTAACCCTGAAAGATGGAAGGGGGAAGAGAGAAGGTAAGAGAGAAGGAACGAGTATTCTAGAAGAAACTGCATGTGTTAAATCCCAGAGCACATGATAGGTACTAGAAATTCAAATGAGTTTGGCATAGCTGGAGCATAACTGGATGAGTAATGGCAGTGAGACAAGGCTGAAAGTCTAGACAGAAGACAGGTCTTACACGGCTTCATAAGCCATGCTAAGTCATTATCCTAAGGTCAGAGAGAACCCACGGAGAGGTTTTAAGCAAAAAACTGACCTGATTGCATCTGCATTTTAGAAACATCATTTTGGATGAATGATGGAGAAGGGGCCTGGATGTAAGTCTAGAAGCAAAAAGAACTGAGCAGCTGGAGGAATCTAGGCAGGAGGTGAAGGTTTCCCAAGCTGGCAAGTAGCAATGGGGATGGAGAGGAGAGAGTAGATATTTTGAGAGATTTTCTTTAGAGGCTGAAACTGTAGGAGAGAAAATGTAGTATCTCTTCCTCTTCCATCATAAGGTTCATGGTTGAGGAACTTATGACAAACGATGAATTAGAAAAGAAAAGCAGAAAAGCATACAAATTTATTTAATAAGTTTTATATGACATGAGAAGACTTCATAATGGAATGAAGATCCAAAGAAACAGGAAATGGTTTTTTTGTTTGTTTGTTTTTAGAGTTGTGCAGAAGTATGAATGGAGGACAAAAGGGTATGATCTAATGGCAATAAACTGGGGTGGAACTCAGCAAGGCCAATTAGTTCAGATTCTTTTCTGTATCCTTGTGTAACATTCCTTTCCTCTGGGTGTAGAGAGGATGGCTCCGGAATGAAGGTCTTATGACTTTAGGGGAAAGTCAAAGGATTCTTTTATGGCCCACTTCAGGGCCATAAAAAGAATGGAGGGAGGTCAGAAAGTGACCTTCCTGCTTCTGCTGTTTTCTCGAATGTCAAGGTGGCATAGTTTGGGGTAGTGTCCTGAACTCCATCAAAATTAACAATTAATTGAATGGAGGATTGAGGAAAGTTAAAAAAGAAATTTAGGAAAATTCTCAGCTTTCTGCATTTGGAAAGTGGATAGATGGTAGTTCTGTTTACTGATATAGAGAACTTAGTATGAGTAGTAGTTTTCTGGGAGAGTCCAGAGGCCTTATCCTTTTCCAATTTATGTGGCATATAATACCACTTATG
Source organism: Homo sapiens (assembly GCF_000001405.40). Lineage (NCBI taxonomy): Eukaryota > Metazoa > Chordata > Mammalia > Primates > Hominidae > Homo > Homo sapiens. The sequence continues at coordinate 35,394,001 of NC_000015.10, forward strand.
TCTCAAATCTTTTGATTATCTTCCTCAGGCTTCCACATTACTATATTTTCTAAGTTATTGTTACGCTTCTCTGACTCCTTTCCTTCCTGCTGTTCCTAAGTTATAAATATCCCTCACTGTTTTATCTAGAATATGTTCTTCTCTCTTAATGCATTCCCTATAACAGCACCATGCACTCCATGGCTTCAAACATCACCTTTATGCTATTCTGCTGCTGCTAATACTATCACTACTAATTAAAGACTATTTGGTTTATGACTTAAGGTTAAGATAATTATATTATCATCTTATTTAATACTCAAAATGACTTTTAAAAATAAAAAAGAGCACAGGCTTGAAATCAGATAAACTTAACCATAAATTCCAGTTTTGCTACTTCCCAGCTGGGCAATGGAAATACTCACCCCATGAGTGATTCCTCATTGTAAATAATAGTACTGATCTCATAGATGATTAAATAAAATAATGCATAAAAAGCACTTAGCACAGTGTACAGCACTTAGTAAGCACTTAATAAAAACACAACTTAATTCTAAGAGTGGGTACAGTGCATGTTGTAATGAGGCACAGTGAAAGCAGCATTGCATCATCAGTTAAAAGCACTGGCTTTGGAGACAGACAGTTCTTGGTTCATTCAAATCCTGGCTGTCACTTTCTAGCTACATGATCTTAGGTTATGTAAGCGCTTTCTCTGAGCCTTGAACTTGTGATCTGTAAAATGGAGATGACAATAGTACCAACCTCATAGTATAACTGCTTTCAGGAATAAAACCACATGAATGGAATGCCAAAAGTGCCGTCTAGCACATAACATATACTCAATAAAGGGGCTGCTAATTTTATTTTTTACTCTTTTCCAGAGGTAAAAACTAGCTTGATTTGCAAAAGTTATCAGCTTAGAACCAAACAAAACCAGGACATAAAGTTATGTTTGACTCTTCGTAATATCCTGATAGATAACAAACCTTAGTCTTTAGCCTGAACATGTCAATTGTGCTCCATCTGATAGGTTAAAAGACATGTGCCTTTGGTTTATATGTTATAATCTGAAATTAAATATGTGTAAGGTCAAGCTTATCATGTTCTTTCTCAACCTTGTTCTCTGCAGAAATAAATGCTTCCAGTTCTCCCAATCATTATGTGTGGATTAATCTTCAATTTTTTCTTTTCTAGCTCCTGGCAATTTGGTGCTAATTTCTTTTTCAATCTTCCATAAAAATCTTTCTTTCAGCTTTGTTCCACCTCTCCATCCCTACTGTCAATGGTTAAATACCGTGAGCTCTCACACCTGTTTCCCATAACAGCATCTTACACTCCTTTTCATTTCCATCTTCTACTCCTAATCCATGAATACTGCTGCCAGATTAAATCTCCTGAGATTTCTTTCAGTAATATAAATTTTGGTTGGAGAGAATTCTGAATTTTATTTCTTACCCCAAATCACTTGGCCTATCTCTCAAGCCTCTTCATGAATGGGCCTTACATTCCCACATAACGTATTCTTACTGATCTACCAACACCAGCTCTTAGTTTCATTTAGACCAAATTTCTTTGTTGTCCTTGAATGCCTTCTTGCCAAAGTCTTCATTCATATTGATTCACTTTGTTGCCACGACCCATGTAGATTTCACCCATCCTTCAAATCAGTTCTAACCCTTTCCTCAGCTACTCCAGGTCATGTGGGCATCTTCCATCTTTTAGCTCCCAAGTGCTTTTATAGTAAGTATCAGTTTGACTTTACCTAGTTAAATTTATTAGGGATTTACCCCCCTCACGTTCTATACTCTACATTCCATGGAAAATGCCAAGTCTTTGATTTATTTTGTAGTTCTTATAGCAGTTAGCATAGAACTGGACACAGAAGTCCTTACACATAGCAGTTAGCATAGAACTGGGTATAGAAGTTCTTACACATACTTATCATTCAATTCTATCAGTACCACATGACATTATCAACTAACAGTTCATCTACAACATGCTTTCAGAGAAATGTGAGGGTCATATTGGAATAGCCACTAACTGCCGAGGACCCACACCTCTTTTTGTCAAATACCACTAAAAATCTCAGTAGATACTACTGCCAGTTACGCTACTTAAAACACACCTTTGAGAATCCCACTCTCTTCCTTTAAAACCTTCATTTACTCCTCATTGTTTACATAATTGAATCCTCCTCCAGTCTTCAAAATCTCTCACAATATGGCTGCAAATTCCTTTGTCAGCTTTATCAATTTATATATACTTATCACAATGCAAGAATTCCTCTGGCCGCTCCTACCATCATGACCTCTGGCCATAATATGATTTATCTCCACGCTGGCAGAAACTAACCAAGCCCCATTCGACCTAACAGAAAGGGAAGCAGTTAGTCTTGGGCTTTAACGCTGAATATGCTGCAGGCCCATTTGCCCTTCAATACTCAAAATATATTCTAAATAAGTGAGACTAACTTCTGAAAATACATTGTGTTTCCCCTTCCCCATGTGTTGATACAAACTGTTCTCTTACCTATAACAATCCAGCCAGTCAAAAATCCTATCTATCCTTCAAGCTCATTAGGACTATCAATTTATCTCTGAAGTTGCTCTGAATTTTCTCACAACATGTAATTTTTTTCCTTGAAATTCTGTGATACATGATTTTTACTCTCTTAAAGTACATTTTAATATATCTTATAATTTTTATTTATAATAGCCATTGGATGTCTCAATCATAAAGTTATACAAAGTTCTATATATCCTTCAAACTTTGTTATGTTCAAAATTCAAAATCTTCTTTCAAAGATGTTCCAAACCCTTTTGACTTCCAAGGTCAGTTAAAGGCATTTTTTTCCATAAAGTCACTCTGCAGGGAACAAGTCTTAAAATTCTGTCTTTCTCACCCACAACATCAAATCAATTTTCGTGAACTTTTCTTTCCATTTTGTTTTTTAAGTAATAGGTAACTGGGACTGCAAGTTGTGCTTTTGTCAAACCTATAAGGAAGACAAGTTAACTTCTGTAGAAAAGTGAGAAGAAAATTTGTCAATTAACAAGAACTGGATCTAATCTTTTATGAGGTAGGGAATAATTTAGGAAAGGAAGTCTGTATTTTTAAATATGTGTCTTTCTTGTTAAAAATGAATACATGCCCTAACAACCTTTAAGCTTGAAATCTAAGTTGCATTTATCCAGGTTTAGCTCTTACAGCACCCAGCAGAGTGGTATGCTTCTTAAGTAGTCAATACATTTCTGTTTACCTTTGACTCAAGGCTGGAGGCCAGATTTCCCAATTCTTTGACAGCTGGCTTAGAAAGAGCAACTAAACCTACACACTCACAATTTTTAAAAATATAATTTTGCTCTTCCATCTAGCACATGACTTTTACTTAGATGATCATAAGAAATCTCAAAGAATAACTGCTACTGATAAAGATGGTAGATTGAACCTATGCATCTACTTCCACTCCCTTTTAAAATGTTACTGGAAAATATTTCATAAAATGGCATAAACCCACAGAGATGGAGAACACAGGAGAGGAGGTGACAGCATTAACCAATTTATCAGGACCAAGAACACTGAGCCTGTGGCCAGCAATGGGGAATGCTGAGGACCAATCTGATTTACACAATAGAATAACCAAAAGGGTAAGGAGCTAGTGACACCAGGTACCTCTGGAAGTGAGAGGGAAAGAAAAAGGGCACTAATTAACAAGCAGTCAGATTCTTAGGTCCCTCTCTAGGCTAGCTACTGCTTCTCTTCTACCCTGGCAGAATGCTGGAGGTTTATTCCCTACAGCAGATAAACAGAGGAACTGGCCTGGGAGAAATGAGACATAGTTAAGGACACAGGTATATAATAAAAATAGATGGAATCAATTTATATATATACACACACACACACACACACACACACACACACACACACACACACACAAGATTCTGAGACCTCTAGCTATTTTTCCCAATCAACTCCTAGAAAAAAGCAAATTAGAGCATGCTATCTCCTTCAAGACAGGAGAATGGAGAATCCTTTGCTTTGGAATATGAACAGCTCAGATTAAGTAGTCTTGCTATACTTTCTGTGATACTGTGAAATAGTAAGAAA